>NC_000023.11:72765572-73068602 GCF_000001405.40 Homo sapiens
TTTTTTTCTGTGTCTATTGAGATGATCACATGGTTTCTGTCCTTTATTCTGTTGATGTGATGTATCATGTTTATTGATTTCTGTATGTTGAACCATCCTTACATCACTGGAATAAATCACACTTGATCATGGTGTATTTTCTTTTTGATGTGCTGTTGGATTTGGCTTGCCAGTATTTTGCTGAGGATTTTTGCATCTAAGTTCATCAGGGATATCGGCCAGTAGTTTTCTTTTTTTGTTGTGTCCTTGTCTGGTTGGGGTATCAGGGTAATGCTAGCCTCATAGAATGGGTTAGGGAGAATTCGCTCCTCTTTAATTTTTTTGAATAGTTTGGGGAGGTGCCATTGTCTACCAAATTCAAACACAAAATAAAGCCTTTAAATGAAAGAGGCCCATAGGTGACAATAAGGATCCCTGACACCCAATTCGCCAAGATCTCAAACAGGCTCTCTGACACTAGAAACTGAGATTTAGGTTTCCTCGACCACTTAGTAGCAGGGAAAACTGTTTCAGAACTATAGGTCATCTACACTCTCACCACTTCTATTCAACATAGAACTGGAAGTCCTAGCCAGAGCAATCAGACAAGAGAAATAAATAAAGGGCATCAAAATCAGTAAAGAGGGAGTCAAACTGTCACTGTTTGTTGATGATATGATCGTATATCTGGAAAACCCTAAAGACTCCTCCAAAAAAGCTTCTGGAACTGATACACAAATTCAGCAAACTTTCAGGATACAAAATTAATGTACAAAAATCAGTAGCTCTGCTATACACCAACAGCAACCAAGCTGAGAATCAAATCAAGAACTCAACTCCTTTTACAATAGCTGAAAAAATAAAATAAAATAAAATAAAATAAAATAAAATAAAATAAAATAAAATAAAATACTTGGACTATACCTAACCAAGGAGGTGAAAGACCTTTACAAGGAAAACTACAAAACACTGCTGAAAGAAATCATAGATGACACCAACAAATGGAAACACATCCCATGCTCATGGATGGGTAGAATCAATATTGTGAAAATGACCACACTGCCAAAAGCAATCTACAAATTCCATGCAATTTCCATCAGAATACCACCATCATTCTTCACAGAACTAGAAAAGACAATCCTAAGATTCATATGGAACCAAAAAAGAGCCCGCATAGCCAAAGCAAGACTAAGCAAAAAGAACAAATCTGGAGGCATCACATTGCCGGACTTCAAACCATACTACAAGGCCATAGTCACCAAAACAGCATGGTACTGGTATAGAAATAGGCACACAGACCAATGGATCAGAATATAGAACCCAGAAATAAAGCCACATACTGACACCTAACTGATCTTTGACAAAGCAAACAAAAACTTGAAGTGGGGAAAGGACACCCTATTCAACAAAGGGTGCCGAGATAATTGACAAGCCACATGTAGAAGAATGAAACTGGATCCTCATCTCTCACCTTATACAAAAATCAACTCAAGGTGGATCAAGGACTTAAATCTAAGACCTGAAACTATGAAAATTCTAGAAGATAACATCGGAAAAACCCTTCTAGACATTGGCTTAGGCAAAGACTTCATGACCAAGAACTCAAAAGCAAATGCAACAAAAACAATGATAAATAGGTGGGACTTAATTAAACTAAAAAGTTTCTGCACAGCAAAAGGAATGGACAGCAGCATAAACAGGCAAGTCACAGAGTGGGAAAAAGTCTTCACAATCTATACATCCGAAAGAGGACTAATATCCAGAATCTACAAGGAACTGAAACAAATTATCAAGAAAAAGACAAACAATCCCATGAAAAAATGGGCAAAGGACATGAATAGACAATTCTCAAAGAAGATATACAAATGGCCAGCAAACATATGAAAAATGCTCAACATCACTAATGATCAGGGAAATGCAAATCAAAACCACAATGTGATACCACCTTACTCCTGCAAGAATGACCATAATCAAAAAATAATAGATGTTGGCGGGGATGTGGTGAAAAGGAAACACTCTTACACTGCTGGTGGGAATGTAAGCAAGTACAAAGCACTAGTGCGCAACTAGTACAAACCGTGGAAAAGAGAAGTGTGGAGATCCCTTAAAGAACTAAAAGTAGAACTACCATTTGATCCAGCAATCCCACTACTAGGTATCTACCCAGAGGAAAAGAAGTCATTATATGAAAAAGATACTTGCACTTGCATGTTTATAGCAGCAAATTTTGCAATTGCAAAAATATGGAACCAGCCCAAATGCCCATCAATCAGTGAGTGGGTAAAAAAATTGTGGTGTGTATATATACCATGGAATACCACTCAGCTGTAAAAAGGAATGACATAGTGGCATTTGCAGCAATCTGGATGGAATCGGAGACCATTACTCTAAGTGAAGTAACTCAGGAATGGAAAACCAAACATTGTATGTTGTCGCTCATAAATGGTTGCTAAGCTATGAGGATGCAAAGGCATAAGAATGATACGGTGGACTTTGGGGACTTGGGGGAAAAGGTTGGGAGGGGGTGAGGGATGAAAGACCACAAATTGGGTACAGTGTATACTGCTTGGGTGATGGGTGCACCAAAATCTCACAAGTCACCACTAAAGAACCTAGGTAACCAAACACCACCTTTTCCTGAAAACCGTATGGAAATAAAATGAAAATGAACTATAGGACGTCTAATAATGGGCCATTTAAATGGCCCACAAGTATCCTTTTCTGGGTCAAATGCTGGGCCATTGATTTTCTATGGCTCTCCCACTAAATGGCCTCTCTACTTTCCCCAATCTTTGTCAATGGAATCGATAGCTCCATATAATAGAGACTTGGCCATCTTTGGTGCCACCCTCCAGGGTCATATGGCCATATACAACCCTGGTGGTCCATTGGTTCCCTCATAATACTCAACACTTTCTGGCCTTACTCAACACAGGTTCTCTGGTCACTTGGATTCCTGGGGATCCTTCCAAATTCAAGCAGAGGATTCTTTTTCACCAAGGTGGATTATAGGCTATAGAAGCAAGGGTATGCCACCCCCTGCCAGCCCTCACCATTGAGACCATTATTCTGTGTGATTTTTACCATGGTCATAGCACCCATCAAATTCGCCAGCCTGATCATTTGCACTGATGCCCTGACTCAAAGGACAACAGGATGGGTCAAACTAAACACGGTTGTGTTAATTATTGGAGCCAAATGGACCCCAGTAATACTTTCCATATGGGTGAAATTTGTCAATCCCCACAAATATATGAATATATTTGGACTCCAAGTCATGGATTCCCAACTCTGATTCCCATTTCCTGAGCACAACCTCCATACTGCATTTCTGTGTCCTTTTTTTTTTTTTTTTTTACCCAAATGCAATCCACAAAGAGTTGACACCTGGACCCAAGGCAGGATAATACACTGGGATCCTCTGGCCATAGATGGAACAGTGAAATATCCAACATGACTTTTCTACTTTTTCTGGAAAGCAGGCACTACCACTTTCTAAGGCTTTCCACAGTTATGATGGATTTAAAGGTTAGCTAATTACAGGCCCTTCCCAACAGGAAATAAAAGTGTTGGCCTATAGACCCATGCCTACCACCATGTAGATCTTGCAGAAAGGAGAGAACGATGGCTATCACTGGCCTAGCTATGCCTGATATGGCTGGTGGCTTGGATCTGGGACACAGTTTCCCCTACTCAATGCCAGGCTACCAAGGCAGTATTGCACCCACAGTGTCATCTCTATCCGTAGTGTACAACTAGTCCTCTGCAAAACCATTGACTAGGCATATGAACAGTATCCAGACCAGCCATCAGGATGAATAAAAAATAATGTGGTCCTACACTGGTTGTGCTCCCTGGAGCTACCTTTAGCGTAGTTATGATGATAGACTTTCTGACCTTGACCTGTGCCTCCAAGTCCTGGATTTGGCTCAAGAGTCATACTGGCCCTGGGAGGCCATCGCCACATCCTGGATGATG
Source organism: Homo sapiens (assembly GCF_000001405.40). Taxonomy (NCBI): domain Eukaryota; kingdom Metazoa; phylum Chordata; class Mammalia; order Primates; family Hominidae; genus Homo; species Homo sapiens. The sequence continues at coordinate 72,769,530 of NC_000023.11, forward strand.
ACTACAGCCCAGCCAACCAAAGTATCTCAAAGGATGACCACAGTCCAAACAACCACCACCTTCTAGACTCCTGGGTTATAACCCTCTCCTTCCCCATCCTCCTCATTGTGTGCATAAAACCACACTTTTAAGACCAGCCTCACTAGAGTTTCCATACCCACCCTAGGAGAACAAAGCCCATTTCCACTAAGGCTAAAACCTTGTCCCCGTGTGCCTCCTGAGGCAAGGCTACTGCTTGAGGCTACCTACCCCCTGTGATAATCTGTGTGTATACATAGCTGAAGTTACATCCCAAAGGCTGGACCTCACACAATGCCAGGCCTGCTTCCTGCCCCCAGGAACAGACCCCCCCCTCTTATTTGCTGACCCAAAGCTCATGAAACAAACCCATAAAGCCATCCATAGCAAACGTTATCGTTTTAAGGCCGTGGGTTTCCCTCTATGCTGTCCAGGTCCAGATCAAGGGGATGCTGATGTATCAGGTCTGGTCCCAGGCCCATGATTGCAGGTCAGGCACCTATCCAAATGCATGTGCTCCTATTTGTTTGCCTATGCCCACACAGCATAAGCAGACATAATACCCCACATAATAAAGGAACCTCCAGGTAAACCTGAGAGTGGCATGTGCCAGTCTCCTAGATAACTCCCGCCTGCTAAGCTCACTCTTAGAAATCTCGCCTGCACATTGCTAACACTGCTCTTCCTCACTCCACTCACTCCTCAGCCGCCCCTGCACTCTGTGGGCTGTCAGAAATTGGTCCATTCCCCCTCCCCCGACACTATTAAAAACTCCTACAGGGGGGCTCCTTATCCTGTATATATTTCCAGGTGCTCCACTCCCTCCCCCACACCTCCCTCTCCCTTCCTCGGGGACGCCCCTCACTTTAACTACCCCCGGGTGACTAATACACCTTTGAAATACTTGAGATAATTGCTGGCTCTGGTGTGGAGTGTGTTGACACTGATACCTTTAAAAGGAGGGGAGCAGCAGACCTGGCAGCTAGCCAGGTCATCGGGCTGTACCACCGTCAATAGGAGAATAAACACACTGTGATGTACTCGTACAATGGAATACTACTCAGCAATAAAAACTAACAGACTGTCAATGCACACAACAACAAGGATGAATCTCAAAAAACGTTAAGTTGAGCAAAAGAAGCCTGAAAAAAATGAGCACTGTGGCTCAGTTTCTATAAAGTTGCGGAAGAGGCAAAATTAATCTGCGGTGATAGAAATCAGAAAAGGGGTTGCCGCTGGAGGGATGGGTGGATACTGACTGACTGCGAAGCAACGCAAGGGAACTTTCTGGGGCGATTGAAGTCGTCTCTATTCTGATCTGTGTGACAGTTACCAAAGTGAATGCATTGGACAAAAATCAGCCATCTCTATACTTAACCATTTGGATTTGTGCATTTTTGTGCATGTAATTTATGCTCCCAATTTAAAGTGCTGCCAGTATAAGAAAAGGAATAAAACAAAAAAAAAATTGCTACCCCAACTTTCTTTTTGTTTTATATTGTTTTCCACACTTTTGTTCTCAATCTTTCTGTTTTTTATTTTTATTTTTTATTTTTTTGATGTAAACGTGTTTCTTGGTTCTCATTTTAAAAATCCAACCTGAGGGTCTCTTTTAATTGGTGAATGTAGCAGATTCACAATTACATTTACTGTAATTATTTTGCATTAAGACTTACTCACGCTGTGTTATTAGGCCATATATGAACAACCCATAGCCCAACAGCCTGAGATCTATTTGGAAGCTTCAATGAACAGAGCTGGGATGGAACTATATGGGTGACCCTTGTTTCCTGACCAGGGTCAAACTGAACTTGCCAGTTGAGAATTTTCTTATGGACGGAACAGAATAGGACATGCAGCTAATCTTACGCATTTCTGAATAGTAAGAACTCAGAGGGGAACTTGCCATGATGTAAATTATGTGTATGATAAAGATATCCTAATTAGAACAGTGTTGTGCTGGCTCTTGAGATAAATAGGTCAACAGAAAAGAACACAAAACCCAGAGACAGACCTTTGCATGTAGGGAATTTGATAAGTTTAACATTTGTTGGCACTGCAAGTCAGTGTTGCAATGATGGACATTTGATAGAAAGTACGTACTTCCAACCCCCCAAATAGAAAGCCCCACTCCAAAGGTGACCACTCTTAGGCCGGGCGCGGTGGCTCACGCCTGTAATCCCAGCTCTCAGGGAGGCAAGAGGCGGGAGGATAGCTTGAGCCCAGGAGTTCGAGACCTGCCTGGGCAATATAGCGAGACCCCATTCTCCAGAAAAAGGAAAAAAACAAAAAACAAAAAACAAAAGACAAAAAAAAAAAAAATAAGCGTAGCAAAGGTGACCACACTTAAAAGGTTGATGCGTATCCTTTTAGACCTGTTCTATGCTTTTACACTAGTGTATTTTTACCCACAGAAATGTATGATTGAGTTTTGCTTTGTCTGACTAAATGATGACAATCCTATATATTGTTCCTCAACATTTTAAAACTCAAGAATAGATGTTTTTTCACGTCATACCTGTAAATCTTCCTTAATCTTTCAACTTACACATGGTAGTTAGTCACAGTGTAGTTTTTAAAAGCATTCTCTTATTGATGAATATTTCTGTTATTTTCAATTTTGGTAACCATTATATACAAGACAGCAATGACAATTCTTGCACACATCTCCTTGTGCATAGGATTGGGTGGTTCTCTAGGATTAGGGTTGCCAGAGTTAGCAAATAAAAGTACAGGAAACCCAGTTACATTTGAATTTCTTAGCATTTAGTAAGTGTTTTAGTGTAAGAATGCCTCAAATATTGCATACAGGACACACTTACACTAAAAAAGTATTTGCTGTGGATCTGAAATTCAAGCTTAACTGGGAGTCCATTATTTTATTTGGTACCAATATGAAGGATGAATACCTATAAGTGAATTTTTGTTGTTGAGTGTATACGCATTTAAAATTTTACAGCTGATTGACAGTCTTTACAATTGTGTTTTGCCATATTTGATATGAATCTACTTAAAAATGGATTTGCTGTATGTTGGGTAAATAATTGTATCTCTTTGTCGTTTTATGAGTATTTCCCTGATTGTTGGTGGGATCAAAGAATTTTTTTTTTTTTTTCGATTCCCCTGCCTCAGCCCCCTGAGTGGCTGGGATTACAGGCGCGCACCACCACGCCTGACTAATTTTTGTATTTTCAGTCAAGGCAGGGTTTCACCCTGTTGGCCAGGCTGGTCTCGAACTCCTGACCCCAAGAGATCTGCCCTCCTCAGCCTCCCAAAGTGCTGGGATTACAGTTGTGAGCCACTGTGCCCGGCCTGAAGATTTTGTTTTTTTTTTTTTTATTATTATACTATAAGTTCTGGGGTACATGTGCACAACATGCAGGTTTGTTGGCCATCTGAATTTCTGACTCTGGGGAGTAGGTCCATAAGTTTTGCCCGTTTTCTACCTTTTCTTTACTTTTTTAGAGCGGGCCAGTGTGAGCAGTGTGTGGGGCGGTAAAGGGAGGCAGGGCATAGGCCTATGCTGCTGCAGAGAGAAGCAGAGAGAGAGCATGAGGAGAAGGAAGCTTGAATGCGTCACTCAGCCTGAGTATGCCTAGCAAGCACACTGCTCTCAGCTTGGGTCATCCTCTGGTGGCCCCTCTTCAAAAGTGTAAAGCATTTTGGCCTTGGCTTTTCCCCTTTCCTTGGCCTGCAGAGGCCCTCTCAGGTCTGTCTGTGGACAGAGTAGTGGATTGGATAGCTTTTTGAGGAGGTTGGGTGACTTTGTCGTGGGGAGAACAGAGAACAGTTGTGAACAAATACTACAGTGGGGAGCGTTCCAGGGAACAGAGCTCTCCTTCACCTCACAGGCTAAAACCCTCCACATGGCCAGCAGTTGGGTTCAGCGGGCAATGTAGAGAGGATTCTATAGTACTTACAGTATCTTAATGAGAGTCTGCAGCCAAAGACTCACCAAGGACAGTTTTAAAGAAATCTGTATGATTCCCACTACTGTGTGTTGCAATGATTTCTTTTTTCTTTTCTTTCTTTCTTTCTTTTTTTTTTTTTGAGACAGAATCTCTCTCTGTCACCAGGCTGGAGTGTGCAGCGGCACGATCTCAGCTCACTGCAACCTCTGCCTCCCAGGTTCAAGCGATCCTCCTGCCTCAGCCTCCCGAGTAGCTGGGACTACGGGCACACGCTACCACGCCCAGCTAATTTTTGTATCTTTAGTAGAGACGGGGTTTCACCACGTTGGCCAGGATGGTCTTGATCTCCTGAACTCGTGATCCGCGTGCCTCGGCCTCCCAAAGTGCTGGGATTACAGGCGAGAGCCACTGTGCCCTGCTCATTGCAATGATTTCTAATGCATATCTCTTGTTTGTGTTGTCTGCATTTTTCCAGGCTTCTTTAAATATAAAAAGCCCTTATGGAAGCAAAACCATGTGAATAATTTGATCGATAATGACAAGACGTTTGATGAAATTTAAAGTACATTTGCAAACAAGAAGAAGAAGAGGAAGAAGATGAAGGAGGAGGAGGAGGAGTCGGCGGCGAAGGTGAAGAAGAAAAGAAAGCCTGCTAGAAAGTTTGGTTTAGAGGGAAACATCTCCAGGTTGATAAGTGGTATGTGAGTCGGGGCCCAACCAGGAGACGGAAACCGTGCAGGTTATTTGGACAGAGCACAGTGAGTAGAAAACATGGCTAAGTGGTAGAAGGGGGTTACCTCCTAAAAGGCACAAAAGAGAACTTTAAGGGGTCCAGGAGTAGCAGTTGCAAAAGAGCAGCTACTACCTCTAGGATGAGGAATAGCAGGCAATAAAGGAGTAGGAGAGTTCACCGTTCCTCCCGAGCTGAGAATCAGACCTCTTTGAAGAGGATGTAGCTGCCAAAAGAACTTGCAGCCTGCCAGTGGTGTCGAAACTTACCAGAGAGTGTGGGCCTTTGCTGGTCTGTAGAAGAGACCACCAAGGCAGGAAGGTGGTGGGTGGTGGTGGTGCATGGGAAGGCTGGAGCTGCTCAGAGGCAACTGATAGTGGGGAAATCATGGTCTGGAGGTGCAGCTGGAGCTTGTCTGCACTGGTCTCTGACCTCCTTCAGTGAATATCATCAAACGGGAGACTGCTACTAGCAGGAGGGACGAATTTTCCTGCTGGGATTCGTAGGGTCACCCCCAGTGCTCTCTATGGCCAGAGCCTAACATTCTGTTAGCTGGCATAGGAGAAAGACTCACAAGGATCATCTCTAGTGTGACAAAGCAGGGCAAAGAAGGAGTAACTTGGACCTGACAGACAACACGTTGATAAATGTCACAATCGGTATCCAAAACCAACAACATATTTAGCCCCAAATGAACGGAGTCCTTCCCGTTAAGAGTGGGAACAAGGACAACAAAAAAGTTTCACATCACCGCTATTAGCTAACAGGGTACCACGGTCCTAGTCAATGTAATAAGAAAAGGGAAAATGAATACTGTATTAATAATATGCAGAGACTGTGATTGCCTACCTAGAAAACGCGCGAGAATCCACTGAAAAAGCATTCTAATTAAGGAGAGGGGATATTAAGATGGCCGTATGCCCCAAAGTATACAAAACCAGTAGGCTTCCTATATGTCAGAAATAAGTAATTAGAAGACATAATGGGAAATACACAATTCATAGCAGCAATGAAACTAAAAAGACTGCCATGGACAAACTTAAGAATTATGCAAAAGCTATATAAAGCAAACTAAAAGGTGATTGAAGTACCCTGATTAAAGAGCAGAATCAATGGAAGAACATGAAGAACATGCTATATTTTGTGGCTGAGGACCCTCCATCTTCTCATGTTAATGAGATGTTAATTATTCTCATAGTAAACTATAAGTCCTAAGAAATTCTAGTTAAAATTCAAGCCAGGGAATTTTTTTTAACTTGAAAACTTTGATTTTGAAGTTCTTACAGATGACGACATTTTCCAAAATATTTTGAAGAAATTTTGTAAAAGAAGAATAGTGAGGGGGGAGTTAGTTCTACTCACACAAAAACAATTTCTAAATCTTTATAGCAGAATTAGCAACAACAGAATTTAGATCAATGGAAGAAATTTGAAGTGCAAGCGTGGACATTATATGGAAATTTAGTACGTGTTATTTCGAGGTATAACAATTGCTGTATAAAAGTCGACCGTAATCCCAGCACTTTGGGAGGCCGATGAGGGCGGGCCTGAGGTCAGGAGTTCAAGACCAGCGTGGCCAACATGGCAAAACCCCGTCTCTACTAAAAGTACAAATATTAGCCGGGCGTGGTGGCGGGCGCCTGTAATCCCAGCTACTCAGGAGGCTGAGGCAGGAGAAGCTTGAACCCAGGAGGCGGAGGTTGCAGTGAGCCAAGATCGCACCACTGCACTCCAGCCTGGGTGACAAGAGCGAGACTCCGTCTCAATAGCAGCAATAACAACAACAACAACGACGACGACGACGACGTCGACCGTTTTGTTATGTGTGAGGAGGCTATACTGGTTACTGTCTAGAAAGGTTAGGATGAAAGAAAGGAATGCTAAGTTGTACCACGATACAATAAGAGAATGCACTTGCTAGGGTGGAGGAGTCTTCTTGCTATTTATTTGCAGGCTTCCTAGGGGCTGACCTCAAAGCAGGAGTCGATTTAAGGTCCCCGAATCGCAGATGAGAGGTGAAATGGGAGAGAGCGCTCTGTAGAGAAAGGATGAGGCGCAGTGACATGAGAGTAAGAGAGGCAAGAAGAGGATGTCATTATGGGAATGGTGGTTTGCAAAGTTAGATTACAATTAACAATAACTTTCCAGACTGTGTAGGAGAGAAAGAATACGCAAGAGAACTGATGTTGTGCACCCCAGATCCACTGATCATAAAGAAAAGGAAACACATCTTCAGTTCTCCATGGAGGTCACTTGTTTCCCGGGTCCTTCCTCCACATCTAGATGACCACACAGGGTGCAAGCAATGTAGATGCGATGTACACTATAATAATGAAACGAACGCAAAGGAAAACTCACTAAGTGCTTACTCTAGGCCAGGCACTGAGCAAAGCAACTTCAGGTAGATGATCTGAAGAGGAAGCTGCAGAGGCAGCCGCTGGACAGAAATGCCTACGCTCTTAGGAGCCTTCTCCACAGGAGAGAAGGAGGGATACGAAGATAATCCAGAATGATCGGATTCATCACAACAACAGGTAACAGTTATTAAGCGCTTACACTGGGCCTGGCTTTTAGGCTTATGGTCTCTTTCAAGCCTCACATGAGCAGCCCCACCTCTGGGAGCAGCGCCCCCGCATCCCTCAGGCTGTAGCCTGCGGTACTGTTTTCTGCCAGAAGAGGCACTGCGGGGCGGCGCCCGCCCATTCCCACAGCTCCGGGAAGACCCGGGCGGCGGAGGCTTAGCCCCCTCCCCTCCCGCTTCTTCCTCCTCCTCCTCCTCCTCCTCCTCCTCCTCCTCCTCCTCCTCCTCCTCCTGCTCCTCCTCCTCCTGCTCCTCCTCCTCCTCCTCCTCCTCCTCCTCCTTCTCCTCCTCCTCCCGGTCTGAGGGCGGCGGTCTCCGACTCAAGACCCTGGGGCTCCGGGTCTTCTTAGCAGCCGCCGCAGCAGCCGCGGCGACGTCACTGTCCTCTCGGCCTGGCACACAGCGCTCCGGCCGCCGAATGCCCGTGGACGCGCATCTCTTCCCAGAGTTCCTGCTTCCTGGGCCAGCCAAAGCCGCAGGTGAGAACGTCCGCGGTAGAGGTGACACCCAGGGCCTGCGGGTCTCAGAGGCCCGGTGGCCTGCTCCTCTCCTCCTTGCCCAAGAAACCCCCACGGGGGCGCCTGCAGCGGGGACACCAAGTGCTCCCCGGAGCCCTGGGAGCACTTCTTCTGAGGCATGGAGCCCCTGCTCAGGTGCTTCTGAAAGTTCCTTTGTGGACCCCAGAAACCCCTAGGCAACTGTCTGCCCCGCCCCGCGCCCCCGCCGCCCCCCGCCCCCGCAGTACCCCTCCGGCCCCCGACATCCCTGATGCGCATGCCCAGGGGCCCTGTGAGCTAGAAAGTAGCTGAGCTGGTGCAGTACCTGCTGGTTAAGAACCGGAAGACGGTGGCGATCAAAAGGGCAGACATGCTGAAGTATGTCATCAAAAGGTACAGGAGCTTCCTCCCTGAGATTTTCAAGAAAGCCTCTGACCTCCCCGAGTTAGTCTTTGGGTTCTATCTGAAGGAACTTGATCCAGCAGAGCACTCCTATGTCTTGATCAGAAAAATCGATCCTGCCCTGGTTTGGGGCCTGACAGGCGACCAGGGCACACCAAAGACCCGGCTCCTGATGATTACTCTGGACTCGATCTTCATGCAGGCCAGCTGTGTCCCCGAGGAGGTGGTCTGGGAGGTGTTGAGGGTGTTGGAGGCACATTTCGTCTAAAAAGCATTTCGTCTTTGGGGAGTCCATGAAGCTCATCACCAAAGCTAGTGTGCAGCAGGAGTATCTGGTGCACAAATAGGTGTCCCACAGCAATCCCACGCTCTAGGTATTCTTGTGGGGGCTCTCAAAGGAAACAAGACAGATGGAAGTCCCGGAGTTTGTGGCCAAAGTGAATGACACCCACCCCAGTTCCTTTCCGTGGCAGTAAATGAGGCATTGAGAGAAGAGGAGGAGATACCCCGTGCCCGAGATGGCAGCTGCCGTTGGTGACGTGACAAGTGCCAGTGTTAGTGCCAGTTCCAGTTCCAGGGCCTATGCCATGGCTGAAGCAAGCATCAGCACCAGCACCAATGCAAGTGCCAGTTGCCAGTGCCAGGGCTAGAGCCATGGCTGGAGCAAGTATCAGTACCTGGGACAGTGCCAGTGTGGTTGCAATCTCAGGCTAGTGTCAGGGACTCCTCCTGCCAGCAGTGAAGGCTGGGGCTGAGTCTTCACTTTGTTTTGCTGTGGGTAGTCAAAAGGGCCCCACAGCAGTGGGTGCTGGGGTCCTGACTTTTCAAGAGTCGAGGGGTAGAGTGGGGTTAGGGAGAACCTGCCGCCCATGGTATCTGTGTTCCAGTTCTATTTGTCTTTCTCAGTGATTTAGCTTTCAATTTGCATACTGCAAAGTTTTGTTTGCCTTAATTAACTTTCTTTTATAATGATGATCATTTTACAGGAAATAAACTGGTTAAAACTACATGATGACAGAATTATATCAGAGTTGAAACAAACGCCATACCTAAGCATTTTTTTCAAAATCCTTTGTTCCATAGACACTTGATTGAGTACTTAAGTTGAACATCTAGGTCTATGAATGACGTTGGTCAAATGTTTTATTGTTCTCTGTTTCGGTTTTAGCAGGAGAGATTTGCTGTTTCATAAAAGAAATTGGGAGAGTATATCATTTTATGCCTGTAACTTATTATAGCATTGGAATAAGCTGTTCTTTGGAGGTTTGAGAGACTTTACCAGTACAATCATTCCCCCCCTCCCCCAAATATAAAAAGATAAAATAAAAAGCCGGTCAGTGTCTGTTGCACAAAATTACAACCGCTCTCTGCTTGTATTTGCCTAGTTCTCCAGAATGTAGGGAAAAATAAAAATTCAATGAATTAGACACCTTGCTCATCGACTCATTTATTCAACATACATTTACTGACTACCTACTATATGTGAGGCACTGTGCCGGGCGCTGGAGATAGAGGAATGCACCAGACTCAGCCTCTGCCCCACATCTGAGAGTCTAGATGGGGCTGTCATGTAAGTAAATCAGCCAGATGTGGCAGTTTGATGTATTAATTGCCGGGATGAGGATAAGGACCAGGTGGTATGGGAGCCCGGAGGAGAGACACTTAACCCTGGGTGGTGGATGTCTGGGAACAAGGAAGGCTTCCTTGTAGTGAGATGCCATCTGAGATCTGAAGCACTGAAGGAGTAGTAAGTGCAGTGTGTCCCCGAGGCAGGGTATTGTGGGCATCGGGAGCATTCCATGTTCTTCAGTGGAACTGGAAGGTTAGAATTTGGGGAGACTGGGGAGAGATGATCTGGGGGTGGGGACCTGTACAGGAGCCAGGATCCTCAGTTGGTGGACTTCACAGCTGAGAGATTAAAAAATAATAGTAATAAAGTAAACGTGTAGTGGAAAGTGACTCTTTGGAAAGCAGCTGCTCTTGGCTCTTGGATGAGCCAGAGAAAAGACTCCACCTGTGGCATGCCTAGAAGCTGTCCTGGCCTCCTGTCCCTGTGCAGTTTCTACAGTGCACACAGCAGGTGCTTTACATTCAGCATCCGTAAGGAGTGATGGGCAAGGGGGTAAGTGTTGCACTCACCGGAGCTGATTCCCAGAAGCTACTGAGCAGATGTTCGCCCCTGAAGCCTGGGAGAGACAGAGCTCAGTGGGTTATATGACTACGGTTAGTTGTTGTTGTTGTTTTAAGAAACAAAGGCCTAGATGTTAGAATGGATAAGTTATCCTGTTTATACAGAGGGAAAACTGTTTGTAGGGGTGAGAGATAAGTCTAGACTAGCCTGGAGCGAAGCCAGGAAGAGCCTTGATGGCTCAAACCTGATTTGGCTGGCCCAGGAAGCTATGGAGGTTTCCTGAGCAGGGAAGGATCTGATGAAGGCCAAACCCTACCAAAATTACAGTGGCCAGCACCAGCGTGGTTTTCAAAGGACCAGTATTCTCCATGCCTTAGAATGGTCCTGGTGGGTATAGTGATCATAATAACTAGCCTAAAATTATCTTCAGTTCTTAGAGATTGACATGCATGTTTTACATCCCTGCCCGTTGGCCTTGCAAAGCCTTTTTGTGCCCTTCGTCACAAACACTGTGGGATCCTGGCACCAGTTCTCTCAGGGCCTACCCTAGGATATGTAGGATCCAGAGAATATTACACTGTAACCCCTCACTTGCATTCCTCTGCTGGCGTCAAGGAAAGGCTGGAGGTGGTGGTGGTGGTGGGGTGGTGCAGTGGGGGTGGGGGTATCATAATGTGAAAACATGCAATCTGAGGTGAATGGGGAAAGGGTTTTGGAAGGGCTCTGTCTTAGTTTGGGGTGGGGATAGTTGGAGCTGATTATGTGTACCTCAATCTGAGGCCTTTCCTCAAAATCCCGAGCCGCCTGCTCTCCATTTGAAGCCAATAAACATTGTCAGTTATGAAGGGTATATGCATTTGGGCAGGGAGAGATGATATTTTTTCTGCATTGTTACACTGAATTGCCCTCCTCAAGGCCATAGCAAGATACCTGTGGAAAAAGCATTGTCTATAGGTCACAGTCCTAACAGGTACTTAGGAAGAAGCAATGCTGTCCCATGACTATAACCACATACATGAGTCCAGATACGTATGTATGTCTTAAGCTCCTCTCCATCTCCAACAGCCAACCCTATCCCGATTAAATATCTTTCTCAAGAGGTGTAAAAAGATATTGACCCATAAAACCACCAAACACTTCCAGATTTATGTCAGTCTTAATGAGAGAGAAGCAAGAGAATGTGCCAGCAGGGAGGATGGGTCAGCCTCCTGTGGGAGTGGGTCCTCGAGAGTGTTGCTGTCCCCTGGGCATGCTGAGACACTAGAGCTGCCCAGCCTGCAAAGCTGAGGACCCCACTCTGGGAGCACCCGTGGGACTCAGCTCCTCATTCAGAAAGTGAACAGATCAATGTAATTTGACGTGGGCCTCTGTGAGGTCCTCCCACCCATTACTGTGTGTCTGAAAGGCCCGCCGTCTCTCCATTGACCTTGGTGATTGCTTGTGTTGCAATTTCTAACAGGTTAAAGGAACAAGTATGCTCCAACCCCCTTTGTAGAATTCTCCTGCTGATACTGTGTTGCAGCACATATCAAGGTCACCTCAGGAAGGCAAAAGAAAGAAAAAATGAAGCCCTCCTCTTATGAAAACGAGCAACGCGTAGGTGGAGACGAGGTCGTCTGTTGGAAGGGCTCTCTCTCTTGCGGTGGGGTAGGGGGGCCTGGGAGCTCTTTGTCAGTTTAGGGGTTAATGCCTTTTCTGAGATCCACAGATTCTTCCTCCACATGACCCTCCCGCCTCTGCATATAAACACTGCCCAGTTTTCCTCCGATATGAAGACCGTGCGCATTGCTGGGGGAAGAGAGATGTTATTCCGTCGTCATTCCTGCATGTAAGTGCCTCACCAGGGTCCGAGCTGCCAGCTGTGGAAAACTCACCATTGATTGGCCACAGCCCATCGCCACCAGGACCCAGGAACAAGCAGCGCTGCCTCGAGGAGGAGGGCGGACAGCCTAACAGGGCTCAGGAAGATGCTAGCTCTCTCCCTCCACAACCCCACCACCACCAAAGCTGACCACTCCCACTTCACCCGACGTGTTGAAAGTTACATCAAATGCCACAAAGCAAAAACAGTCAAGCGTGCCAGCATTTATTTCAGGCCTGGTGACTGGGACACTGCGGCGAGCAGGGGCATGGAGCAGCAGAAGGGGCTTGGTCACCGTTCATGGCTCTGTGTCTGTGGCTCCGGTGGTCTCAGATTCCGAGTGCCCGGTATCCTCCCCTAGGGAGGAAAGCAGAGTGACAAGTGGACCCTCGGGAGCCCTGGGGATTTCTGGCTTGGCCTGAGGTTCTCTTGGTGGAACAGGAAGGGGAGGCGGATGGGCTTGGTGGCGAGCAGTGAGAGAGGCAGAGGCGTGCTCCGAAGGAGCTCTCACCTGAAACACTTGGTGAAACATGCCAGGGCTCTCTGGAACCGGCTCCTCCAAGACCCTCGCAGAAGAGCAGGTTCCCTGGGCAAGCCTGTGCCACCGGATGGGTCCTCCGTGGCGTCAGACACAGCCACCCATTCCTCAGGGTCGTTTTGCAGCCCTTTCACATTCTGAAAGACAGACTAAATAGCCAGATCCTAATGCTCCCTCCCATCCCTGGCTTCCTTCACCCCACCCAGCAACTATTGTGTGTGTCTCTGGCCCTCTTGCAGGGGCTGGGGATGCAGCAGTGACCTGCACAGACCAAAGCCCAACCTCCTAGGGGACATTCCAGGACAATGGAGGGAAGCCAGACTCACCAGGTCAGCAGGTGGAAGGAAGGGAGTGAAGATCATGCTTCCAGGAGTGTGTGATGTGCCGGTAGGGACCGACAGGACTTCGTTGAAGACACCGGCGAAGCTCGTCACTCTGCCGGGTGCAAAGAGGCCGAGGGCCTGCCCCCTCCACGCCCCATTCAGCCCCTCTGCCCCTGCCCCATCGTCCCTCCCTCCTACAGCCTTGTGCTCCAGCAGGGGATACATTTCTGGTATGTCACATTCCGTCTGTTCCTGTGTTTCTTACTCCCACTCCTCCAATCTTTCTTTCCTTTGTTTCTTCCTCCTGGCCCTCCCAGCAGGCTCGAGTCACGCTTCTGCTTGCTGAGCAGAACAGCCCCGAGGGTCCTCCTCGAGAGAACATGATGTGTAGAGGTCTTCTACAGGTAGCTCATTTTATTTGGCCATGAATGGTTCATTGCATGCCAAGGTCACACATGGTCCTAGTTTGCCATGAGTGGGACCATTCCGGTTTTAAAACTTAAAGGCCCCTGTCCCGGGAAAGCTCTCAGTCCCAGGGAAACTGGAACTACTTCATTCATGTGGACACTATTGTCACATTACTGTGCACTGTTTTTCTCACATTTAACAGTTGGACCTTGTAGATGAAATTGTAAGAGTGATCCTGATACCTAAGAAGTAGACATTTATGAGTAATCGATGTGTATTGAAGGCTCTGTATATCTTCATAGTGTGGAGGTAAATGCAGCATTATGTGTTTGCCCCTGAATACATATCCACTAAAAGCCTATGATTGGACCTCAGCCATCACATCTGCTCTTGGGGTGTCACACCAGAGTTCTAGATGGACCCAGAATTGCAGAGAGACAAGGTCAGGGGAAGGAGCCGGGAAAGAGGTTAACAAGACCACAGATGCTGCAGATGGGACTCACACGAAGATGTCCTTCCCACCAGCCAGGCCATCGCTGGCTTTGTAAGGTAATGAGATTAGCAACATTAGAGGTGCTGAAACACAGCCTGAGTGGTCACTTGTACCGTATGCTGCAGAGAGGAGGGTTCAAATGGTTTCAGACAGCCCTGTGATTCATAGGATTCGTGTGCAAATCAGAGGTAAAGAGCCCTTAGCTTTCATGTAAATACGTAATTCCCTCTGACGTGTACAAAAATTCTCCTCAAAATCTTGTGAATTTCCAGGCAAGTGTTGTGAAATACTTAGAAACTCCTCCAAGAAGTGAGCAGGTCTCATTGTCTGTCCTATCTCCCTTTTCTCTCCTTGAATCTACTCCAGTTAGGCTTTCTCCTACACCACTCCACTGAAACTTAGGAGTTAATTGAACATGAACCAATGAACAAGTGAAAGTAATGTTTCTTATAGTTGTATATGACTAGCTATGTGATTAAAATGACCAAACCGGCAAGTTGTATTTAAATGCTTAATAAAAGCTAGGTTTAAATTGTTAACTTAAAAAATGAATAGAAATGAAGACCCAAGTAACTACACTGTCATCTCCCAGCACAACTTTCATTCTCATATAAAGAAACTCATTTTCTAAGTAGGAAGGTTGTTCCAAACTGCTGGAAATTCCCAGGAAGAAAGGCCCAGGTTTTATGGAGCTTCCACCTGTTTCCTTGTAGACGCAGCCAACTGCCACCAGGTGGCAGAACAAGATGAGAAAACCGTGCCCCACGGAGTCCCTGAGCCCCTGCTGCTGCAGTTTTTGAGTGAGTTTTCTCAGGGGCTGGAATCACTCCTGGGGAACCATCCCAAGGTTCTGCCCTCTTAAGCTATTCCAGGGTGCACCCAGGGCCTGGTCCAGGGTTTCTGACGTCTATGATGACGCTTAAGGCAGTGACATCGATCAGCCGGGCCTCTGGGCTAGGAGACCCAGTTCACCTCCTCATTAGTAACCCTGGGATGTGGTAGTAGGTGGCTTTAGGCAGGATGAGGGGCCAGTTGTATCTGTCAGTATGTCAGGGTAGTGACATCTGTGATTCTGCAGGGACATTTGAACAGCAGGGAATCAGAAACGCCAGAAAGTGAGGGTCCGCAACACAAAACCTTGCCAACTGCTGTGGACTGAATTGCGTTCCCCCGCCCTGCAATTAATATATTGAAGCCCCGACCCCTAATGGGACTGTATCTGGAGCTAGAGGCTTTAGGAGGCAATTAAGGTTAAATGAGGTCATAAGGGTGGAGCCCTGCTCCTACAGGATTAGTGTCCTTATGAGAAGAGACGCCACAGAGCTCATTGTATCTGTCAGTATCTCGAGGTAGTGACAACTGTGCTTCTGCAGGGACATTTGGGTAGCAGGGAGGTCTCTTCTTCTCTGCACTGCATGCACCCAGGAAAGGCCATGTGACGTCTTAGCAAGAAGGAGGCAAACCATGAGGAGAGCCTTCAGCAGAAACCAAATCGGCCAGCACCTTGATCTTGGACTTCCCAGCTGGCAGAACTGTGAGAAAATAAATGTCTGTTGTTTAAGTCACCCAGCCTGTGGTATTTTGTTATGGCAGCCCGAGCGGACTAATACACCAACCTAGCGGTTTTTCAAAGAAAGGAGTCCCGGGCTGGCCCAGGAGGCCAGGCTGCTCAGTCCCCGAAGCCTGATGGCAGGTGAGGTGGACAACCCTGTTGTCCCGCCCAGTAACATTTCCTTTTTTTTTTCTGAATCTCCTTTGAGAAAATAAGCTGCCTCTGTGCAACTGCCTTGAATGGACCCAGAGTTCTGCAAAGAGTCAGGGAAGGGCTGTGAGTGATGGTGATAAGACCCGCCCCGCACCACCCTGTGGATGGATGGGATTTATATCGAGAAAGGCTACGAGGTCAGCCCCTCGTAGCTTTATACCATGTCTCCCTCAGCTGAGATTAAACAAGTGTGTAGGGATTCAAGAAAAAGTTGATTTTTTAATTTGGAGTGGTTGTTACAGGGAGTAGGGGTCAACTGGATTTTGCCAGCCCTGAGATTGAACTGGATAAATTACAGGTAAATTATATGTGTGAAAGCACTGGGTACATGAGAGGATCTCAATACAATTTCGTTGACTTGCACGCAAGTTTCGCAGAAGCTCCTGCAAGAGGCGAAGTGATTCTTATTATGACAAATAATAACAGTTTCTTTTTATTAAAGACCTAGTAAGTACAGGTATATCACCTGTTTACAATACTGTCTTATTTATGCAAATAATCCTCGTGTATGAAAACAATACAGACAAAACAATAGTCTCCCTTGTCCACCCCTCTCCGTCACCAGCCCCCTCAGCAATGGTTTAATGTGTTTCCTCAAAAATTCCTCAATCGATGCATTTACATACACATACATGCACTAATAGAAACATACGCTTGTCTTTTATGGGGCCATAAGATACAGACTGGCTCAGGATGCACGTATTGTGTGGCACTTGATTTTTGCATTTTACAGCAAGTCTGGGTGAACTTCTCCTGTCAGTTCATGGAGAACTGTCTCATCATTTTTAACTTCTGCATAGTGTTCTAAGTGATATGCCATAATTCTTTAACTACTTCCATACACAAGGACCTTCACATTTTTTTCCTCAACTTTTAAAGTTCTCAAAAGTTTTTCCAATATCTTTGTTTGCAGAGGATGTGTCGCTCTAGAAGAGATACACATAAATAGAATTTTGGCACAAAACCCTACAAATATTTCAACACTGAGTAGCCGTTGATAAATGGATCTGAAAAGAGGTGGCAGCAATTTATTCTCTCAGGAGCAGTGTAGGATAGTGTTCATTGTCCTTCACCGTCGCTCTTGATGTTATTCATCCCTTTAACTATTTGCTAATCTGGTGGTTGATATATAAAAGGTTTTGAGACAAAGCCTTCCTTACAGAATCTGTGAAGGTCCAGGGCTGGTCATGCCTGCAAGCCCATACTCAGATGTCGCCTCCAGTGGGCTGGGTGGGGAGAGGCTGAGAAAGGCACAACAGAGTACAACAGAGAGTGACAGGAGGAAGTTTCGGGGTCCATGAGAAGGCTCAGACAGGGCACCCACTCAGCCTTGGGGATGTTAATGGAGTCAGTGGAGGTTTCCCAGAGGATTAGGTGCCTGAAAGGCGTGAGGAAAGAAATTAGACAGGGAAAGGGAGAGGAGGAACAGCACTTGAAGCACAAAGACCAGGCCACTGAGGTGATTTTGGAAACTGCAAATAAGCAGACCCAGTTTCTATTCTGTGCACTTGTAGCAGTCAAGGTTGGCTACCATGAAACGGTGCTGGATCAGAAACGTGTGTCCCAGTGGAGACTCTGAGTTCCTCTGCTGCAGTTCTCTAGAATGAGGGTGCTCAATCAGGGGCTAGCCTGAGTTCCAAGGTCCAGCCCTTGAGGATCTTCTGGGTTGCATCCAGGCCCTGGCCTAGAGTTTCTGAAGTCTGTCATGGGACATAAGATAGTGATACATATATATATAGTCTCCTAAGGACCTAGCCTGGGAGACTCTAGTCAGCTGCCCACCCATTCTGTAGCTCTGGGGTATGAAAAGAAGCAATTTTAGGCAGGGTGAGATGCCAATGGTGTCATGCAGTATCTTAGGGGGTAGTGAGGGTATCCTTAGAGGATACTGAAAATACTTGCAATGGGGCTCATGGGAGGCATAATAGCCCCCAGGGCAGCAGTGCCATCAGGGGACTTGCAACTAGGCAGCTGGCTGACACAGCAGGTAGCTGTGAATGTAGTAGTCCCCTAAGCCACGGGGTCACTAAATGTGTGAGAAGAACAAGAATTTGGAGGTCATTTAGCCAAAGATTTCAGTATGTCAATAGGGCAATGGAAGCTCAAGAAGGTATAGCAACTTGCTCAACACAGAGAGAAAATGTATCACTATGGTGAGACAGTGAAGGGAGGACACTGTGACTAACACTGACAGATGAAACCTGTCTTCCCCTGAACCTGAGAGGTTCTAGAAATCAAGAGCCTGTGCAAATGGGTCATCACAGCAAACAGCTTGAGGAGGTTCATGGCAGCCAGGTCCCAATCAGCAGCAGTGTTGTGCCTCTGAGGATATAATGTGTGAGGCTGTGTTGGTGTGTGAATCAGCCTCTGGTGGGTGGTGAACAGGGGGCTCCAGGCTGGCGTTCGCTCTCTCTCTCTCTCTCTTTCTCTCTCTCTCTCTCTCTCTCTGTCTCTCTCTCTCTCTCTCTCTGTGTGTGTGTGTGTGTGTGTGTGTGTGTGTGTGTTTTAGAGGTGAGGTCCCCTTGACACCAAGCCCTGCTCTATTAAATCCCCTATGACTACTTGGGTTTTGACTGCTGTTTTCCAAGTTATGGCCCCTCGTAACCCACTGGATTGGTTGGACGGTGGTATCGTTGCAGACAAGGGTCCTCCCTCTGAGCCCAAGGGAAGGAAGGAGGGAACAAGGTGGCCTCAAATCTTGTCCCCTGGGCCTGAGCCTCTTAAGCTACAGTGGCAGCTTCATCCATATCTGTGTCCCACACAGTCTCATATCCCTTGCCCTACCCACATTCAGCCAGCCCAGATTCATTTCTGGACTGGAGAAAAGGCCTCAGCACCTCCAGGAAGACAGCTCTGAGTCCAGACATTGAAAACATCTGGTTCCTGCTGAGCAGGAGGCTCTGGGCTCCAAGCTAGAGGAAATAAAAGGAATACTTCTCACCCTTATCCCAGATCAGAGAGTCCAGGCACAGCAAAGCTCTGGTGGACACATGCTCATTGATTTGTTTTCTTCAATAAAGGTTTATTGGTGCCGTGCTGTAGGTAAAGCCCTGTGTCCAGGTACTGGCTGTTCCAGGACTAACAAGGCAGAGCTCATGCTCCAGAGATGAGAACCTGGGTGAGGACAGTCATGCAAATTAAGCTGCCAGAGGGGGCAGTCTAGCATGAGAAATGCTATGATAGAGAAGAGTACACAGTATGTTTGTGTGTTAGTCAAATATTTCATCATATAGATAGGGAAATGGAAGCCCAGAAAGGTATAGCAACTTCCTCAAGGTAACACAGAGAGAAAATGTATCACTATGGTGAGACAGTCAAGTGAGGAGACTGTGATTGGGACTGGCATGGTGGAGGGGAGACATGTTACCAAGGGAAGAAGGACGTGTTCTTTTTGAGGGTAGGAACATCAGAGATCAAAAGGACAAGTGACAGGCTGAGCAAGGAAATGGTGGCTCCAGAGGAGAGCCATAATGCAAAGGCCCTGAGGCAGGGCAGAATTAACAGCTATTTTCGGGGGTACTGAAGGCAAATTTTAGCCACGCTGTGGAGAGAGACGAGGCTGTAGGAGAGGAGCAGAGTTGAGATGTCCAGATGGAAAGTCTGAGGGATGAGAGACAATGTCCTGGATAGAAAGGGGCTCTCACAGAATCATCTCATTTGGATCTGGATGGTATAGAAGGAAGTCTCCATTGCTGGTCCAGGATGAGTCCTGGGCTCCCGTCCCTGTGCAGTTTTCTACAGTGCATACACTGGGCCTTCTAAACACACCAACTCTAAAGCGCAATGGTGAGGTCAGAGTGATGCCCACCCAAGCTGTTCCCTAGAAGCCAGTGATCGGATACCATCCTGTGTGGCTGGGGAAGCTGGCAAACAGTGCATAATGAGGACATTGATA
The DNA here is from genome assembly GCF_000001405.40 of Homo sapiens. Classification (NCBI taxonomy): domain Eukaryota; kingdom Metazoa; phylum Chordata; class Mammalia; order Primates; family Hominidae; genus Homo; species Homo sapiens. The sequence continues at coordinate 72,789,083 of NC_000023.11, forward strand.
TGGGTTCATCTAGAATAAAACCAGGATGACATAAAGAAGGGCTGGGTTTCTAGTAGGGGTCAAATGAGTGTGAAGAGGCAGAATTGTGGGGTAAAGATATTGGAATCAGGCCTCGGCGAGAGGGGAAGGCAGAGAGAGAGAGAAAGTGAGGAGAGGGAGAGGAAGGGAGTGACGGAGGGAGGGAGGGAGGAAGGGATGGATGGGGGCAGGGAGGAAGAGAGGAATCTAGGGAGGGAGGGAGGGAGGAGAGCATTTGGTCCTTTGCATAAGGGATATGGCCTATGAGCTGCAGCCTGCTGGGGCTGCCTCCCTCACACCAGAATTTTTGGAAAAGTATCCACTGTGATGGGCCTCTCTTCCTGGAGAACAGACGCCTTTGTCCTACTTGCTAGGAAGATATTTTTCCTGCACTGTTTTTGGGTTTTGGTTTTTGTTTTTTGGCACTGGAATGACCCGGAGTCACCCGGGAGCTCCCAAGAGGAGGATGCAGGGTCCCAGGTCAACTATATTACTACTCATGGCTGCCACTTACTGAGGGCCTAATACACATCAGACACTCTGTCGTGTGGATTACATAAGCTGACACTTATCTTTCCAACGGTCCTGCAAGTTCAATGTCAGTCAAATTTTACAGGGTGTAATCTGGAGCCGGAGACTTCAAGATACTTGTCCAAGGTCACACAGATATTTACTGACAAAGCTGGGACTTGACCCCAGGTCTGACTAAAACGTGGGCGCACCATGCACCACCCTGGCACCTGAGAACCCCTCCCAGCCTTAATGGAGCCTTCTGTGTCTTGCACCCAGTCCCTAGCCCCCAGATATTCCTGCTGTCTTAATTGTTATTGATTGCTGCATAAAAAACTACCCCAAGCATATCAAGTTAAAATGATAAGCAGTTTTTCTCTGAGAGTTCTGTAGATCAGGGATCCGGGTATGGCTTAACTGGATCCTCTACTTCCCAGTCTCTCACAAGGCTGCCAGCCCAGGGACAACAGTCTCATCTGTAGGCCTGACTGGGGAAGGATTGACTTCCAAGCTCACTCATGCGGCTGTTGGCAGGATCCAGTTCCTCATCTGTAGGCTCAGCTGGGGAAAGATAGACTTCCAAGCTCACTCATGTGATTGTTGGCAGGCTCTAGTGGGTCGCTGGCCTGAGGGCCTCAGTTCCTCTATGGCTGTTGGCCAGAGACTTTCATCAGCTCCTCGCCAGCTGGCCTTCTCCATCTGGGCAAACACGCGTGCAGGAAGAGCCTGAGGGAGAGAATGAATGCCAGCAGGTCAGAAGTCACAGTCTTGTTATAGCCTAAGCATGGAAATGACACGCCATCACCTTTGCCAAATTTTGTTGGTTAGAAGCAAGCCACTAGGTCCAGCCCACCCTCAAGGGGAGGGAATTCCATAGGAGCATGGGTGCCAGGAAGGGGGATCCTTGGAAGCCATTCTGGAAGGCTGCCCACCACACCTGCTCCTGCACCCACCTCAGTATAGTGAGCCCCTTTGGGTATCAACCACCTTGACGGAGCAAATGGTTGATGGGCCACCTTGGACTGTGCTATGTGGCCTGCATCTATCTGATCCCACCTCTCTTCCAGCAGGCCCAGGACTCGAGTCTGCCTGGCCTTGCCTTCCTCCCCAAACCTACCAGCTACTCCTGGCCACTGAGCCCATGAGATGTCACAGCAGCTGAAAAGGGACCTGCTCCCTGTGACTGAAGCACACACCCATCACTCGGGTGGGACTGGGACCCAGGATGGTGCTCCAGGCCTCTCCTGGTAAAACAGAGGTGAAGGGCTCAGCTCTCCCACTGAGACAGGGCCCACCTCAGGAGAACACGGGTACAGGTGGGAGAGGGCTGGGTCCAGAGTTATCTGTGAAAGCTGCAGAGATGTTCTTGCTTTTACCCTCTGGGTTGGGATTCTGGGTAGAATCCCCCCAAGTTCTCCAGCAGGCATCACAGAAACATCTCTAAGGCAACGTGGGAGCACCCATGCCAGAGAAGGAGCTGCTCTGAAGCTGCGTGGAGACCCAGAAGTGTTCAGACGCCTAAGATGGGGGACCTACTCTAGGGAGGAGAGGAGTGAGTATAGATTGGGGATGGTTTGTGTGTCTCCAAAATGTATTTAACTCAAAAGCAGAGAGAGATGTGAAGCACATATAGCAAAGCATTTTTAAGTAGGGATGGTGGCTGCTGTATTCTTCTCTCTGTTTTTCTGTAGGTTTGAAATATTTCAGTAGTACAATACTCTAAAAGTAGAAAACAGAAGAGAAGGAGGGGGCTCTCAGGACCCCTGGACTCCACATTTCCCAGGCGTGTCTCAGAGCCAAATGCGTCAAGCTGGGGGGTGGCATTGTGAACTTGTGAGTTTCCTAGGAACCCAGTGGTTCCATTAGGCTGTGGGGATCGGGACTGCAGGTGGCTGGACTCCCATGGCAGAACCTTAGCCAGGAGCAGAGCCATCCCGGAGAAGCCTGGGCTTTTTCCAGTTCTGGGAAGCATCCACCAGACTCAGCTCTTCCCACTGCTGCTATTTTCTTGCAATATATATCAGGGGCAGCTTACAAAGAGACACGGTGTCATAATAAGAGACAAACAACCTGAGGTGATGGATATGAGGCCATGTGCTGGAGGGGCTCTCTCCAAGGTTGAGGTGGGGGTTGTTGTGGTCAGATTATAACTTAATGCCTCTGAAGCCTTTCCTGTGGATTCTGTGACATCTTCTCTCCTTCTGACCTCACCTCCCTGTCCCTCAACCTACAGCCCTCCTCTCCGGCCCAAGGGCTATCACTCAGTCAGTGCCCATCAGCCACCCTATATGAAGTGTTTGAAACCAGTAGCATGTTTACTGTCCATCAACCATTGTGCTATTGCAAAAGTGACTGGGGGACATGCAGTACTGCTCCAAGGTACGAGGACAGTAACCCATTTGGCTAGGTACCCCGTGCCTAACTCTCTCTCCACAGCGACCCCCTTCCCTGCCACCTTCACCGAAAGAGGCAAACCATAAATCACAGGAGGTGGATATTCATGTGGAGAGGGACATCAAATATCATAACACCAAAAGAGTCAAGTGTGCCAGTATGTATTTCAGGCCCACTGGGGTGAGCAGGGGCATGGAGCAGCCGAAGGGGCGTGGTCACCGTTCACGGCTCTGTGTCTGCGGCCCCCGTGGTCTCAGTTTCCGAGTGTCCGGTATCCTCCCCTAGGGAGGAAAACAGAGTGACAATTGGACCCTTGGGAGCCCTGGGGATTCTGGCCTGGCCTGAGGTTCTCTTGGTGGGCTTGGCGGTGAGCAGTGAGAGAGGCAGAGGCTCTCACCTGAAGCACTTGGTGAAACATGTCAGGGCTCCCTGGAACCAGCTCCTCCAACACCCTCTCAGAAGAGCAGGTTCCCTGGGCAAGCCTGGTCCTCTATGGTGTTGGCAAAATAAACCAAGGGCATAGTGTCTTTAGCTGAGCCAGTTCCGTTCAGGAAAATAGGGAAAAATCATTCTAGCCAGCACTAACATTGCTTCCTTCATTCGTCGGGTGTTCGCTGGGGGCCTGTTTTGTGTACACCAGGATCAGTTGCAGGTACTGGGGATACAGCAATGAACTCTAGAGATCTAGATCCCAGCTCTCCTGGGGCTGACTATCTGCCACGCTGGAGGGAAATCAGGCTCACCAGGTCCTCAAGAGTTTGCTCTTCCTTGGGAAGGCTAAAAACTGCAGCTGCCCACCTTGCAAAGCTGAGAGCACCAGTCTGGGGGATGCGGCTTTCTCCATACAGTCAGATCAGGACTCAGCAGCAGCAGGAATGCCAGTGAAGTTCATGTTTTCTGAGAAGTGCGATGTACATGTGGTGTCTGAAAGGACTTATTGTCAGAGGCCGGCAGAACTCTTCATTGTGCTGGGCCTCTGGCTCAGGGCCTGTCCCCCCCTGTGAAAATCCATCCCCGTGTCCCTGGCCTGGATCTTCACCCTCCCCTCCTGTAGATGAGTATGCTCTTTTCAAGCAGTTGATGATACATTCTCGTAAACTCCCTCACGTGCTGAGATGCCTCATTGACTAGTATCATCGCTTCCCTTTCCTCTCTCCCGACTCCCCCTTGAACCCACTCTAATCAGCTTCCAGCCCCACAACGCGACTCTCATGTAGATGATTAAATGACGAATTGAAAGTGATGGTTTCTGATTTTCACATTACTCTACTTATATAAGCCTAAAGACTTAAGGGAAGATCTATTTCTGCATTGTTATCTTTAAGGTTTACTGAAATTCAAACCGGGGTACTTGCCAATTATATTTTTCCCCCCACCAGCTCCATCTTCATGTCAAGAAACTCAGTGAGTAGACAACCCTGAAACTACCCCTAAATTCCCAGTGAGCCGAACCCCAGCATTGCTGGGGATCCACAATCAAACTCCAGGTTTCTCTTCTGTGCATTAGTGGAAGCCAACGTAGGGTGCTTGAGGGAAGCATGGATGTAGAAAACTGTGTCTCACGGAGCCCTGAGATTTTTAGCTATAATTTTTGAGTCAGGCTGCTCAGTCAAGGCTCAGGCTCAGCCTACGGGAGCCTTCCAAGGTCCTGGCCTTGAGGATGCCCAGGGGTCTGTCAAGGGCTTGACAGAACCCTTTTAGGACCCTGTGATGGGCCTTGAGACAGTGGCATCTGAGCCCCCAGGGCTCTGGTCTAGGAAGCATCAGTTTTCCCACCCTACTTCTAGTTATGATTGGTGTCAGGAGGAAGAAAGAATTTGGGGATGCACCATAGGGTAAATATATTAAAACTGTTTAATCCCTGACAAATGGCACTCCAAATGTGGAGTGCACATTTGGCGCGTAGCGTGAATCTGTGCCAATTCACACTACCAGCGTCAGAACCTCAGTATATGATACCCGATTGGTATCATTATAATTTTAAGTGTTTGTCAGGTTGCAGTTTGAAAAGTGGAATCTCACTGTTATCTTAATTCCATTATGACTTGTGATGTGGAGCTCCTATTCCTTTCATAGTGGCCATTTGTATTTCTATAAATGGCCTGCTCAGATTGTTTGTTAGCTCTTCTATTGTTGTTTGTTCTCGCATGTGTTTCTTGAGTTGTCTCATCAGAGCTCTCTGTATATTGCAAATGTGATTATTTAGTCTGTTATAATTGAAGAAGATGTTTGCTCCCTGTCTCTCACTTGTGTTTGCATTTTGTTTCCTGTGTCTTCTTGCATGGACACTTTTCATTTGGGGTGTTCATACAGACTGCTTTATTCAGGCCTCACCACAACCATGTGAGGTTGTTCGTATTTACCTCAGTTTTCTTTTTGTTTGGTTGGTTTTATTTACATTTAATAAATGCTCATTGAGTTAGGTGTCAGAGGTACTCTGCACACTGGGGATAGAATCACCATAGTTCCATGCGCCAAGATCACACTGAGGGCTGGCGGCACAGTAATGAGCTGTACCCTTACAGAGCTTTCCACCTGTAAGAGTTTCGGGCACACTCTTAAGCTTCTTTTTCTTTTCATTCATGATTTAAAAATGCATTACTTACACATAATTGTACATATTTATGGGGTACCGTGTGATGTTTCAACCCCTGTATACATTGTATAATCTTCAAGTCAGGGTAATTACCATATTCATCACTTTAAACATTTATCATCTCTTTGCAGTGTTAACATTTAAAATCTTCTAGATTTAAAATCTTGAAGTATACACTACATTGGTATTTTCTATACTCGCTCTACTGTGTAATAGAACACCAGAACTCGTTCTTTATGTCTAACCGTAACTTTTTACATTTTTGCCAACCTCTCCCGTTGCCCCACACCCCCTTCCCTCCCCAGCTTCTGGTAACCACTACTCTAGTTTCTGCTTCTGTGAAATCAACTTTTTAAGATTCCACATCTGAGTGAGGTGATGTGGTGTTTGTCTTTCTGTGCCTGGCTTATTTCACTTAACATAATGTCCTCCAGGTTCACCCATGTTGCCTCAAATGACAGGATTTCATTTTGTTTTATGGCTGGATGGTATTCCATTGTATATACAAGCCACATTTTTCTTTATCCATTCATCTGTAGATGGGCATTTAGGTTGATTCCATATCTTGGCTATTGTGAATATTGCTGCAACGAACACGGGAGTGCAGATGTCTCGTCAACGTGATGATTTCCTTTTCTTTCGCTATATACCCAGTAACGAGATTGCTGAATCACACAGCAGTTCTATTTTCAATTTTTTGAGGAATCTTCATACTGTTTTCCATAATGACTGTAGTAATTTTCATTCCCACCAACAGTGCATAAGTGTTCCTCTTTCTCAACATCCTCTCCAGCATTTGCTACTTTTTGTCTTTTTGATAATAGCCATTCTAACTGGGGCGAAGTGATATCACATCGCGGTTTAGATTTGCATTTCACCGATGATTGGTGATGTTGACTGTTTTCATATATCCGTTGGCCATTTGCACATCTTCTTTTGAGAAAGGTCTATTCAGGCATTTTTCCCAATTTTTAATTGAATTATTATGAATTTTGCTATTGTTTGGGCTCCTTATATATTCTGGATATTAACCCCTTGTCAGATGCATAGTTTGAAAATACTATTTCTCTCATTCTGTAAGCTGTCTCTTTACTCTACTGATTGTTTCTTTTGCTGTGCAGATGCTTTATAGTCTGATATAATCCTATTGGTCTATTTGTGTTTTTGTTGCCTATGCTTTCGAGGCCTTACTGAAGAAAAGAATCGTTGCCCAGTTCAATTTCGTGAAACGTTTCCCCTATGTTTTCTTCTAGAAGTTTCACAGTTTCAGGTCTGACATTGCAGTCTTTAAGTCATTTTGATTTGACTTTTGTATATGGTGAGAGATAGGGGTCTGGTTTCATTCTTCTGATTGTGAACGTACAGTTTGTCCAGCACCATTTATTGGGGAGACTGTCCTATCCTCCATGTATGTTCTTGGCTCCTTTGTAGAAAATCAGTTGGCTGTTAATGCTTGGATTTATATCTGGGTTCCCTATAATGTTTTATTGGTCTATGTATCTGATTTTATGTCAGTGCCCTGTTGTATTGGTTGCTTTTGTATATTTCGAGGTCAGGTAGTGTGTTGTCTCCAGCTTTGTTCTTCCTGCTTGGGATTGGTTTGGCTATCAGCATCTTTTGTGGCTCCATACAAATCTAGGATTTTTTTTTTCTATCCGGACTGTCATTGGTATTTTGACAGGGATGTCAAATGTCGAACATGGAGATCACTTTGGTTAATATGGACATTGTAACAATATTAATTCGTCCATGAATGTGGGATCTCTTTCCATTTATTTGTGTGCTCTTCAGTTTCTTTTATCAGTGTTCTACAGTTTTCACTGTAGAGATCTTTCATCTCCTAGCTTAAGTTTATTGCTAGGATTTTATTTTTTATTTTTTTGTGGCTATTGTAAATGGAATTACTTTCTTGATTTCTTTTTCAGATAGTTTGCTATTGGCAAACAGACATGCTACTGATTCCTGTATGCTGATTTTATATTCTGCAACTTTACCGAATTCACTTATTAGTTCTAATAGTTACTTGGTGCAGTCTTTAGGGTTTTCTCTATATAAGACCATGTCGTCTGTAAACAGGGACAATTTGACTTCCTCCTTTCAGGTTGGATGCTGTTACGGTTTGGCTGTGTCCCCGCCCAGATCTCATCTTGAACTGTTGCCCCCATAATTGCCATGTGTTGTGGGAGGGACCTGGTGGGAGATAATAAAATCTTGGGGGCGGTTTCCCCCATACTGTTCTCGCGGTAGTGAATAAGTCTCACGAGACCTGTTGGTTTTATAAGGTGTTTCCCCGTTTGTTTGGCTCTCATTTTCTCTCTTGCCTGCCGACATGTAAGATGTGCCTTTTGCCTTCCATCATGATTGTGAGGACTCCCTAGCCACGTGCAACTGTGAGTCCATTAAGCCTCTTTTTAAAAAATAAATTACCCACTCTCGGGTATGTCTTTATCAGCAGCGTGAGAACAGACTAATACAGGCGCTCTTTATTTCTTTCTCTTGCCTAATTGCTCCGGCTAGAACTTTCAATACTAAGTTGAATTTAAGCAGTGAAAGTGAGCATTCTTTTCTTGTTACAAATCTTAGAGAAAAAGCGTCCAACTTTTTCCTATTCAGTATGATATTAGCTTTCGGTTTATCATATGCGGCCTTTATTTTGTTGAGGTATGTTTTTTACCTCTTTGCCCACTTTGCTGGGAGTTTCTATCATGAAGGGATGTTGACATTTTTTGAATGCTTCTCAGCATCTATCGAAATGAGCATATGGATTTTGTCCTTTGTTCTGTTGATGTGAGGCATCACTTTTATTACATTGCACATATATTGAACCAACCTTGCATCCCTGGGATGAATCCCACTTGATCATGATGGATGATGTTTTTAATGTGTTGCTGGTGTTTGGTTGAGGGTTTTCGCATCCATGCTTACTAGGGATATTGGTCTTTAGCTTTGTTGTTTTGTCGTGTCCTCGTCTGGCTTTGGAATTACAGTAATGCTGGCCTCGTAAAATGTGTTTGAAGCTATTCCCTCCTCTTCATTTATTTGCTTGTTTGTTTGTTTGTTTGTTTTTAAGCCTTTGAGAAGAATTGGTACCAGTTCTTTACATGTTTGGTAGAATTCACCAGCAAATCCATCAGGTCCTGGACTTTTCTTTGATGGGAGAGTGTTTACTCCTGCTTCAATGTCATTATTCCTTATTGTTTCTGTTCAGGTTTTCTATTTCTTTGTGATGCAATCTTGGTAGCTTGTATGTGTTCAGGAACTTATCTGTTTCTTCTAGATTTTGAATTTCTTGGCAGATGGTTGTTCATGATAGTCTCTTATCATCATCTCCACCGCTGTTGTGCCAGTTGTAATGTTTCCTTTTTTTATCTCTGTTTTTATTTGAATCTTCTCTCTGTTTTCCTTAGTTAGTCTAGCTAAAGATTTGTCAATTTCTTTATCTTTTAAAAGGCTAACTCTTTGTTTTTTGATTTTTAAGTTGTTTTTAAAAAATCTCTATTTTGTTTATTTCTGCCCTGATCTTTGTTATTTCTTTTCTTCTGCCAACTTTGGGTTTTTTTTTTTTTTGTTGTTGTTGTTCTTTTTCTAGTTTCTTGGGGCGTAACATTAGGTTGTTTATTTGAGATATTTCCACTTCTGTTACACAGGCATTTATTGCTATAAACTTTCCTCTTAGAACTGCATTTGCTGTATCCCATAGGATTTGGTATGTTGTGTTTCCATTTTCATCTGTCTCAAGGAATCTTTAAATTTCCTTTTTCCTTTTTAATTCCTTCATTGACCCATCCATTGTTCAGGAGCATGTTGTTTCATTTCCACGACTTTGCCCAGTTTTCAATATTCCCTCTGTTATTGATTACTTCATTGTGGTCAGAAAGTACTCAATGTGATTTTGATTTTTAAAAGTTTGTTAAGACTTGCTTTGTGAACTAACGTATGGTCTATTCTGAGGAATGTTTCATGTGCTGTTGAGAAAAAATATGTATTCTGTGGCTTTTGGATGGAATGATCTGTAAATATCTGTTAGGTCCATGGGGTCTAGAGTGCAGTTTAATGCCGACATTAATTTTCTGTTTGGTTAATTTTCTGTTTGGATGATCTGTCCACTGCTGAAAGTGGGGTATTAAAGTCCCTCACTATTATTGTATTATGGTCAATCTCTCCTTTCAGGTCTTTTAATATTTGCTTTACATATTTGGATGCCCTGGTGTTGGGTGCATATATTTATAACAATTATAAGTATTTATATATATTTACTATATATATATTTACAAAATATGTATATTTACAATGGTTAGAATATACGTATTTAACAATTAAATATATATTACAATATATATTACAGTTGTTAAAATATATATATTTTGTAATATATATTACTATATATACAATTGTTACAAAAACATATGTATATATATACACACACATATATTTACAATTGTTATATCCTTTTGCTTTATTGACCTGTTTAACATCATATAATGGCCTTCTTTGTCTTTTTCTTTTTATGGTTCTTGACATAAAGTCTATTTTATCTGATCTAAGTAGAGGTACTCCCACTCTGTTTTGGGTTCCATTTGCATGGAATGTCTGTTTCCAACCCTTTGCTTTCAGTCTGTGTGTGTCTTTGTCGGTGAAGTGAGTTTCTTCTAGACAGTATTTAGTTGGGGCTTGTGTTTTTAGCCACTCTATGTCTTTTAATTGGAGAACTTAGTCCATTTACATTCAAGTTTATCATTGACAGGTAAAAGTTTAACACTACCATTTTGTTACCTGTTTTCTGTTTTTTGTTTTTTGTTTTTTTTTTTGGTAGATCTGTTCTTCCTTTGTTTTGCTCTTACTGTCTTCTTTTGCTGTTATGTATTTTTCTCTAGTAGTAAATCTTGATTCCTTCCTATTTATATTTTAGTGTCCCTATTATAGGTTTTTGCTTCGTGGTTACCATGATGAGATGTATAAAATATGTCTTATAATTACAACAGGTTATTTTAAACAGATAGCAGTTTAACTTTAATCACAGGAAAAACGAACAAAAACAAACTCTACACTTTAACTCATCCCTCCCTCCACACTTTGACTTTCTGATGTTTTAAGTTACATCTTTTTGTATTCTTATCTCTTAACCAATTGTTGTAGTTATTACTGTTTTGAACAGTTTTGTCTTTTAGGTTTCATACTTAAGATATATTTGGCAACCCGCGATGACAATATTATAGCATTGTAAATCTGTCTGCTTTCTTACTATTACCTGTGAGTTTTATACCTTCGGATATTTTTTTGTTACATGTTAGTGTTCTTTTCTTTCAGACTGAAGAAACCCCGTTAGCATCTCTTGTAAGACAGGTGTTGTGTTGATGATTTTTCTCACGTTTTTTCTTTTCTTTCTTTTCTTTTTGTTTCAGCAAGTCTTTTTCTTTCTTTTTTGCTGGAAGGATAGCTTTGCTGAATATGGTATTCTTGACTGACAGTTTTTTTCCTCTTCATCACGTTGAATGTATCATTCCTCCCTTCCCTGGCCTGCAGGGTCTCTGGTGAGAAATCCACTGAAAGCTGTATTGGTGACCCATTGAGTGTGATATGTTGTTTTTGTTGTTTTTCTCTTGATGCTTTGAGCATTTTTCTTTGCCTCTGATTTGTTTAAATAATTTGAATATGGTGTGCCTTGGGGAATTTGTCTTTGGGTTGAATTTTATTTGTCACCTCTGAGCTTCCTGTGCCTGAATGCTATGATCTTTCTCCAGATTTGGGAAATTTCAGCCGTTATTTTTCTAAATATGCTTTCTAGACCTTGTATTTTTTTTTGTCTTCTTCAGCAATTTCTATTATGCAGAGTCTAATTTTCTTGATGATGTCTTATAATTCTTAAAGGCCTTCTTCCCTCTTTTAAAATGCTTTTGTCTTTTTCCTCCTCTATATATGTTCTGTCTTGGAGCTTACAGATTCTTTCCCCTGTTTGGTCAACTCTGCTGTTAAACCTTTCTAATGAGGTTTTCAGTTCAGTCACTGTATTCTCTATTTTAGGACTTCTGGTTTTTTTTTTTTTTTTTTTTAATTGTTTTTATTTCTTTGTCAAATTTTTTGTTTTGTTCCTGGATTGTTATTCAAATTTTATTTAGTTTGTTATCCATATTGTCATGTAATTCCCCAAACTTCTTTAGGATTATTCTGAATTGTCTGTCAGACATTCCATAGATCTTCAGTTTTTCTGGGTCTGTTACTGGAGTTTGGTTGGTTTCTTTTGGCGTGTCACATTTTGTGAGTTTTCACAATCCTTGTCTCTTTATGTTGATGTCTGTGTGTTTAAGGAGATGCTCACCTCTTCCAGGTTTTGCAGCTGCTCCTTGGTGGTGTCAAACCTTTACTACTTAATATTGGAACTTAATCCCTGGCCAGCTGTTGCTTTCAGTCTGGAAAAGACTTACTGTGAGCACCAGAACTTAAATGCTCCACTTAACTATGTTGCTGCCCTGCCACTGTTTCTTGGTCTGGGGAAGACTTAAGCGAACACTGGCCCATTATTGCCAACCTTTTAGTTCTTTCCAGGTCAAGGGAAGGCTCCATGTGATCACATGGGCTTAGTGAGAAATCTGGCCAGGGATCTGGGCCTTCCTGTGTGTTGCGCCCCCAGCAGTGCTGTGGTTCTGGCCAGTCTCCTCAGCATTGGCATGCCCACTGATCGTGGCACAGAGCAGCTGCCAAGATCCACGTGAGAGTTGCTGTGATCAGTGCACCCACTTTCTGTTCCCAATTCACCCCAGGTGTTTCAGCTCTCTTCTGGAACTCTGAAGGGTACCCGTGGGATAGGGCTGGAGGGGACTTCCCATGAAGATTCCCAGACTGATGGGGAGGTCACATGTCCACTTCCAGTTCCCTCCTTCCACCTCAGAAATTGTGGGTCTAGAGAAATTCTCTGTGAGTAGCATTATGCTGGTTTGGGGGAGGAGGTGGCACAGTCTAACGTGACTGTTGTTCCTCTTACTGGTTGTGGCTTTTCTCAGTTTTGTCATCCCAGGAAGTTTCCTTGCTTCTCCCCCAAGTTCTAGTGAAACCAGGGTGGTATTCTTGCCTTTGATTAATTTGTAGTTGTACTTTTGTGGGGAGAGTGGTACTGTGGGATCATCTGTTCAGCCTTCTTGCTGACGTCGCTCCTCCTATTTACCCCAGCGCTCAAATGCAGAAAGCGAGGCTAAGAAAAGGTGCAGGGATTTGTCCCTAGATTCTAATCCAAGATCCCGACCTATGTGTGCCTAACTGGAAAGCTATGCAGTGACGTGGGCCCATGGCAGGCTATAGGCCAACATTAAAGCCCCATTCATACTGGCCTCCTCCTAGACACAGAGGGAACACAGCATGTAGCAGAAGAAGCCCTCTTTTGTCCTCAGAGGTGTGTGCCTACTTCAAAGCACACAAGACAAGGAATGGCAGAAGAAGGGGCATAATAATGGGCCTGCTGGACAGGACACTTGTAGTGAGGGTTGGGAGATCTGGGGGCCAGGACAAGACCCACCACTAACTGTGACTTTGTCTAAGCAACTGGCTCTCTCCTGGCCACTTCTCTAATAACCAGATAACAGTTCTGAGCCACCATTGCAAGTGTCGGAAAGGTGGGTTTTTTGACCCCAGCTGGGATAAAAGGAAAGGGGGTGAGACATACCTCCAGCAATCATTTCAGCAGCCCATAGCTCTTATCAATGCAACCTCTCAGGCTTAGCAGCTATTGCTAGTATCATCATGATTTGCATGTAAATGACTGCTGCTGGATGATGATCTGGGGACAAATGGCATCCAGAGCTTATCCCAAAGGGCCTGATCTCAAGGAACCTGATGGATGTTGCCTCTAGGCCTGGTACAACACCAGCTGCTCTGTGGAGGGGGCATCCCAAGTAATCTTCACAACCCCTCTGTGAGACGCTTTCTTTCCCGCTCCCACAAAGAGTAATAGCGTCGGTCCTTCTCAACCACCCAGGACTGCTGTGAGGAGTAATGAGAAAGCTCCCAACAGCCCTGGAAGATATTAGAAAGTGAGATACACCTGCTATGTACCCACAACAACAGCAACAACAAAAAAACAAGAACATGAGGAACATGATGCAAGTCCAACAGATTACTCATCCAGGCAATTGCAGAAAACATACCAGAGCTGTGTATTATGAGACAAATGGTCACCGACATTACTACTAATCATTAAATGCCCACTGATGATACTATTCCCAGTGGAGTTACAAATGCCACCCAAAGAATCCATAGCTCCTGTCCTCTCGGTAGATATGGGAAGTCACTGTTACTGGGGACCAGGTTTTGCCTGGCATGCCCCCACACGTTTTACCCCATCTAGTTCTCACAGCAAGTAAATAAGACAAGTCTAGCTCCTACCTCTGGGAGGAGGCTGTTCACCCTCCCCTCACAATCCCCAGAGGACGCTGATGGATAAGTAAACCAAGACCAAAGCCTCCTAACCCATGCTCCATGGTGTGTGCCAATGGTTTATGATGTCTCTGCACTACAGGTCTTGTCCACCCTTAAGTGGCCAATTAGGGCCTGGGACAGCCTGCAAATATTACCCAACATGGTTGAGCACCACCAGTTTTGAGCCTCACCTTTACACCATACACCAAAACATACATGTGTTATCGTGTATGTAAACAAACTCCAAACCAAGCCGAAACAAGAACAGGATGTGTATAAATTTCCTGAATGGGGTAGAATTCTGGTTATTTCCTGTGTAATTGCCAAGTATGTTCAACGTAGCTTCTCAGCAACCCATCAGCTATATGAATCTTAGCAGAACCGAAGACTAGACCCGATTTCTTCAGCCTTTCACTGAATTCTCCTCCTCCGCCTGTGATCCCTATCTGGGTCAATGGTACCCCAGGGCCACAAGTCACTCAAGCCAGAAACCTGGGTGTCATCCTTGGCCCCTTGCCTCTGGACCTTGCCCCAGGCCCACCTCCAGCCTAACACAGCACCGTTCTATCTATCCTATGAAAAGCATCTCTCAAGTAATGCCACTTCCCTCCAAACCCTCCTCCACTAATTTTCCCCACAAACTTTAAAACCCACGAGTGAGTGAGTGCATTTTCTTTGGGCACAATTTCTCCCTATGCCCATCTATTTTCTGTGATTGAGACTAGAGGTGTCTAAAGATGGCCAGTGAATGAATAAAATTGACTGGCAGGGTCACAGAAACAAGCAAAGCCCACGTTGACCCTCACTGGCATGATCTCATTACACTTCCTCATGCTGGAGTCCCAGGAAAGCCAAGTCTCTCTTTGTAATCAGTGCAGTGAGGATGGGTCAGCCTTTTATGAGAGTGGTCTTGGAGCGTGTGCTCCCCCTTGGGATGGCTTAAAGGTTGAGCTGCCCACCCTGTGATGCTGCGGGCACCACTCTGGGGGTTCCAGCGAGATGCAGCTTTCCCCCTACAGGAAATAAACCAGATGAATGTGATTTGATATGACCAATGTGAGGTCCCATCACTCATTAGTATGTGTCTGGAAGGCCCACGGTTAGGCTCCATCTTCTGTAGGACACCAGCAGTCTTCCGACTGTTCTCAGGAGTACTCTGGCAGTCTGTAGAATTACCTCAGGTGACCATGGGGAGCACTGGAGGAGGGGCACGACAGATGCAGTTTTTTCCCCATTACGTCGCACCATCATTTTACCAGTCAAAACAAGTCCCCAGTGGGTGCAGTGTGGGAGGAGATTGGGCACTGTGTGGTGGGAACTGTCTCCAAGCACCCTGTTACCGGGGAACCCTGACTCCATGAATGTTTTAGCTTTGCTGCATGTGGGACTGCAAGTACAGTGTCCCCATCACCAAGAGCATGGGCTGTAACTCACAGTTCAATAGGACCCCCTAGATTTGTAGTTGGTGACAGTGGCTCTTAGGCTGCATTGCTGTAATGGAAGGATCCTTGCCTCAGATCAACCAGGCACTGTATCATGGCTCCCTCTTGTGCTGGCGATGCAACCTCAGAATGGTGATCACACCACTCACCTTGATCCGGATGGTGGAATAATAAAACAAAAACATGTGACGCTCCTGTAACACAGCAGGCTGTGTAACATTTCATGGAGCTAAGTACAAATGTTGCTGCCTCTGTAAGGCTGCCCAGGATTCACGGGAACATAGCACCAGAGAGATTGAGGACAGGTGGGGCAGAAAAACAAGCTTAATCTCTTGCTCACTCGCACAGTCCAATGGTCTTCTGTTCACCAGAAGTGCTGGGTGAGCCTGGAGCCGTGGAATTTCTGACCCCACACCTTCTTCTGAGGCACTGTCGACTTTACTTTACCGACCTACCTGAGACGTCTCTCAGGCACGGGGATTGTGAGGTGATGTAAACGCGGGTCGGGGGGAGGTGTAAGCAAAGGAGAAGAACTCATAACTCGGTCACGGTCATATTTCAGAAACGAAGGTGTAAAGCTGACGACCCATGCCTTCCCCTATTGCTGACCTGTCTTTCCCCATTCCTGCATGTGATTGCCCTGCATGCTCAAATGGTTCATCATGCAATGGGTAATGGGCCTGCTCTTGAGATGCATGAGCATCTGTTTTGTGTCGCTGTAACAGAATACATGAGACTGCGTGATTTATAAATAAAAAAATATTTATTTAGCTCATGGTTCTGCAGGCTGGGAAGTTGAAGGGCATGGCCCTAGCTTCAGGCGAGGGCTTGTGTGCTGTGTCATAATGTGGTGAGGAAGGTCAAGGGGGAAGTGGACACATGCAATGAGAGAAAACCTGAGGGGCATCCTGGCTGTATAGCAACCTACTATCTTGGGCACTTTGTCCATTCCTGCGAGCACTAATCCAGTCTCGCCAGAGCAAGAACTCACTCACTACTGTGAGGAGAGCACCAAGACACCTACAAGGACAAAGGTGGAGCCCTCGTGACCCAAACAACCGTGCACTAAGCCTCACCTCCCAGCACCACCACCTTGGGGACCAAATTTCAACATGAGTGGAATCTCCTGTGTATACGGGGCTGGCAGAGGAAAGCATTTTCTGCTGTGAGGCTGCAGAGTCCACTGGCCTGCGCAATGGGGAAGGCAGGGAAGTCCTCATGGTCCATCCAACCCAAGAGGGCCTGAGGTGGACGATGGCAACTGGAGGTCGAATCAGCAGTGGAGGTGTTCCTTTCAGGAGATGATGCGTAGTGCTGTGGCTGTGTGTGGGAGTCAGTCAGCATCTGGTGGGTAGTGGGCATATGGTTCTGGGCAAAGCAGACTTGGACAATGTTAGGATCAGATTGGAGAGCCCTGGAGAGAGTGTGGTGCTGGGGAGAAGGGCTCCTTGTTGCTGAGTCTGGCTACCTTTAAATCCCATCTCTGCCACTTGGGTTTCAAGAGTGACTGCCAAGTTGTGCCCTATCCACCAGATTTCCCCACATCATTTCTTGTTTCAACAAGTATTTGCATCCTAAATACACACATACAAGCACAAGCATGCCCATGCACATGTATGCACAGACTCTCCCTGACACTCCCTTACCAGTGCAATGACTGAGCTCATGGTTATGACAGCAGCTATGAAGGAACGAACACCCAACAAGCCCCCAGCCCTAGGGAGTTGGAACGCTGCTCCTCTTTTGGACTAAACATGGGGTTTAGGGCTAAACCCCATGATGTCAAGTCCTAGCCCCTTTTGGAGAAGCAGCAACATGGAGCTGAACTTCCCCCACTGAGTTAGGGCCCAGCTCAGGAGGACAGAGCCATTGTGGGGAGATAGGTGGTACCTGTGCCATCGAAAAAGCTGCAGAGACATGGGATCTAAAGAACTCCATCACTCCATAATTAACAGCTCTGTCTGTTCAGTACCTATGGGTCTCACCGTGGCTGTTCCCCAGGAATATAGGAAAAGGGCTGTGGGACTTCCAAATGCTGTCGCCTACCTGAACCTTACCCCATCTGGATTTCATTTGAGCTTAAAGGCCCTGGACCTCTGAAGAACCAGAGGGTGAGTAATTCACCCAGCAGGCCCTAAGAAAGCATTTTTTTTTTTTCCTCCCCTGGCTTTGCACAGGGGACTGCATGAGACGGGGGAGGGGGAGAGAGAATTTTGGTGTTCCTGTGTCCTAGTTAGGCTTCTTGATGCTAAAGAGCACATCCAATATCCTTGTCCATTTACTTTGGTGACCCCTGGTGCTGCAGTTTCTAACAGGGCCTCCTCCATGGTTGTTAGTTAACAGGGACAATTATGCTCCAACCGCCCCCCTTTCAGAATTCTCCTGCTGATACTGTGTTGCAACACATATCAAGGTCACCTTAGGAAGGCAAAAGAAAAAAAATAAAGTCCTCATCTTATGGAAAGGAACAATGCATAGTTGGAGACAAGGCCGTCTGTTGGAAGGGGTCTCTGTCTTGTGGTGGAGTAGGCGGGGCTTGGGAGCTCTTTGTCAGTACAGGGGTTAACGCCTTTTCTGAGGTCCACAGATTCTTCCTCCACATGACCCTCTCGCCTCCGCATATAAACACCGCCCAGTTTTCCTCAGATATGAAGACTGTGTGCATTGCTGGGGGTAAGAGAGATGTTATTCCGTCCTCATTCCTGCATGTGAGATGTTATTCCGTCCTCATTCCTGCATGTAAGTGCCCCGCCAGGGTCAGAGCTGAGAGCCGTGGAAAACTCACCGTTGATTGGCTACAGCCCATCGCCACCAGGACCTAGTAACAAGCAGCGCTGCCTCGAGGAGGAGGGCAGACAGCCTAACAGGGCTAAGGAAGATGCTAGCTCTCTCCCTTCACAACCCCACCACCACCAAAGCTGACCACCCCCAGTTCAGCCGACGTGTTGAAAGTTACATCAAATGCCACAAAGCAAAAACAGTCAAGCGTGCCAGCATTTATTTCAGGCCCGGTGACCGGGACACTGGGGCGAGCAGGGGCATGGAGCATCAGAGGGGGCTCGGTCACCGTTCACGCCTGTGTCTGTGGCTCCGGTGGTCTCAGATTCCGAGTGCCCGGTATCCTCCCCTAGGGAGGAAAGCGAGTGACAAGTGGACCCTCGGGAGCCCTGGGGATTTCTGACTTGGCCTGAGGTTCTCTTGGTGGAACAGGAAGGGGAGGCGGATGGGCTTGGTGGCGAGCCAGTGAGACAGGCAGAGGCTGGCTCCGAAGGAGCTCTCGCCTGAAGCACTTGATGAAACATGCCAGGGCCCTCTGGAACCGGCTCCTCCAAGACCCTCGCAGAAGAGCAGGTTCCCTGGGCAAGCCTGTGCCACTGGATGGGTCCTCCGCGGTGTCAGATACAGCAACCAATTCCTCAGGGTCTTTTTGCGGCCCTTTCACATTCTGAAAGACAGACTAAATAACTGGATCCTAATGATCCCTCCCATCCCTGGCTTCCGTTACGCAACTGTTGTGTGCATCTCCGGCCCTCTTCCATGGGTGAGGGATGCAGCAGTGACCTGCGCAGACCAAAGCCCAGCCTCCTAGGGGACATTCCAGGACAACGGAGGGAAGCCAGACTCACCAGGTCAGCAGGTGGAAGGAAGGGAGTGAAGATCATGCTTCCAGGAGTGTGTGATGTGCCGGTAGGGACCAACAGGACTTCAATGAAGACACCGGCGAAGCTCGTCACTCTGCCCGGTGCAAAGAGGCCGAGGGCCTGCCCCCTCCACGCCCCATTCAGCCCCTCTGCCCCTGCCCCATCGTCCCTCCCCCCCTACAGCCTGGTGCTCCAGCAGGGGATACATTTCTGGCATGTCGCATTCCATTTGTTTCTGTATCTCTTACTCCCAGTCCTCCAATCTTTCTTTCCTTTGCTGCTGCTTCCTGGCCCTCTCAGCAGGCTCGAGCCACGTTTCTCCTTGCCGAGCAGAAAAAGCAGAGGTCTTCAAGCTGGTGATGAGTCATCATTTGGTGGGGATGCCACAGACCCGAGTGTCCATGTGGGTGCTCTCCTGCCTTTGATTCACAGGATTATGTACATGGATGCCCTGGGCAGGTGTATGAGTCCAAATGAGTCGTCACAGCAAGGAGCGTGAGCTGGGTAATGGTATCCAGAGTCCAAATCAACAGCAGTTTTCTTTTCAGAGGTTTACGTGAGACTCCACGTCTATGTACCAGTCAGTATCAGGTGGTTTAGGGCCTGGAGGGCTTGGAAAATGTGAGAGAGAGGGAGAGGTGAAGGGCCTGGGCTGGGGTGAGTTGAAAGTAGAACAGCCGACCAGCCTGGGCAGCATAGGGAGACCCCACCCCCACAGAAAATTTCAAAAGTAGCCTGGCATGGTGGCACACACCTCTAGCCCCACCTACTCAGGAGGCTGAGGGGGGAGGATTGCTTGAGCCTGGGAGGCGGAGGCTGCAATGAGCCGTGATGGCACCACTCCACTGCACTCCAGGCTGGGAGACAGAAGGAGACTCTGTCTCAAAAACAAACTGACAAATCAAACAAACAAACAAAAGAAAGTAGAAGAGCAGAGGTGAAAGCTCCTTGTTGCCTAGTCTTGCTATGTCAAAATCAGGCTTTGACATTTGAGTTACAAGCAATGCTGCCAAGTTATGCCCCCCGTTTGCTAACCAGGTCTGTGCGGTCCGCACCGCTGACTTCACAGGAGCTCCCTGCAAACAGTATCCTGAAGGGAAAGTGGAAGTAGGTGGCCTCAGAGTCTTTCTTTGGCTTTTGAAACAATAGTGCTGTTTAGGAAAGCATCTCTTACATAATCCTGAGGCTACAGAGTTGATCTCTGTGAGCCTATCATGGGCCGTGCCCTGAATGAGGCTCTGCTTCAAGCTCTTCTGTGAGGGAGAAACCGAGAGAGGCATGAATGTAACAGAGAGTGATGGAGGGACGTTTATGGGGCTACGGGAGGACTGAGGAGGCGGGCAGTCACTCAGCCTTGGGAATTGGAACGGAGTCAGTGAAGAGTTCCCAGAGGAGGCGTGCCTGAAAGGAGGGACAAAAGAAATTGGCCAAGAAATAGAGAAAAGGGAGAGCATCACAAGTAGAAGCCCAAGACAATACCGTGAGGTTTTGCAACTGAAAATATGTAGGCCTGGTTTTCTGTTCTAGGGTTTAATAGAAGTCAAAGTCAGTCACGAGGTTCCAGTACAGGAACCTGAAAAGCTGTGCCTCACAGAGACACTGAACCCTGGTTTTTGAGAACCCAAAGGGTATATTTTTAATAGAATTTTGATATATATTGATTTAATAGAATTTGATAATAGAATTTTGATCAATAGCAGTCCATTGATCATTTTTCCAGTGTGATTCATGCTTTCATGTGTCCTACCCTAAGATATCGTTGCCTAGCCTCACAACAGAGATTTTCTCTTCTGATGTTTGTAGGTTTTAATATTTTGCAATTTACACTTAGATCTAGGATTTATTTTGAATTAATGCCTGCATGAAGTGTGAATAATGTCGGGATGAATGGTGAGATATTGAAGTTGTTTGGGTCTTCCGTAAAGAGATCTACTTTTTCCAGCACTATTAGTTAATTGTCAGCTAATTTAATTATCTTTGAGCCTTTATTAGAAATCAACTTACTATATATATGTAAGTCTATTTCTAGCCCTTCTTCTATTTCATCCAATGATCCCTATGTGAATTCTTAAGGTCATACCAGGCTGTCATGATTACCATGTCTTTATATTAAGTCAGAGACTTTGGTGATGTGAGTCCTTCATGCTTGTTCTTTTCCAAATGGCTTTGGATCTTCTATGTCATTTGCATTTATATATAACTTTTGAGAAACAGTTCTTCACTTTAATTATGATTATGGTGAGCCTATAGATCCATTACTTGAGAATTGGCATCTTAACCTGAGTCTTCTGATCAACGAACATTATATATCTCTGTTTATTTAGGTCTCCACTTTCTCTCGCCAGTATTTTATAGTGGTCTGCATACAGGTCTTTCACATATTACATTAAAATTCTCAATAGATACCTCATTTATTTTGCTGTAATTATAAATGACATTTTAAATAATGTCATCTCCAATTATTTGTTCCCAGTATGTTGAAACACAGTGGGTTTTTGTATGTTGAGTTTCTGTCTTGTAACTTTGTTATGTGACTTGTTAGGTCTAGGAGATGTTTATCCCCACATTCCTTAGTATTTTGTATGTAGACTATCATGCTATTTGTAAATGGAGAGGTTTTTTTTATTCCTTCCTATTCAATCTGTATGCCTTTTACTTATTTTCCTTGGCTCATTGCACTAGCTGGGACCTCAAGGATAATTGTATACGCATAGTAAGAGTCTGCCTTATTTTTAATCTTATGGGAGAAGCATTCAGTATTTCACCATTAGGCATGGTGCCAGCTGCAGGTTTTTTGTAGGAGTACTTTATTAGGTTGAGGACGTTGCTTTATGTACTTATCAAGTGGTTTGGGTTTTTTGGTCATGAATGGGTGTTTTATGTTATCAAATTACTTTTCTGTTATATATCTGGATAATAAATGCTCTTTTCTTTTATTCCATTAATATGGTGAAATATAGTCACGGATTTTTAATGGTAAAATGACCTTACATTCCCAGGACAGACTGTGCTTGGTAATAGATTATTTTTTTTTCATATATTATTGGATTCAAGTTGCTAAAATTTTATCAAGGAGTTTTGTAACTATGTTCATTAGGAACACTGGTTTGTAGTTCCTTTTTTTCTTCTGGTATCTTTTTTCTATTTTTTTTTTTTAAATAAAAGTAATGCTGCCATCATAAAATGAACTGGAAAGTGTTCCCTCCTGTATTTTCTAAAAGTGTTCTTTTGGGACTACTACTATGTTTTCTTTAAATGTATGACACTGCTAACCAGTAAATCTATTGAAGACTGAAGTTTTCTTTATGATTTACAAATACGGTTTTAAAAAGTCTCCACATAACCATTCTTTTAACCTTAACAAGGTCTTTAGGGATGATTACCAATTAATTATATGTAGTTATTAGAAGAGTGTGCTTAAAAAATTTTCCTCAGCTTTTAAATGTCTTATTTTCTTTCTTCTTTTCTTTAATTTTTATTTTTCTTTATTTCTTCTAAAACAATTAACGGGATACATGTGCAGAACGTGCGGGTTTGTTACATAAGTATACGTGTGCCATGGTGGTTTGCTGCACCTATTGACCCATCCTCTAAGTTGCCTCCCCTCATCCCCTACCCCCCAACAGCTCCTGGTGTGTGTCCTTCCCCTCTCTGTGTCCATGTATTCTCATTGTTCAACTCCCACTTCTGAGTGAGAACGTGCGGTGTTTGGTTTTCTGTTCCTGTGTTAGTTTGCTGAGAATGATGGTTTCCAGCTTCATCCATGTCCCTGCAAAGGACATGATCCCATTCCTTTTTATGGCTACGTAGTATTCCATGGTGTATATGTACCACATTTTCTTTATCCAGTTTATCATTGATGGACATTTGGGTTGGTTCCAAGTCTTTGCTATTGTAAATAGTGCCTGCAATAAACGTACATGTGCATGTATCTTTATAGTAGAATGATTTATATTCCTTTGGGTATATACCCATTAATGGGATTGCTGGGTCAAATGGTATTTCTGGTTCTAGATCCTTGAGGAATCACCACACTGGCTTCCACGATGGTTGAACTAATTTACGTTCCCACCGACAGCGTAAAAGCGTTCCCATTTCTCCACAGCCTTGCCAGCATCTATCGTTTCTTGACATTTTTAATAATCGCCATTCTGACTGGCATAAGTTGGTATCTCATTGTGGTTTTGATTTGCATTTCTCTGATGATGAGTGATGTTGAGCTTTTTTTCATATGTTTGTTGGCCATGTAAATGTCTTCTTTTGAGAAGTGTCTGTTCATATCCTTTGTCCACTTTTTGATGGGATTGTTTGTTTTTTTTTTTCTTGTAAATTTGTTTAAGTGTCCTGTAAATTCTGGATATTAGCCCTTTGTTAGATGGGTAGATTGCAATGATTTTCTCCCGTTCTGTAGGTTGCCTGTTCATTCTGATGCTTGTTTCTTTTGCTGTGCAGAAGCTCTTTAGTTTAATTAGATTCCATTTGTCAATTTTGGTTTTTGTTGCAATTGCTTTTGGCGTTTTCGTCATGAAGTCTTTGCCCATTCCTATGTCCCGAATAGTATTGCCTAGGTTTTCTTCTAGGGTTTTTATGGTTTTGGGTTTTACATTTAAGTCTTTAATCCACCTTGAGTTAATTTTTGTATAAGGTCTGAGGAAGGGGTCCAGTTTCTGTTTTCTGCGTATGGCTAGCCAGTTTTCCCAGCACCATTTATTTAATAGGAGATCCTTTCCCCTTGTTTTTGTCAGGTTTTTCGAAGATCAGATGGTTGTAGATGTGTGGTGTTATTTCTGCGGTCTCTATTCTGTTCCATTGGTCCATATGTCTGTTTTGGTACCAGTACCATGCTGTTTTGGTTACTGTAGACTTGTAGTATAGTTTGAAGTCAGGTAGCGTGATGCCCCCAGTTTTGTTCTTCTTGCTTAGGATTGTCTTCGCTATATGGGGTCTTCTTTGATTCCATATGAAACTTAAAGTAGTTTTTCTTCTAGTTCTGTGAAGAAAGTCAATGGTCTTGATGGGAATAGCATTGAATCTATAAATTACTTTGGGCAGTATGGCCATTTTCACGATATTGATTCTTCCTATTCATGAGCATGGAATGTTCTTCCATTTGTGTCCTCTCTTATTTCCTTGAGCAGTGGTTTGTAGTTCTCCTTGAAGAGGTCCTTCACATCCCTTGTGAGTTGTATTCCTAGGTATTTTATTTTCTTTGTAGCAAAGAAGAAATCATGGGAATTCACTCATGATTTGGCTCTCTGCTTGTCTATTATTGGTGTATAGGAATGCTTGCGATTTTTGCACATTGATCTTTGTATCCTGAGACTTTGCTGAAGTTGCTTACCAGCTGAAGGAGATTTTGGGCTGAGACGATGGAGTTGTCTATATATACTGTCATGACATCTGCAAACAGAGACAATTTGAGTTACTCTCTTCTTATTTGAATACGCTTTATTTCTTTCCCTTGCCTGATTGTCCCGGCCAGAACTTCCAATTCTATGTTGAATAGGAGTGATGAGAGAGGGCATCCTTGTCTTGTGCCGGTTTTCAAAGGGAATGTTTCCGTGTTTGTCATAAATAGCTCTTATTATTTTGAGATATGTTCCATCAATACCTAGTTTATCGAGGGTTTTTAGCATGAAGGGGTGTTGAATTTTATTGGAGGTCTTTTCTGCGACTATTGAGATAATCATGTGGTTTTTGTCATTGGTTCTGTCTATGTGATGGATTACGGTTACTGATTTGCGTATGTTGAAGTAGCCTTGCATCCCAGGGATGAGGCCGACTTGATCGTGGTGGATGAGCTTTCTGATGTGCTGCGGGATTCGGTTTGGCAGTATTTTATTGAGGGCTTTTGTGTGGACGTTCATCAGGGATATTGGCCTGAAATTTTCTTTATTTGTTGTGTCTCTTCCAAGTTTTGGAATCAGGATGATGCTGGCCTCATAAAATGAGTTAGGGAGGAGTCCCTCTTTTTCTATCGTTTGAAATACTTTCAGAAGGAATGGTACCAGCTCCTCTTTGTACCTCTGGTAGAATTTGGCTGTGAATCCGTCTGGTCCTGGGCTTTTGTTGGTCAGTAGGCTATTAGTTACTGCCTCAATTGTAATTTTCCTTTTAATGTGGTGCATCACATTAATTAATTTGCACGTGTTGAACCATCCTTGCTTGCTTCCCAGAAATAGATCCTGCTTAGTCATGGTGAACGATCCTTTTAATGTGCTCCTGAGTTTGGTTTGCTCGTATTTTGTTGAGAATTTCTGCCTCTATGTTCATCAGAGATATTGTCCTCCTGCTTCCTTTTCTTGAAGTGTTTTCATCAGGCTTTGGTATCAGGGTGACCCTGGCCTCATAGAACGAACTTGACAGCATTCTCTCTTCTTCAAGCTTTGGGAAGCGTTTGAGAAGGTTTGGGGTTAATTTTCTTTAAATGCTTGGTAGAACTCACCAGGGAAGCCATCTGGTCCTTAGCTTTTCTTTAATGGGAAGTTTTTGATTACTGATCCAATCTCCTTACTCCTTATTGTTCTGTACAGATTTTCTGTTTTTTTTAATGATGCAGGCTTGGTTGGTTGTATGCATCTATGAATTTATCCACTTCTGGGCTGACCCATTTATTGCTGCGTAATTGTTCACAGTTGTCTCTTATGGTTCTTTTTATATTTCTGGCATCAATTGTAAAGTCTCTTCTTTCATTTCTGATTTTATTTCCCTGATTCTTCTCTCTTTTCTTCTCATTTAGTCTGGCTAAAGGTTTGTTAATTTTGTTTATCTTTTCAAAAAACCAACTCTTATTTTCACTGATTATTTTCCTGTGGTCTTCTATTCCCTATTTTTTTTTATTTCTGCTCTAATTTTTTATTATTTCATTCTTTCTGCTAACTTTGGAGTTAGTTTGTTCTTCTTTTCCTAGTTCCTGGAGATAAAAAGTAAATTTAGTCCAGGCGCCGTGACTCACGCCTGTAATTCCAGCACTCTGGGAGGCCGAGGCGGGTGGATCACGAGGTGAGGAGATTGAGACCATCCTGGCCAGCATGGTGAAACCCCGTCTCTACTAAAATACAAAAAATTAGCCGGGCGTGGGCGCCTGCAGTCCCAGCTACTCGGGAGGCTGAGGCAGGAGAATGGCTTGAACCCAGGAGGCAGAGGTTGCAGTAAGCTGAGATTGCGCCACTGCACTCCAGCCTGGAAACAGAGCGAGACTCCGTCTCAGAATAAAATAATAAATAAATAAATAAAATAAAAATTAAAATAAAAAATAAATTTAATGGACATCAATATATTTTGTTTAAATCTATGTACTTGCTGTTTGTTTTCTATTTTCCCATTTGTTCTTTACTCCTCTCGTCCATTTTTTTTCATCTCATCACATTTTGGTTGGGCGTTTTAGGATTCCATTTGTCTTCACTACTGTCTTATTAGCTGTATCTATTTCAATTTATTTAAATGGTTGCTCAACTTACCACACTCTATCTTCAAGTAATACTATAGCATTTCACATACAGTGCTTCAATCTCACTGGAGTATACCTTATTTTTCTCCTCTTTTTTTTTTTTTTTGCAGTGCTATTGTTACGCATTTTATTTCTACATATGCTATAACATATGTATGTTATAAACATCATTCCGCTTTCAAGTTAGTTATAAACTGTCAGTTGTCATTTATATATATATTTTTTTAAATGAGGAAAAAAGCTATCTTTCATATATAGCCATAGGTTTCATTCATTCCTCTTGGTCAATCCTAGTTTCCACGTGGTATCATTTTACTTCTGCCTATATTTACTTCTGCCTGTATTTTTTTGGGGGGAGAAATGGCTGTTCACATCTTTTGCCCATTTCTCAATGAGGTTATATGTTTTATTATTAATTTCTAAAACTAATTTCTGTAATCTAGATACAAGTCACTTATAAGTTATATGATTTGCAAATACTTTCTCCCATTCTGGGGCTTCTTTTTTCACATTCTTGATGGTATTATTAATTGCAGCAAAAAGTTTTTAATTTTAATGAAAGTCCTGTTTATCCTATCCCATTGTAGTTTTGGTTTGCATTTCTCTGATGATCAATGATGTTGAGTACCTTTCCGTATGTCTGTTTGCCATATATGTGTCTTCTTTTGAGACGTGTCTATTCAGATCCTTTGCCTATTTTTTAATCGGATTATTACATTTTTTCCCTATAGAGTTGTTTGAGCTCCTTATGTATTGTGGTTATTAATCTCTTGTCAGACAGGTAGTTTGCAAATATTTTCTCCCATTCTGTGGGTTTGCCTCTTTACTTTGTTGATGAACAAAGGATTCCACTTGAGACTCCTAGTTTCATTGATTTTGCCCCCATGGTTTTCTATTCTCTATTTTGTTTTCAATGTTGACGGTTTCCTTTGCTGTGGCAGAAGCTTTTCAACTTGATGTGATCCCATTGGTCTATTTTTTTTTCTTGCTTTGGTTGCCTGTGTGTGCGGGGTATTACTCAAGAAATCTTTGCCCAGTGCAATATACTGGAGAGTTTCCCCTAATGTTTTCTTTTAGTAGTTTCATAGTTTGAAGTCTTAGATTTAAGTCTGTAATCTATTTTAATTTGATTTTTGTGTAAGTTGAAAGATAGAGGTCCAGTTTCATGCTTCTGCATGTGAATATCCAGTTTTCCCAGCACCATTTATTGAAGAGACTCTTTTCTCTAGTGCATGTTTTTGGCACCTTTGTGGAAAATGAGTTCACTGCAGGTGTGTGGATTTGTTTCTGGGCTCTCTATTCTGTTCCATTGATCTATGTGTCTGTTTCTATGCCAGTACCGTGCCTTTTTGGTTACTATAGCTCTGTAGTATAATTTGAAGTCAGGTAATATGATTCCTCCAGTTTTGTTCTTTTTGCTCAGGATAGCCTTTGCTCTTCTTTTGGCAATCTGTAGATTGTTTTGGATAGTATGAATATTTTAACAATAATAATTCTTCCAATCAATGAACATGGAATAGCTTTTCATATTTTTGCAATCCCCTTCAATTTCTTTCATCAGTGTTTTACAGCGTTCCTTGTAGAGATTTTCACTTCCTTTGTTAATTCCTAGGTATTTTATTTTATTGATAGCTATTGTAAATGGGATTACTTTATTGATTTCTTTTCCAGATTGTTCACAGTTGGTAGTGATTTTCGTATGTTGATTTTGTATCCTGGGACTTTACTGAATTCGTTTATCAGTGCTAATAGTTTTTTGGTGGGGTCTTTAGGTTTTTCCAAACATAAGATTATGTCATATGCAAACAAGGATAATTTGGCTTTTTCCTCTGTAATTTTGACACCCTTTATTTCTTTCTCTTGTCTGACTGCTCTAGCTAGAACTTCCTGTACTATGTTGAATAACAGTGGTGAAAGTGGGCATCCTTGTCATGTTCCAGATCTTAGAGGAAAGGCTTTCAGTTTTTGCCCATTCAGTATGATACTAGCTGTGGGTGTGTCATATATGACTTTTATTATGCTGAGGTTTGTTCCTTCTATACTCAGTTTCTGCAGAGTTTTTATAATGAAGGGATGTTGAATTTTATCAAATGCTTTCTCAGCATCCTTTGAAATTATCATATGTTTTTGTCCCTCATTCTGTTAATATGATACATCACATTGACTGATTTGCATATGTCGAATCATCCTTCCATCTCTGGGATAAATCCCATTTGGTCATGATGAATTATCTTTTTAATGTGTTGGTGAATTCGGTTTGTGAGTGAGTATTTTGTTGAGGATTTTTGCATCAATGTTCATCAGGGATATTGGCCTATAGTTTTCTGCGTGTGTGTATGTGTGTGTGTGTGTGTGTGTGTGTGTGTGTGTGTGTGTGTCTTTGTCTGGTTTTGGTATCAGGAAAACACTCATAGAATGAGTTCAGAAGTATTCCCTCCTCCTCTACCTTTTGAAGTACTTTGAGTAGGATTGGTATTTGTTCTTCTTTAAATGTTTGGCGCAATTCAGCAGTGAAGCCATTGGGTACCAGGCTTTACTTTGCTGGGAGACTTTAATTATGGCTTCCATCTCATTACTTGTTATTGTTCTGTTCAGGTTTTAAATTTCCTCATGGTTCCATCTTTGTAGGTTGTATGTGTGTATGAACTTATCCATTTCTTCAAGGTTTTCAAATCTACAGGCATATAGTTGCTCACAGTAGCCTCTAACGATCCTTTGAATTTCTGCACTATCAGTTGTAATGTCTCCCTTATCATCCCTGATTTTATTTATTTGGTTCTTTTCTTTTATTTCTCATTTATTCTGGCTAAAAGTGGGTCCATTTGGTTTCTCTTTTGAAAAAACCAACTTTTCATTTCATTGATCTTGTGCATTGTTTTCTTCGTTTAGATTTTATGTATTTCTGCTCTGATCTTTATTATTTCTTTTCTTCTATTAATTTTGAGATTGGTTTGCTCTTGCTTTTCTAGTTTCTTAAGATGCACTGTTAGGTTGTTAGGTTGTTTACCTGAAGTTTTTCTACTTTTTTGATATAGGGGCTTATAACTGTTAAGCTTCCCGCTTAGTATTGCTTTTGCTGCAACCCACAGGTTTTGGCAGTTTGTGTTTCCACTATCATTTGTTTTAAGACATTTTTCAATTTCCTTCTTAATTTTTTCATTGACCCACTGCTCATTCAGGAACACATTCTTTAAATTGCACATTTTTGTATAGTTCCCAAAATTTCCCTTGTTATTGGTTTCAAGTTTTATTCCATTTTGGTCACAGAAGATACTTGATATTATTTCAATTTTTTGAATGTTTTAAGATTTGTCTTGTGGCCTAACATGCGGCATATCCTTGAGAACTTATCCACGTGCTGAGGAGAATGATGTGTATTCTACAGCTGTTGGAGGAAATGTTCTGTAAATACCTGTTAGGTCCATTTGGTGTATCGTGCAGAGCAAGTCCGATATTTCTTTGTTGAGTTTCTGTCTGGATGATCTGTTCAACGCTCAAAATGGGGTGTTGACGTCTCCAACTATTGTTTGTCTTTCAACACTGTAAGTCTTTTAGTTTGTTTCCACGATGCTTCGTGGTTTTGCAGAGTATAAGTTTTGCACTTTCTGTTAGGTTTATTCCCATGTATTTTATTATTTCTGCTGCTATTGCAAATGGAATTGTTTTCTTAATTTTGTATTCAATGTCCTTTTTGCTACTCTATAGGAATAGAAATTATTTTCGTGTATTGACGTTGTATTCCTTCACTTTGCCAAATTCAGTATTTGTCTTTAAAGTCTTTTAGTGGATTCCTTAAGATTCTATAATTACAAGATGATGCCGTATGCTAATAGAGGTAGTTTTATGTCTTCATTTCCCATCTTTTTGAAAACCAGGTACCATGGCCACAACCCTCAATACATTGTTGAGTAGTAGTGGCTACATCAGGCATCCTTGTGCTGTTTCAGACATTAAGGGTAAAAGATTCGGTCTTCTGCCATTAAATATGATGTTACCTGTGGGTGTTCTTTATCATAGGTGCTCTTTATCAGTTTGAGGAAAATTCCCTTCTATTCCCAGTTTTTTTTTTCTTGAGTGTATTTCTTATGACAGGCTGTTGAACTTTTTCAAATGCTTCTTCTGCATAAATTGAGATGAATACGTGTTTTTTGAATGATTATCTGTTCATATGATAAAATCCATTTATTGATGTGTAGCTGTTAAAGCAACCTTATGTGCCTGAGATAAATGCCACTTGGTCACCGAGTATAAATATTTTTGTATGTTGCTGGATTTGGTTTGCTAATATTTTGTTGGGGATTTTTTCTGTCCTATTCATAGTTTTGCTTTTGAGTCTATATATGATTTTGTTGCCAGGCTTATGAGTTATGAAGTTTTCCCTCCTCTTCTATTTTTTTGGAAGAACTGTTGAAGAATTGCTATTAATTCTTATTTACATATTTAGTAGAATTAACCATTGAAGCCATCTGAGCCTGATCTTTTTTTCTGGGTAGTTTTTTTGCTTTTTGTTTTTTGTTTTTAATTACTATTTCATTCTGTTTCATTTTCATAGATCTATTTAACTTGTGTATTTCTCCTCCAGCCAGTTTGCATGGTATATGTATACCTAGAAATTCATCCATTTCATCTAAGCCATCAAATCTATTGGCATACAATTGTTCATATTATTTCTTTATAATTCTTTATTTTTCCATAATGTAGATAGCAGTGTCTCCTCTTTCTTTCTTGATTTCAGCGAATAGAACCTCCTCACTTTTCTCTTGATCAATCTGGCTTACAGTTTGTCAATTTTGTTGACTTCTTCAAGGAATCAGATTTTTGTTTCATTGGTTTATCTCTGTTATTTTTCCACTCTTCATTTCATTAATTCATGCTCTAATCAGTGTCCACTTTTCTCTTCGATTTGCTTAGGTTTAGTTTGCTCTTTTTCCCAGGGTCTCAATGCGGAGGGTAAGGTTATTGACCCGAGATATTTCTTTTTTTTTTTTTTTTTTTTTTGAGACGGAGTCTCGCTGTCGCCCAGGCTGGAGTGCAGTGGCGCAATCTCGGCCCACTGCAGGCTCCGCCCCCTGGGGTTCACGCCATTCTCCTGCCTCAGCCTCCCGAGTAGCTGGGACTACAGGCGCCCGCCACCTCGCCCGGCTAATTTTTTGTATTTTTAGTAGAGACGGGGTTTCACCGTGTTAGCCAGGATGGTCTCGATCTCCTGACCTCGTGATCCACCCGCCTCGGCCTCCCAACCGAGATGTTTCTTATTTTTTTTTAGTATCAGCATTTAGAGCTATACATTTTCTTCTAAGCACTGCTTAACTGCATCCCAAAAGTTTGACATGCTGAGTCTTCATTTTCATATATCTCAAAAAGTATTTTCTAGTTTCCCTTTTGATTTCTTCTCTGACCCTTGATTATTTAGGAGTTTGTTGATTTCTTTATGCTCATGTATTTCCCACTAATGTATGTTTTATTGATGTATAACTTCATTCCATTGTGGTTTGGGGGCCTACTTTATATTATTTCTGTCCTTTTACATTTATTAAGGTGTTTTATAGCCCACCGTATGGTCTATCCTGGAGAACATTTCAGGTGTACTTGAGAAGAACATATATTCTGATGTTGTTGGGTGTAGTGTTCTATAAATGTCTGTTAGGACCATTTGATTTATTGCTTTTTCAAATCTAGTATATCCTTGTTGGTATTCTGACTAGCTTTTCTATTCATTATTGAAAGCAAGGTATTGAAGTCTCAAACAATGATTGCTGAATTATCTATTCCCCTTTTCATTTCTGTCAGCATTTACTTCAGGTATTTTGGTGTTCTGTTGTGCAGTGCAAATATATTTATAATTTATATATCTTCCTCTTCACACTTTTATAATTGTAGAATGTTCATGTTTTATCTCTAGTCATAGTTTGTGTTTTAAACTCTATTTTTTCTGGGGTTGACAAAACTACTCCAGCTCTCTTGCGGTTGCTGTTTTCAGTGTATTTATTTTCTCAACCTTTTACATTCTAACTATTTGTGCCTTTGAATCCGAAGTGTGTGTCTTGTAGACAGCATCTAGTTCAACCATGTTTTTATTACATCCTGCCAATATCTGCTTTAAAATACATTTGTATTGTTCAGTCTATTCACACTGAACTTAATGTAATTACTTAATGTAATTACTGTTGGGGTAGAATTTATGCCTGCCGTTTTTTGTATTTTCTTTCTCATGTCTTACTGTTCCTCTGTCCCTGCACTGACGTATTCTTTTCTGCTAAACAGATATTTTCTCATATACTCTATTCATTTACCTGTTGTTTCTTTATTGTATTTTTGGGTTGTTTTCTTAGTGGTTGCCCCACAGATTACAGATCACATTTTAACTCAAAAGAATCTAGTTCAGATTGATACCACCTTAATTTCAATATTACACAAAACTGTGACCCTATAAAGCTCAAGAGTCTCTTCTCCTTTGTGCTACTATTGTCATAAAATTACTTCTTTATACCTGTGATGCCCATCTAGATAGTTCTATAATGATTGCTTTATGCAACAATTGTCCTTTAAATCAGGTAAAAGAAGGGAAGAGTTACAAACAACAATACATTCGTACAGTCTTTTATCAATGCTGTTGTAGTTAGTTACCTTTAATGGTGTTCTTATTTATTCATCGGGATTTGAGTTACTGTCTACTGTCTTTTCCAGATTTCCCTTTAATATTTTTTTGTAAGGGAAGTCTGCTGATGATACATTGACTCAGCTTTTCTTTATCAGGGGATAGCTTTACTTCATCATCATTTTTGAGGGAGAGTATTTCTGGATGGAACATTCTTGGTTAACTGTTTGTTGTTGTTGTTGTTGTTTTCATTAACCCCTTTGACTGTGACTTCTCACTACCTTTTGGTCCCCTTGGTTTCTGATAAGAACTCGGTTGTTAATCTTACTGGGGATCCCTTGTGTGTGGTGAGCTGTTTTTCTTTGCTGCTTTCCACATTCTCTCATTGTCTTTGATTTTCAACAGTTTGGCTAAGATGTGCCTCGGTGAAGATTTTCTTGAATTCATCCTCTTTGGAGTTTCTGTGGTTCTCATTTGTGTCCATTAATAATTTGAATCAAACTTGGGGAGTTTGGGCCATTATTGTTTCAAATGTTCTCTCTTTCTCGAGTTCCCATTTCTGTTGAGCCCCTCTAGTGAGTTTTTCGCTGTAGTTATTGTACATTTCCACTTCAGAATTTCTGCTTGGGTGTTTTAAAAACACTAATTTATATTCTGTGATGATTTCTCTATTTGTTGAGACATCATTCTCATACTTCTCTTTAATTCTTTTCACATGGTTTCCTTTAGTTGTTTGAACATATTCACAATAGCTGATTTGAAGTCTTTTTCTAGTAAGTCCAATGTCTGAGCTTCTCTCTGCGTGTTCCATACTCTCCTGTTTCTTTGCACGTCTCGTAAGTTTTTTGTTGAAAACTGGACACTTTAACTAATAGAACGTGGCAACGCTGAAATTCAGACTCTCCCTTCTTTCAAGGTATTGTTGTTGTTGTTTGGTGCTATTAATCCTGCTGTCACTTGTTTGTTTAGTGACTTTTCTGAACTACTTCTGTAAAGTCTGTATCCTCTGTTATGTGTGGCTACTGAATGCCCTGCTTGGTTGGCTTAGTGGTGACCTGGTGATTGGACAGAGATGTCTTTATATGCCTGGAAAAGGTAAGTTTCCCAGTCATTGCCATGGGGCTCTGTGGATATGTTGGACATGCCTTCAACTCGCAGCCAGGCAATTGACAACTCTTTCACAGAGCCTCAAAATAAACCAGAGTTGGCCGTTTAGGCACCTTTTGGGTCTTTGCAGACCATGTCATAGTCCTAGGTGAGTGTCTGGCCTTCTAGATTCCCAGGAATAGGTAATCGCTTTTAAAAGTCCCAATGGACACCTCGTTACCTAGATTTCCTTTTAAGGTATCGGTTAGCCTATTGTGTGCCCCAAGTGTTATCCATTGCCTGAGGCAGCTGCAATATTGAGCAATTGCCTCCAAATATTTTTCACAAATGCATCCAGGGAAAAAGGCGTTTCAAACTGGGCACACTCTGAGTCAGTCCAAATAAAGACAGCCATGTAAGTAGGGCCTTCCCGGGAACTACCAGACAGATCAAATAATGACAATTCTCGGGAATGCGGCTTTGCAGGAGCTCCAACCCTGTTCTGTTCCCTCTGGTGGCTGCCAGGCTGCTGGTTTTCACCATGATTGCAGGCTGTTGGTATTCAAGGCTACCATGGAGCTGCATAAAGGGCCATGAGGATAGGGCTAGTTGAAATGTCACATAGTTCACTGTTCCTAAAAAGATTCTGCTGTTTTTCTTGAATAAACACGCCCAAGGTTGCCCCTCAGCTTTAGGTGAATTTGCAGGTTTCCGAAAACATTCATTTTGACAATTTTTGCCAGTTTTCTCATTGCATTTACGAAGGGGAGAATTTTTAGAGGTCCTTACGTTGCTGATGTTGCTGACTCTCTGCACGAGTTTTCATTATACCTATCCATGAGGGTGTCTGTTGTTAGGTGGTCCCTCTGTGCTCGGAACTTACGTATCTCTCAATAATCACTTTACGGGTTACCGACCATGTGAAAGGGACCACAACCGGAGCTCTAGAAGCAAAGATGTATAGCTCACCACCTTTGATCTCAAAGTTGTCATTCTCAAGTAGATTCCATTTAACCAAAACATTTAAAGCCTTATGATCACCAAGCCTGCATCTGGTCACCAAATTATTTCTTAATTCAGTAAGATGGGGGCAGGGATGGAGGATCAAGGATGTGGGCTGTTTTTGGCCACCGTGTCTTAAATATAACCAGGCTTTTACCTGCATATTTGGCAGCAGCCTGGCTAGTATCTCTTGTCACAACAGGTTTTATTCCTAGCCACTTCAGAAGTGGCTGGGAGCCTCAGGGAGTAAGAGTGCAGATGAGGTGCTGCAGAGATGTCCCATATGAAGAGCTAGAAACTGAAATTTATTTCAACAACTGGGCTTGGTTTTGAATAACTCCTTAGCACCAATCTAGGATTTCCCACTGAAATGGCTTGATTTATATCGATGCAGCCCACCACCTGGGCAGTTATTAATAGGCCTTTAGGTAGAAAGCAGCAGGGACCCAAGAGACTGCTCTTTACACCACAGCGTGGAAACATAACTCCATCCCTCTCCTTTTGAATCAACCTCTGCATATCAACAAACATCACATGGTCATTGATCGAGGATCCCGTTAGTAACCTAAGACTTGAGTTTACATAGAATAACCTGTCTCTGAAACCCTTTGAACTGAAGCTGCTAACTTACTCACAACCTGTTTGTTGAGGGCGTGACTTCTCAAAGTATTCTGGTGCCTTGGATAAATATGTCTGTAAAGTTGCCAAGAGCCTTCAAATGACAGTATAATGTTTAAGAGTCAGACAAATTTTACTCTGAATCCAGGCTCTGCCACTTTCTTTCCCGTGACCATGGATAAATGACTTAGCTTCCCTCAACCTCAGATTCCTAACTTGCAAAACTGAGGATAAGACTAAAGGGATTGTAGGAATTAAAGATGACAATACGTGTAAAGCATGTGGTGCACTATCCGGCAGCCAGCTAATGCTTCAAAAAATATTAGGTTTAGTTACTATTGAGCAACGTCTTTTTTTATTTTCATTTTTATTTTTATTTTTATTTTTATTATACTTTAAGTTCTGGGGTACATGTACAGAACGTGCAGGTTTGTTACATAGGTATACATGTGCCATGGTGGTTTTATGCACCCATCAACCCGTCATCTACATTAGGTATTTCTCCTAATGCTATCCCTCCCCCAGCCCCCCACCCCCGGACAGGACCCGGTGTGTTATGTTCCCCTCCCTGTGTCCATGTGTTCTCATTGTTCAACTCCCACTTATCAGTGAGAACATGTGGTGTTTGATTCTCCGCTCTTGTGTTAGTTTGCTGAGAATGATGGCTTCCAGCTTCATCCATGTCCCTGCAAAGGACATTAACTCACCCTTTTTTACGGCTGCATAGTATTCCACGGTGTACGTGTGCCACATTTTCTTCTTTATCCAGTCTATCATTGATGGGCATTTGGGTTGGTTCCAAGTCTTTGCTATTGTGAACAGTGCCGCAATAAACATACGTGTACATGTGTCTTTATAGTGGAATGACTTATAATCCTTCGGGTGTACACCCAGTAATGGCATTGCTGGGCCAAATGGTATTTCTAGTTCTAAATCCTTGAGGCATCACCACACTTTCTTCCGTTTGAACTAATTCACACTCCCACCAACAGTGTAAAAGCGTTCCTGTTTCTCCACATCCTCTCCAGCATCTGACGTTTCCTGACTTTTTAATGACTGCCGTTCTAACTGGTGTCAGATGGTATCTCACTGTGGTTTTGATTTGCATTTCTCTAATGATCGGTGATGATGAGCATTTTTTTCATATGTTTGTTGGCTGCATAAATGTTTTCTTTTGAGAAGTGTCTGTTCATATCCTTTGCCCACTTTTTGATGGGGAAGTTTGTTTTTTTCCTTGTGAATTTGTTTAACTTATTTGTAGATCCTGGATATTAGCCCTTTGTCAGATGGATAGAGTGCAAAAATTTTCTCCCTTTCTGTAGGTTGCCTGTTCCCTCTGATGATAGTTCCTTTTGCTGTGCAGAAGCTCTTTCATTTAATTAGATCCCATTTGTCAATTTTGGCTTTTGTTGCCATTGCTTTTGCTGTTTTAGTCGTGAGATCTTTGCCCATGCCTATGTCCTGAATGGTATTGCCTAGGTTTTCTTCTAGGATTTTTATGGTTTTAGGTCTTATGTTTAACTTTTTAATCCATCTTGAGTTAATTTTTGTATAAGGTGTAAGGAAGGGATCCAGTTTCAGCTTTCTGCATATGGCTAGCCAATTTTCCCAACACCATTTATTAAATAGGGAATCTTTTCTCCATTGCTTGTTTTTGTCAGGGTTGTCAGAGATCAGGTGGTTGTAGATGCGTGGTGTTATTTTGGAGGCCTCTGTTCTGTTCCATTGTTCTATATATCTGTTTTGCTACCAGTACCTCGCTGTTTTGGTTACTGTAGCCTTGTAATGTAGTTTGAAGTCAGGTAGCCTGATGCCTCCAGCTTTGTTCTTTTGGCTTAGGATTGTCTTGGCTATGTGGCCTCTTTTTTGGTTCCACATGAGCTTTAAAGTAGTTTTTTCCAATTCTGTGAAGAAAGTCAATGGGGATAGCATTGAATCTATAAATTACTTTGGGCAGTATGGCCATTTTCACAATATTGATTCTTCCTATCCATGAACATGGAATGCTCTTCCATGTGTTTGTGTCCTCTTTTAATGCCTTGAGCAGTGGTTTGTAGTTCTCCTTGAAGAGGTCCTTCGTATCCCTTGTCAGTTGTATTCCTGGGTATTTTATTCTCTTAGTAGCAGTTGTGAATGGGAGTTCACTCATGATTTGGCTCTCTGTTTGTCTGTTACGGGTGTGTAGGAATGCTTGTGATTTTTTGACCTTGATTTCGTATCCTGAGATTTTGCTGAAGTTGCTTATCAGCTGAAGGAGATTTTGGGCTGAGACGATGGGGTTTTCTAAATATACAGTCATGTCATCTGCAAGCAGAGACAATTTGACTTCCTCTTTTCCTAATTGAATACCCTTTATTTCTTTCTCTTGCCTGATTTCCCTGGCCAGATCTTCCAATACTATGTTGAATAGGAGTGGTGAGAGAGGGCATCCTTGTCATTCAAAGGGAATGCTTCCAGTTTTTGCCCATTCAGTATGATATTGGCTGTGGGTTTCTCATAAATAACTCTTATTATTTTGAGATACGTTCCATGAATACCTAGTTTATTGAGAGTTTTTAGCATGAAGGGCTGTTGAATTTTGTTGAAGACCTTTTCTGCATCTGTTGAGATAATCATGTGGTTTTTGTCATTGGTTCTGCTTATGTGACGGATTACGTTTATTGATTTGTGTATGTTGAAGCAGCCTTCCATCCCAGGGATGGAGCCGACTTGATCGTGATGGATAAGCTTTTTGATGTGCTGCTGTATTTGGTTTAGCCAGTATTTTGTTGAGGATTTTCGCATCGATTTTCGTCAGGGATATTGGCCTGAAATTTCCTTTTTTTGTTGTGTCTCTGCCAGGTTTTGGTATCAGGATGATGCTGGCCTCATAAAATGAGTTCAGGAGGTTTCCCTCTTTTTCTATTGTTTGGATTCGTTTCAGAAGGAATGGTACCAGCTCCTCTTTGTACCTCTGGTAGAATTCGGCTGTGAATCCGTCTGGTCCTGGACATGTTTTGGTTGGTAGGCTATTAATTACTGCCTCAATTTCAGAACTTGTTATTGGTCTATTCAGGGATTTGACTTCTTCCTGATTTAGTCTTGGGAGGGTGTATGTGTCCAGGAATTTATCGATTTCTTCGAGATTTTCTAGTTTATTTGCATAGAGGTGTCTATAGTATTCTCTGGTGGTAGTTTGTATTTCTGTGGGATCGGTGGTGACGTCCCCTTTATCATTTTTTATTGCGTCTGTTTGATTCTTCTCTCTTTTCTTCTTTATTAGTCTGGCTAGCGGTCTACCTATTTTGTTGATCTTTTCAAAAAACCAGCTCCTGGATTCATTGATTTTTTGAAGGGTTTTTTGTGTCTCTCTCTCTCCTTCAGTTCTGCTTTGATCTTAGTTATTTCTTATCTTCTGCTAGCTTTTGAATTTGTTTGCTCTTGCTTCTCTAGTTCTTTTAATTGTGACGTTACAGTGTCGATTTTAGATCTTTCCTGCTTTCTCTTGTGGGCATTTAGTGCTATGAATTTCCCTCTACACACTGCTTTGAATGCGTCCCAGAGATTCTGGTACGTGGTGTCTTTGTTCTCATCGGTTTCAAAGAACATCTTTATTTCTGCCTTCATTTCGTTATTTAGCCAGTAGTCATTCGGGAACAGGTTGTTCAGTTTCCATGTAGTTGTGCGGTTTTGAGTGAGTTTCTTAATTCTGAGTTCAATTTCATTGCACTGCGGTCTGAGAGACAGTTTGTTATGATTTCCATTTTTTCGTTTGCATTTGCTGAGGAGTGTTTTACTTCCAATTGTGTGGTCAGTTTTAGAATAAGTGCGATGGGGTGCTGAGAGGAATGTATATTCCGTTGACTTGGGGTGGAGAGTTCTGTAGATGTCCGTTAGGTCTGCTTCACCCACTATTATTGTGTGCGAGTCTAAGTCTCTTTGTAGGTCTCTAAGGACTTGCCTTATGAGGCTGGGTGCTCCGGTATTGGGTGCATATGCATTTAGGATAGTTAGCTCTTCCTGTTGCATTGATCCCTTTACCATTATGTAATGCCCTTCTTTGTCTCTTTTGATCCTCGTTGATTTAAAGTCTGCTTCATCAGAGACTAGGATTGCAACCCCTGCTTTTCTTTGCTTTCCATTTGCTTGGTAAATCTTCCTCCATCCCTTTGTTTTGAGCCTATGTGTGTCTTTGCCCGTGAGATGGGTCTCCTGAATACAGCACACCGATGGGTCCTGACTCTTTATCCAATTTGCCAGTCTGTGTCTTTTAAGTGGGGCACTTAGCCCGTTTACATTTAAGGTTAATGTTGTTATGTGTGAATTCGTTCCTGTCAATATGATGCTAGCTGGTTATTTTGCCTGTTACTTGATGCAGTTTCTTCATAGCGTCGATGGTCTTTACAATTTGGCATGTTTTTGCAGTGGCTGATACCGGTTGTTCCTTTCCGTATTGAGTGCTTCCCTCAGGAGCTCTTGTAAGGCAGGCCTGGTGGTGACCAAATCTCTCAGCATTTGCTTGTCTGTAAAGGATTTTATTTCTCCTTCACTTATGAAGCTTAGTTTGGCTGGATATGAAATTCTGGGTTGAAAATCCTTTTCTGTAAGAATGTTGAATATTGAGCCCCACTCTCTTCTGGCTTGTAGGATTTCTTCAGAGAGATCCGCTGTTAGTCTGATGGGATTCCCTTTGTGGGTAACCCGGCCTTTCTCTCTGGCTGTGCTTTAACATTTTTTTCCTTCATTTCAACCTTGGTGAATCTGACGATTATGTGTCTTGGGTTTGCTCTTCTTGAGGAATATCTTTGTGGTGTTCTCTGTATTTCCCGAATTTGAATGTTGGCCTGTCTTGCTAGGTTGGGGAAGTTCTCTTGGATAATATCCTGAAGAGTGTCTTCCAACTTGGTTCCATTCTCCCCGTCACCTTCAGGTACACCAATCAAACGTAGGTTTGGTCTTTTCACATAGTCCCATATTTCTTGGAGACTTTGTTCGTTTCTTTTCACCCTTTTTTCTCTAATCTTGTCTTCTCGCTTTATTTCATTGAGTTGATCTTCAATCTCTGATATCCTTTCTTCCACTTGATTGATTCGGCTATTGATACTTGTGTATGCTTCACGAAGTTCTCGTGCTGTTTTTTTCAGCTCCATCAGGTCATCCATGTTCTTCTCTAAACTGGTTATCCTAGTTAGCAATTCATCGAACCCTTTTTCAAGGTCCTTAGCTTCCTTGCGTTGGGTTAGAACGTGCTCCTTTAGCTTGGAGGAGTTTGTTATTACCCACCTTCTGAAGCCTACTTCGGTCAATTAGTCAAACTCATTCTCCGTCCAGTTTTGTTCCCTTGATGGTGAGGAGTTGTGATCCTTTGGAGGAGAAGAGGTGTTCTGGTTTTTGGAATTTTCAGCCTTTTTGCGCTGGTTTCTCCACATCTTCGTGGATTTATCTACCTTTGGTCTTTGATGTTGGTGACCTTCGGATGGGGTCTCTGAGTGGACGTCCTTTTTGTTGATGTTGATACCGTTCCTTTCTGTTTGTTAGTTTTCCTTCTAACAGTCAGGCCTCTCTGCTGCAGGTCTGCTGGAGTTTGCTGGAGGTCCACTACAGACCCTGTTTGCCTGGGTATCACCAACGGAAGCTGCAGAACAGCAAAGATTGCTGCCTGGTCCTTCCTCTGGAAGCTTCGTCCCAGAGGGGCACCCCCCACATGCCAGCCAGAGCTCTCCTGTATGAGGTGTCTGTTGGACCCTACTGGGAGGTGTCTCCCAGTCAGGATACATGGGGGTCAGGGACCCACTTGAGGAGGCAGTCCTTCCCTTATCACAGCCTGAACACTGTGCTGGAAGAACTGCTGCTCTCTTCAAAGCTGTCAGGCAGGGACGTTTAAGTCTGCTGAAGCTGTGCCCACAGCCGCCCCTTCCCCCAGGTGCTCTGTCCCAGGGAGATGGGGGTTTTATCTGAAAGTCCCTGCCTGGGGATGCTGCCTTTTTTTCAGAGATGCCCTGCTTAGAGAGGAGGAATCTAGAGAGGCAGTCATCCTTGCTGAGCTGCGGTGGACTCCGCCCAGTTCAAACTTCCCAGAGGCTTTGTTTACACAGTGAGGGTAAAACCGCCTACTCAAGCCTCGGCAGTGGCGGATGCTCCTCCCCCCACCAAGCTCGAGCATCCCAGGTCGACCTCAGACTGCTGTGCTAGCAGCGAGAATTTCAAGCCAGTGGATCTTAGCTTGCGGGGCTCCGTGGGGGTGGGACCCGCTGAGCCAGGCGCTGGAGAGAATCTCCTGGTCTGCCGGTTGTGAAGACCATGCGAAAAGTGCAGTATCTGGGCTGGAATGTACTGTTCCTCCCGGTACAGTCTATCACAGCTTCCCTTGGCTAGGAAAGGGAAATCCCCTGACCCCTTGTGCTTCCTGGGTGAGGCGACACCCCACCCTGCTCTGGCTTGCCCTCCGTGGGCTGCACGCACTGTCCATCCAGTACCAACGAGATGAACTGGATACTTCAGTTAGAAATGCAGAAATCGCCCGCCTTCTGCGTCGATCTCACTGGGAGCTGCAGACCGGAGCTGTTCCTATTTGGCCATTTTGCCAGCTCTACCTGTGAGCAACCTCTTAATGCCATAAACACCCAGTCTGTTTTAGTGACCCAAATTAAGAGATTTGGAATCCAGTTGCCTCACCTGACCAACAGTGAGCTGCTTTTCCCCTGTGTTTCCACGGACGTAAAGTGGCCAGGGAGAGAGATCCTTCATGTTCATGACTCTCCCTGATATGCTTAGTGATGCTAGGTGACAACACAATCAATTCTCCTCAAATTAATGCACTTACATAATGGCCAATTTGCCACATTTACTGAATTTCCTGATTGTCATTTTAACAGCTTTCACAGGAGTACTAATTTTTGGTTATTAAAGATGAAATATACCTTTCTGAATATTAACTCAGTGGAGGTGGACATACCTTAGGAACTGGGGAAAAATCCAGAATTAAAGACTGAAAATTTTCTGAATTATTATTTTTTCAATCCAAAATCTGGCAGTTTGCATATGATAGAGTTCCTTAAATATTCTTGATATACGTGGGAGTCTTTCAAATACCATTAAAAAAAATCTATTCAACATACGTGCTTTTTTTTTTTCTTAGTGTTCTCTTGCATTTTTTTCAATGGCTTTATCAGACAGAATTGCTTATTTTGATTGGGAATAAAGATGGTTGACCAAATGCAGCTGGGATGTGCCTCTTCCCCAGAGAGGAAGCAAAATATTAAGTAA
Organism: Homo sapiens; assembly: GCF_000001405.40. NCBI lineage: Eukaryota > Metazoa > Chordata > Mammalia > Primates > Hominidae > Homo > Homo sapiens. Next base: position 72,832,089 of record NC_000023.11, read on the forward strand.
ATCTGCACACTTCAAACACATCTTTTGAGAGAAAACATGGGAATTCAATAAAGGGGCAATGGAAGACACTGTGGTGGAAGAGGGAGGAAGCAGGACTGCCTGTTTGGTATTGCTGGGTGCCACGACTGGCCCCTGGACACAGACTGGACCCGAGGAAGTGGTGAGTGAAGGAACCCTAAGGCACCACATTCCTGCTGTGGACCTCTGAGATCCTAGACACAGGAGTTCCCTTTGGGCTGGCAGGCAGAGCTACAGGGAGAAGATGCAGAGGCACTGCTTGAACCTGTGTGGAGCCCAAAAGGCTTCAGTGTGCTGGGCAGCTGCAGCAAAACATGGCTCTAGGTGCCCACCCCCAAGGCTCCGTGTCCTGCCCTAAGCAGCTGCAGCTCCTACTGTCTGCTGGGCCGGGAGATAGCGGAGTCCAGGCGTGCTCATGTGCCCAACACAGGCCCCGCTGCCATTGCCCTGGGACCAAGGTGCATCTGAGCCACATGCCCCCGTGTTTGCCCCTCCTTCCCAAGACTGCCTGCCTGGCTATTTCTGTGGTGGTGGGGGTTGGGGAGGGCAGGAGGGGAGGGGGAGGGGGAGGGGGTGGGGGAAGAGGAGGAAATTCTTCCTAATTCATTCTATAAGGCCAGCATTACCCTGATGCCCAGACCAGACAAAGACACAGTGAAAAAGAGGAAGCTGCCGGCCAGTGTCCCTGATGAACACAGGTGCAAAAATCTTCAACAAAATACTAACAAACTGAATCCAACAGCACATCAAAAAGATAATACACCACGATCAATTGGGATCTATCCCAGAAATGCAAGGATGGTTCAACACACACGAATCAATAATCTGTCTCATCAACAGAACAAAGATTGAAAATGATATGATCAGCTCAGTAGATGCAGAAAAAGTGTTGGACAAAATGCAGCGTCACTTCATGATAAAAGCTCTCAACAAATTAGGTACAAATGGAATATACCTCAACATAATAAAAGGCTGTATATATAACTAACCCACATCATACTGAATGGAGAAAAGCTGAAAGCCTTTTCTCTAAGAACAGGAACAAGAGAAGGAGGCCCACTCTCACCACTCTTATTTAACATAGTACTGAACGTCCTACCAGAGCAATTAGGCACCAGAAGGAAATAAATGACATACAAATGGAAAGAAAGGACGTCAAATTGCACCCCTTCACAGATGACATGATCGGATAGATGGAAAAACCTAAAGACTCCCCGAAAACTCTTAGAACTGATAAACAAATTCAATAGAGTTGCAGGATACAAAATCTACGTACGAAAATCAGTAGTGCTTCTATGCACCAATAATGAACTAGCAGAAAAGGAAATCAAGAGAGTAACCCCTGCAGCCATAAGAAAGAATGAGTTCATGTCCTTTGCGGGGACATGGATGAAGCTGGAAGCCATCATTCTCAGCAAACTAACACAGGAACAGAAAACCAAACGCCGCATGTTCTCACTCATAGGTGGGAGCTGAACGATGAGAACACATGGACGCAGGGAGGGGAACATCACACACTGGGGCCTGTTGGGGGTGGGGGGCAAGGGGAAGGAGGGCATTAGGACAAATACCTAATGCATGCGGGGCTTAAAACCTAGATGACGGGTTGATAGGTGCAGCAAACCACCATGGCACATGTATACTTATGTAACAAACCTGCACGTTCTGCACATGTATCTCTGAACTTAAAGTAAAATTAAAAAAAAAAAAAAAAGGGCAACCCCATTTACAGTAGCTACAAAAAAAAAAAAAGTATCTAGGAATAAATGTGACCAAGGATGTGATAGATCTCCACAATGAAAACTTCAAGACACTGATAAAAAAAATTGAAGACCACACAAAATAATGGCAAGGCATTCCATGCCTATGGATTAGAAGAATGAAAATTGCTTAAATGACCATATTACCCAAAACAATCTACAGATTCAATGCAATCCCACCCAAAATACCAACGATATTTTTTACGGAAATAGAAAAAAATATCCTAAAATTCATATGGGACCCCAAGAGACCTCAAATAAACGAAGAAATCCTGAGGGGTTGGGGGAAGCAAACAAACAAAGCTGGAGGCATCACTCTGCCTGACTTCAAAATATACTATAAGGCTATAGTAACCAAGACACCGTGATATTGTTATAGAAACTTAAAGGCTTAAATGGAAGACTTGAAACTATAAAAATAACAAAGGAGAAAAGCTTCAGGGCATTGTTCTAGTAGGGCAAATATTTTATGGGTAAGACTACAAAAGCACAGGCAGCAAAAGCAAAAATACGCAAATGGGACCATATAAAACTAAAAAGCTTCTGTACAGCAAAGGAAACAATCAATAGAGTGAGGAGACAACCTGTAGAATGGGAGAAAATACTTACAAACTAATCGTCCGATAAGAGACTGATATCCAGAATACACTAGACGTTCAAAGAACTCAACAGCAAAACTCCCCCAAATAACACTATTAAAAATGAGCGAAGGATCGGAATAGACATTTCTCAAAAGAAGACATACAAGTCGCCAAGAAGTTTATGGAAGATTGCTCAACCTCACTAATCATCAGGGAAATGCAAGTCCAAACTACCGTGAGATATCCTCTCACCCCAGTTAGAATGGCCATTATGAAAAGGACAAAAAGATAAGTTTTGGCGAGGATGTGAAGAAAGGGGAGTTCTTACACATTGTTGGTCTGAGTGTAAATTAGTGCAGACATCATGGAAAACAGTACGGAGGTTTCTCAAAAAACTAAAAACAGAGCTACCATATGATCCAACAGTCCCTCAACTGAGTATTTATCCAAAAGAAAGGAAGTCGGTATATCAAAGAAAGATTTGCTTCCCCACGTTTATTGCAGCACTATTCACAATAGCTAAGATACGGAATCAACCTAAGTGTCCGTCGACATGAATGGATAAAGAAAATGTGGTATCTATGCACAATAGAACATTATTCGGCTACCAGAAAGAATGAAGTCCTGTCATTCGAGGCAACATGAATGAACCTGGAGGATTTTATGTTAAGTGACACAAGGTAGGCACAGAAAGACACAAATACCACACGTTCTCACTCATATGTGGAAGCTGAAGGAAACTGGGCTCATAGAAGTAGAGAGTAGAATTGTGGTTACTAGAGGCTGGGAAGTATAGAGGGGAGGGGAGGATAGAGAGAGGTTGGCTAATGGATACAATATTACAGATCGATAGGAGGAATAAGTTCTAGTGTTCTATAGCACTGTAGGTTGAATACAGTTAACAGTATCGTATAGTATATGCTAAGAAAAAGCTGGAAGAGGGGATTTTGAATGTTTCCAGCACAAAGGAATGATAAATGTTTGAGGTGATGGATACCCTAATTACTCTGGTATAGTCATTACACATTGAATGGATGTATCAAAATATCACTCTGTACCTCGTAAATATGCACAACTACTATGTGTCAACTAAAAAATAAAAGAAAAAAAAGGAAGACAAATACCACATGATCTCACTCATGTGGAATCTTAAAAAGTTGATCTAATAGAAGCAGAGAGTAGAATGATGGTTGCCAGAGGCTGGGGGTGACGGGGCTTGGGGGGGATACGGCAAGGGAAGATGTTGGTCAAAGAGTACAAAGTTCCAGTTAGACAGGAGCAAGAAGCTTTAGTGATCTATTGCACAGCATTTCTAGTTAAAAATAATGTATTACGTATTTTGAAACTGCTAAAAGAGTAGATTGTAAATGTTCTCGCCACAAAAGAATGATAGGTAGGTGAGGAGATGGATATGCTAATTAGCTTAGTTTAATCATTCCGCATTGTATACATATATCAAAACATCGTATTGTACCCCACAAATATATATAATTATTTTTTGCTTTTTTAAATAAAATAAATTTATAGAGACCGCTGCTTCTGGAAAGATGGAAAGATGGTGTAGTTGTACATTTCCCTATTCTTCCCACTAAGTACAACTTAAAATTCTAGACACTATATATAAAACAAACATAAGGCTGGAAGTGGAGAGAAGAAAGTAGACCAACTGGGGACCTCAGAACGACATGGTGGTGAGTTCCTTGGGTTTTGTTTTTGCCTGATATATCCCAAACTTGGAGCTGAAGAAACCAGCTACTAGGGAATGCCAAAATGCACAGGCAAAACGAAACAAAACTAAACAAAACAGGTGAAGAAACAAAGAAATAAACCTACAAAAGCCTGTTCTGCCTAGCCTAAGGATCAGAAAAGAGGCAGCCAAACAAGACAGAAAATATTTTTCACAATAACTGCTCTACTCCAGTCGAACACCTCAGAAAACTCTGTGGCCCCTTCCCCACTCATGCCAGCAAAGATCTAGTGGGGAGCGTAGACTTCCACATTCATTTCCATGGGCAGAGACGAGGGCCCCTTTGCGCTATCATATCACCAGGATTATGTGGAGATCTCCAACATATACTCCCACCAGGCCATAAGGAGACACCCCTCTTTGTCCCTGCTGGGATGATGTCAGGATTTTCACCACCACTCAGTGTTAAGGATGCCACTCAATCCATGGGCTAAAGAGAAAATCTTCCAGATGTAAACTAGGAGAGCCATTATGGAAAACAGTGTGAAGGTTCCTCATAAAGTTAAAATAGAACTACCATATGACCTAGCCTCCCCACTTCTGGGACTATATTCAAAAGCTATGAAATCAGCATGTCAGAGAGATATCTGCACTCCCATCTTCACTGCATCACTATTCACAATAGCCAAGACTTACAATGAACCTAAGTGTTCATCAGCGGATTAACGAATAAAGAAAAGTGTGGTCTATATACACAATGGAATACTGTTCTGCCATGTAAAAGAAGGAAATCATGGCGTTTCCAACAACACGTGGCATTTCCATGTGTGGAAGGTGAAAAAGTCGATCTTTTAGAGGTAGCGAGTGGAATGGTGGTTACCAGAGGCTGGAGTTTGGGGGAGTGGGGGAGATGTTGACCAAAGGGTACAAACTTTCAGCTAGACAGGAGGAATAATTTCAAAAGATCTATTCTACACCGTGGTGACTATGGTTAATAACAATATGCTGTATACTTGAAATTTGCTGAGAGTAGTTTTTAGGTGTTCTCACCACACACAAAAAATGGTAAGTATGTGAGGTAATGCATATGATAATTACCTTGATTTAGCCATTTCACAGTGTATACTTATTATCAAAACATCATGTTGTACACCACAAATATATACAATTTTTATTGGCCAATTTAAATAAAAAGAATACTGAAGACTAAATCTTCCAGGACTTCAGAAAGTGAATTGAACTGAATGGAAATGATTATAAAACATGTCAACATCTGTGGTGCAAAGCTAAAGCATTGTTGAAAGGAAAATTTATGCCATTAAGTGCTTCCATTAGACAAATGGAAAATTATCAAAGCAGTAATCTATGATGTCACTACACTAAACTAGAAAAAGAGGAGCAAAAGAAGCAGAAGGAAGGAAATGTGAAAGATAGGTAAAATAATCAATGAAATGGAAACCTGAAAAATAATAGAGAAAATCAATAAATAAAAACCGAGGTCTTTAAGAAGACCAACAAAACATACAAAACTCAACAAAGACTGACAAAATAAGCCTATGATGATTCACTGCCTCTGTGCATATTTACTGAATGACTTTAATAACTATAGTTATGAAACTTTTCATATAGTTGACTTTAGGAAGCTAAGCCCTTATGTTTTCAATATGAATCATACAATGGAAAGAAGAAATAAAAGAAACATCAGACTCTTGACTTAAATCACAACAAAATTTGATTTTTGAACTAACAGCCAGATCCCTGCCTTTCACCATAGAAACTAGTTTCTGCGATGTCTTTCACAATTAACTCGATTTCCTTTCTAAGAGGTAGACATGATACCCAAATAACTGCACTATGAGTTCAATTTTTCATGCTACGAGCGTGTCTTTGCAAATTGGAAAGTTCTTGGAGACAAAATTTCCCATGATTCATGTAATGCTAAAAGTAAGGTAGTTGAAATTTTTCAGACTTTGAATCAATTATTCTTCCATACTGTTAGAAAGGTCTTGTATTACATGGACATTTGAGTGGCGACTTAGGTGAAGGCCTTCTGCGTTCTGTAAAATATTATATATGTGGTCTCATAATTTTCTATTATGCGTTATGTAACTGAAATAACAATACCTTTTTATGAGGTCTCCACCAAAAATGTGTGTGTGTGTGTGTCTGTGTGTGTGTATTCTACAAGATCCGAGCCATTTTTTAGTTGGCCAAATTAATAACCTCAGATCCTCTTAATAATTATCATAAACTGCCTTTTTTGCTATTGCTGACCAATTAATTCTAATTTCAGGCAACGAATTTTGTCAATCTGATTAGACTGTTAGAGGGAAAATTCTTATCAAATTCATCATGTATTTGCTTACATTTCTCTTAATATTGTCCAGTTTATTCTCTTTACATTTCTTTCAACAAAACGAATAAACAGCTTGTGCTCTGTCTCTGCCACAGCAAATGCAACATCGACAACAACGAGGTGGGGGAGGGGGTGAGATGAGCTTTTTTACATCAAAATGCCCATCCATAAAAGCAGAAATGAATTATAGAATTAGAGAAATCACCACTTTTTAACCAACAAAGTAATAATCAAATCGGGCAGGAGCCCTGAATGAATACTAAGGCCAAGAGGTAAAATTCTGTTGGAGAGCAGAATATCCGCATGTCATCGAAATATCCTGACAGACTACTTATTAATCACAAAGGGAGAGAAGTACCTTCCCAGTGTAGTACTCTGTCTGAAAAATACCTTAGTTAAAGTGATAAAACTGATGAATACAAACAGCATCACCGATAACTAGAGAAACTGGCGTTAGGAGCCTCCAGATGTGACATAATGTGAACTGCTCATCACCTTCTTAATATTCGTACCCAAAGTGTCAAACATAAATATAAACAAGAGGCAAATATCAGGCCAGCCCGTATTGTGGGACACTTTACGAGACAACAGGCCTCGGCTCTGGAAAAAATGTCATCGTCATGGAAGGTTTAAAAAATTGTTTGGGGGTACTGTTTGCAATTAGAGGACACTAAAGAGACATGACAACTGTGTGCAGTGTACCATGCTTGACTGGATTGTTGATCCCCCAAAACGTCTTTCAAAAGGATATTATTGGGACATTTGGTGAAATTTAAATATGAACTGTATGTGAACTTGGATAGTATTACCCCTTCATTGTTACATTTCTTCAATGTGATAATGGCACTGCGGTTTCATAGGAGTACATTCTAGTGTTTAGGAGGTGCATGCTGAAGTAACTGGGTGAAGTGTTTGGAACTGCTACGTGGTTAGGCAAGAAAAAAAATTACTGAGAGATAAAGCAATGAGACAACGTGAATCTAGGCATCAGATTGTTCACTGTATTACCCCCTCAGCTTTGTGTATTTTCAAAATAAAACGTTGAGGAAAATAGATTCCTCATATTTAGAGTTACGCACTGAAATGTTTACAAATCAAATAAGATACATTAAGATATCCACGTATGATTTTTGTACTTTTTTGATTTCTGATATTTGCTTGAAAATAATCTGGAGGAGGGGGAGAGGAGAGGATATGTATGAAATGTGATTGGCCATGAGTCGTTAATGGTTGCAGTTGGGAGATGGATATTTGGAGGTTCCTTATGTTATCCTCTCTTGTGCTGTCGTTCTCAAAATGTGGTCCCCTACCAGCAGTGTTAGCATCACCAGGGAACTTGTTTGCTAAGCAAACTCGGCCGAGCCTGGTGGCTCACGCCTGTAATCCCAGCACTTTGGGAGGCCCAGGCGGGTGGATCACCTGAGGTCAGGAGTTCGAGACCAGCCTGACCAACACGGAGAAACCCCGTCTCTACTGAAAATACAAAATTAACCGGGCGTGGTGGTGAATGCCTGTAATCCCAGCTACTCGGGAGGCTGAGGCAGGAGAATGTCTTGAACCCGGGTGGCGGAGTTTGCGGTGAGCCGAGATCGCGCCATTGCACTGAAACCTGGGCAACAAGAGCGAAACTCCGTCAAAAAAAAAAAAAAAAAGAAAGAAAGAAAAGAGAAAAAGCAAAGCAAAGCAAAGAGAAAAAGCAAAGCAAAGCAAAGCAAAGCAAAGCAAAGCAAAGCAAAGCAAAGCAAAGCAAAGCAAACTCTGGGTCCCACCCCAGATCTTGTCGTCTGAGAATACAGATACGGAGCTCAGAAATCTTTGTTTTATCAAGCCCTCTGGGTGATTCTGATGCAAGCTAGTGTTTTAGGACCACTGCTCTAATGTACCATACACAAAAAAATTAATACACCATAGCTAAGTTACATTTACTATGGGAGAGGAAAGCTGGTTTGACATTAGCAAAGCTGTAACTGGAAGGGGACCCGAGAGAGGTTTGTGTGTTGCTCATATATTTTGTTGCCTGTTCTAGATACTAATTGCATGCGTATATTTAATTTTTGAAAACTCATTAAGAGGCCTGGCTTGGTGGCTCACACCTGTAATCCCAGCACTTTTGTCGGGCGGACTGCTTGGGCCCAGGAGTTCACGATAGCCTGGGCAACATGGAGAAACCCCGTCTCTACAAAATATACGAAAATTAGCTGGGGATGGTCGTGTGCCTGTAGTCCCAGGAGTTCACGATAGCCTGGGCAACATGGAGAAACCCCGTCTCTACAAAATATACGAAAATTAGCTGGGGATGGTCGTGTGCCTGTAGTCCCAGGTACTTGAGAGGCTGAGGCAGGAGGATTGCTTGAGCCCAGGAGGTGGAGGTTGCAGTGAGCCAAGATCACGACACTGCACTTCAGCAGCCTGGGTGACAGAGTGAGGGGCTGCTTTTTTGTTTCTTCTTTGTTTACAAATCAAATAAAGAAAGCAGCCCAAGGAAGGAAGGAAGGAAGGAAGGAAGGAAGGGTGGGAGGGAGGGAAGGAGGGAGGGAGGAAGGAAGGAAGGAGAAAGAGAAAGAGAGAGAGAAAGGGAGAAAGAAAGGGTAAGAAAGAAAGAAAGGAAAAGAAAGAAAGAGATAGAAAACTGATTAAGATATACATTTATGATTTTTTAACCTTTTGGATTATAAGTTAAACTTGGCTGAAGGTTTTGGAAAAAACCTGGGAAGTTACCTAGGCTGGGTATTCTAGAGATAATGGATTCTCCCATAACTGATCCATAGATTCAGTGAAAATGCAGTCCAAATCTGTTACAACCGAGTTTTTGGGAAACTTGAAATTGCATGCTAATTTATGCAGAAGGACAAAAGGCCTAAGACATTCGGGGGTGGAGGTGGTGTGGTGTAGGGAGAGAGGAAGAAGAAAGGAAGGAAGGAAGGAGGAAAGGAAAGAACGGAAAGGAAAGGAAGGGAAGGGAAGGGAAGGGAAGGGAAGGGAAAGGAAAGCAAAGAAAAGGAAACGAAAAGTTAAGGAAAACACAAGGAAACAATATTAATATGGAAATGCTGGCAGCATTCCTTTTAAAATCCGGAACAACCCAAAGAAGCCCAATTTTGCTGTCGCTATTAGATCTGGTACTAAATTTCCTAGCCAGCGCTGTTAAAAAACAAACAGCCAACCAACCAAAAAAAAAAAAAAAAAAACAAACAAACAAAAAACCCCCATAACTTCAATTCTATTTCTACTATGCATAAACTCACAGATAATCCCAGAACGCCTACTATAGAGTTTAGCATGTTGACAGACTTTAAGATCAAGTCACGTTTTTAAAAGTTAAAGGCATTTCTGTAAATTCGATCCAAATAGAAATTGTCCTTTTAAACAGACATCAAGTACAAGAACAGCAACAATCTACAGTATCTTGGAATAAATACAATAAATGATGTGCAAGATCTAAATATACAAAAGATGAAACTAAAAACTGAACTGAAAGATTAAAACATTAAGGACGCACATAAGTGGAGACATCCCAAGTTGGTGAACAGGAAGGCTGAGTATTCTACAGATAGTAGATTCTCCCCCTAACTGATCCATAGATTCAGTGAAAATGCAATCCAAAGCTGTTACGACTGAGTCTGGGGAGACTTGACATTGCATACTAATTCGTGCGGAAGGACAAGAAGGCAAAGAATGGCAAAGAATAGCAAAGATGTGTTTGGAGATGATGAACACCATGCAGGGACTTGCCCTAGCAGATGTCAAGATGTATTGCGAAGTGAAAAAATTTAAGACAATTTAGTAGTGGTACAGGAATAGACACATTTATCTGTGGAACATAACAGGGAGTTCATAAACAGAGACACACAAATATGGACGAAAGTGTCTCCAAGCATTGTTCCCTGGGGGTTGCAAAGTCACCACTGATTGGGAATCCGCGGCATGGAAATATGGATGGATCTTTAATCACATGCTGAATTTTTAAAAGGTAAATTACAAAATACCAAGTACATGAGTTATAAATGCATGCACACCAAATATTTCACACCCAAAGGGAGACTAATCTGGGAAACAAGCCCTGGGGAGCATAAAGCTCAACGATCACTTCACGATTTCTTGACTGACCTAGTACAGGGAGCGGGAGAAGCTACGGGGAGGTGATGGGGGCGTGGCCTCAGAACGTGAGCGTCAAGAGATCTCGAGGTTCATTGGTCGCCAGCCACAGCGGCGGGAGGTCGAAGGCAGCGCAAGAGCTCATTGGCCTTTGTGGCAAGAGCGGGAAGGGAAGCAGAAGCTGGATCTTCCCTCAGACCGTCTGACTGGTTCTGACTTGCCGGAGGCTGAGGCAACCACAGGCTGACATCAGAATTAGGTCCTCGTTCTCCACGCCTCTTATTTCCTCCCACCCTCCTGAGCCAGATTCCCAACCCCTTCCCCTCTCTGCTACCTCAGCAGGGAACCCCCAACTGCTCCTGATGTCCCATCGCGCCCTCAGCTCTCCCGGAATCCCTTTCGGGAGGACTCCTTGCTCCAGCCCCCTGAGCCCTGGCCTTTGGCCAATGAGGCAGGGCTCATGGGATTGCTTTTGATTCGGAGGTCCGGGAGGGAGTGGATGATTGGGCTTCCTGAGGAAGTGGTGCGCTCCAGGGTGGTGGGACTGCGTGTGTGGGGTGGGGTGGGGGTGGGGGGAAATGGTGTGCTCAAGCACAATTGTTGAAGTGTGGAGAGGATTATGGAAGATTTTGGGGAGGCTGTGGAGGGAATGTGTGGGTTTTCATGAAAGCAGAAAAGGTGTGTGAGTCCAAGAGAAACACTACTGCACTGAGGAGTTCCCTACTGGCTAGATCAGAACCTGACACTTCATAGGAGGCTCAACAGGTACCTGCTGAATGAAGAATCAAGGGAATCGGCCGGGCCCGGTGGCTCACGCCTGTAATCCCAGCACCTTGGGAGGCCGAGGCAGGTGGATCAGCCTGGCCAACATGTGAAACCCCGTCTCTATTAAAAAATACAAAAAATGGCGGGGCGCGGTGGCTCACGCCTGTAATCCCAGCACTTTGGGAGGCCGAGGCGGGCGGATCACGAGGTCAGGAGATCGAGACCATCCTGGCTAACACGGCGAAACCCCGTCTCTACTAAAAGTACAAAAAAATTAGCCGGGCGTGATGGCGGGCGCCTGTAGTCCCAGCTACGCGGGAGGCTGAGGCAGGAGAATGGCGTGAACCCGGGAGGCGGAGCTTGCAGTGAGCCGAGATTGCGCCACTGCACTCCCGCCTGGGCGACAGAGCGAGACTCCGTCTAAAAAAAAAAAAAATACAAAAAATTAGCCAGGCGTGGTGGCAGGCACCTGTAATCCCAGCTACTCGTGAGGATGAGGCAGGAGAATCACTTGAACCCGGGAGGCAGAGGTTGCAGTGAGCCGAGATCACACCATTGCCCTCCAGCCTGGGTAACGAGTGAAACTCCGTCTCAAAAAAAAAAAAAAAAAAAAAGGCCGGGGGGGATGCATGAAGGGATGAATGAAATTAGTAACTGAAAGAGGGCCAGGGATCCAGGAGAACAATATGATTTCATGGGATACAAGAGGGAAATCAGCTCAAAGGGGGAGCAAGGGAATAATTAAGTGTAAGGTGGAGTACAAGAAAAAAATCAGCATGAACCAGCATGAAATGTGAGGGGAAAATTGAATATAGGGCATAGAAGAGACTGACAATGGAATTGAGTGCTGGTGGCACAAAATCCTGTGCGGGGAGTGAATGAATGCAGGAGGTTCTGAAGAGAATTGGTGAAGTGGATGCCAGGAATAATACTTGGGTTTGGCAGAGTGCAGGATGATACACAAGAAGGGCGTGTAGTAATGGTGGAAGAGGGCAGGGGAGTGCATGTGCATGCCTGAAAGTGGGGTCTATGGTGAAGTGACGGTAAGCAAGGAGAATAATGACTGCATTGAATGGGTATGGGATCCATTCCAAGAGTTTCTTGGGAGGGGGCTATGTGTGAGTGGGGCTTCTGGGAAGGAGGCAACATCAGCAAGGGGGTTGCAGTGAAGGTTGGCGAAAACCATGGGAGAAGAAGGGGAGGGAAGGCAATCTGATTCCAGCGGTGAGAAGGATGGAGAAGGAGCATTGAGCCACCTCAGATAGGGTTTTCCAAGGGCAGAGGAAGTACGTTGGGGGTAGGGGATCACGTGGCCATTCTGACCTCCGCTCCTGACCCTAGAAGCATGGATCCCGTGTGTCTGAACCTCCATTTCCCTATGGATGTACTGAGGACAAATAAATACCCGCTGCACCCTGCTGCCCCTCTGACTCTGAATGCACCACAGGGCGTCAGACTGGAGCCCCATGGGGGACTGAACTTGGCCCCAGAAGAGCTATAGGTTGCTGTGACCGCTGCCACAACCATTTGGGTATCACTGCCCAAATCAGGGGCCACAAGCATTTCTGCCTCTTCCAGGCCTGCGAGTGTCACAATTGTGCCCTCTTCTCATGAGTATGGTGTCTGAGATGCGGAGGGGCCAGACCTCCTCTAAATGGGACTAATCTTAGCCCTGCTATCCTTTGCTTCAGAGAACGCCTCAGGGTCTTGCCTGCTGTGAGTGCCTTGAAGAGGGAGCAGCGGGCACGATCAAAGAGACACCTGGCTCAAGGACCAATAAGGAGTATGGCTGCCCCTCCCAAAGCTCCCATCCGTGTCAGGAATTTGACCATCAGAGCAGGAGCCCTCAGTGAGTGTTTCTGGCAAGGGAGGGAGCCAGAGTTTGGGTGGAGGAAGCATGAGTGGTTCTGTCACCAGTCCTGTCACAGAATTGCAGTGCGACCTGGGGCAAATTGCTCCCTGGACCTTAGTGTGCCCAGGTGCAAAATGTCACCAATGTTGTCTACCAAGTGTTTGTAGGAAGGAGAGAGCTGGGGGACAGGGCAATCGAAGAGCTCCATGGTGAGATGAGACCTGCGACTGGAGGTGGGGTGAAGTGGGGTGGGGTTGGGGGAAAGACTCACCAAAGCTGTTCCTGGTCTTTCACAGCTGGGAAGGAGAACAACATGCTGCAGCCCGAGACCCACATCTTCACAGCCCCCGAGGAGGTAAGGAGAGTCGGTGACCAGTCGGGCAGGCTCCCACCCAGCCACTGTCCAGACATCTTTCACCGTGTCCCAAGGACATGGGTTTCATCTCCAATCCTATCACCAGCTCACCATGTGACCTTGGGAAATATCACTTCTCCTCCCTGGGCCTCAATTTCCCCAGTTGCAAAATGAAAGGCAAGACTGGCTGGTCTTCAAGGTCTTCGGAGCTCTGACATTCTAGGCTCCTATCCTCATCCTAAAACATGTCCACACCTCCTCTCTCCATGGCTGGCCTGGTACCTGACTGCAACCTGTGCTCTCTGCCCCTGCAGGGGAGCTCCCAAGGGGCTCTGCTGCTTGGCCAGGCCCCAGAACCTTTGTCTCTGCCCTGTACTCCAGTGACCTTGGAGCAGCAACTGGTTTCTCCTTCTGGGGATCCCCACAGGGCCCCTGCCCTGCCCAGCATGTGAGTAGCGTGAGGACCATGGAGCAGGTTGTGTCTTGTGTGCCTAACCTTGTCCTTGATGCCGTGGGAGATGGAGGAGGAAGAGGGGGAGGAGGAGGAGGAGGTGGTGGAGGGGGAGGAGGAGCAGGAGGAGGAGGAGGAGGAGGAGGGAGAGGAGGAGGAGGAGAAGAAGGAGGAGGGCAAGGCAGCATCTAATACTAACGGGCGAGGACAGGGCTCTCCTAGCTTTGCTATTTTCTATTTGTGAGACTTTGGACAAGTGACTTTATGTGTCTGAACCTCCATTTCCCTATGGATGTACTGAGGACAATATTCTATACCCATAGCATTGAAAAGGGAACGGGCACAAGGCCTGCCACATAGTAGGGCTTCAACAAATGGGGGTTGTTATGCCACATGAAACAGGTGGATGGGATAGAAGGTCCTGCTGAAAGGTGGGGTCCGTGCTGGCGAGGGCCACAGAGGCCCAGGGCAAAGCCCAGAGGCCATTAGAGAAAGCTTCCTGGAGACCCTTCAAGACCCATGGGGACTGGGCAATATGGAAGTGAGAACCAGTCCCTGAAGAGGGACAGTAATCACATCTCTCCAGGTGTTTTGCAAATTAAAGCACGGACACCTGTAATTTCCCATGATTTTCACCATTGCCCTGGGAGGAAAGAGCTGGTAGGAATAAGCGTCCCTGTCAGGAAAAAGAGGTATGGAAAAGAAACCTGGCCAAGCAGGAGAAGGGACTTGCCCCAGCCACAATGACTAATGGTCCAGCAGGCATTGGGATTCTCACATCCAGATACTGCAAAATCCTGCCCCTCTTTCTGTCTACTGGTAGTATGTGTCCGCCAGCGGATTTAATCCCCTGGCCTCTCCTTTCCTTGTTTCTAGATGCTCAACTCTGATCCTCCAGCCCTGTGCCACCCTTGACCCTCTTCTACTGCAGCCACAGGTCCTGGGAAAGTAGTGGGGTCCAGAACCCTGGGAGGGGCGGAGTTTAGTGGATGGGAAGAGCAGAAGGCCTTGGTGGGGGTGGGGGAGGAGGTTGAGGGAACAGGGGGCTGAAGGGGCACTTGTCGTATTGGGAAGAGGTGTAGTTTCCCAGTGCCTATTCTCTCATGCACTTTCCTTTCCAGGTCCCCAAAGTCTCTGACCAGGCTTTGGTTTCTGCCCACTCAGAGTGGCAGCGGAAGCTGGAGGCCGCTGAGGCTCTGCTGACTCTGAGAAACTCTGCCCAGGCCCCTCCTGACTCCATCTCCCTGCACCAGCCTTGCAACCCACCAGGTAGCCTGCTCCCTGAAAGGAGAATACAGGGTGGGAATAGCTGGGGAATGGGGGTCGTTGTGGTAAGCAGGTTCTAACTGAAAAATCAGAGTCAGTAAGTTGAATCTCCTTGGGGCCAGGCACCCAAGCTCCTCAGTATGACTCCCGAGATGGTAGTTGAGGGCTGTTTATTGAATCTTCGGTTTATTGAGCTTTGTGTGCAACAGCAAGCGTTCAGTGCCCTGATGTCAAGAAAGAAGGAAGCTGAGGCCCTGAGAGTGGCAGGGACTTGCCCTCTCTGATATGCATGCAGCATATCAAGTGGAAGAACCGGCCCTCTTGACTTTCAGCCCAGGGTCTATGCTCAGCCGCCTGTGGCCTACTGTGGTCTGGGGAGGACATACAGAGGTGATAAAGGGCTTGGTCTGGAAGGAGGTCTGGTCTCTGCCTTCCGGGAGCTTCCAGTCTAGATGTGGAGCCTGGATGCCCTTGCAAGCTGTGTTTTGTGGCCAAATTTTAACGATGTGCCCAGAGAGGAGGGGCTGGAGGAGCTCCGAGGGGGGATAAACAACTGGGGAGGCTGGGAGGGAAGGCTAGGCATTCCCAGATCCAAATGGTGAATGGAGCATGGTGTGTCAGTGAAGAAACACCCCTGGAGGGACTGCTGGAACAGAAAGGGATGAGGCTGGAGAGGATACCAATCACAGAGGTCTGACAGGTCAGGCTTAGGAGGCTGGACCAGCAACTGTGGGTAGTGAGGAGCCAGGGAACGTTTTCTGAGCTAGGGAGAACAATTTCAGAGACCCTGAGCTTGACAAAAAGAGTTGTGGTGGCTTTGATGGAAGGATTGGGGGAGGCAAGATGGGAGATGGGGAAATCAGAGAGGAAGAGGTCTATGCAACAGTCCAGGTGACAAATCTTTGGTTGGGTGGGACGCATAAAAACAGTAGATCTGGAAGGGGATGTGGATGTGACCTGGCTCTGGCCCCTTCCTTTCTGTCCACAGCTCCTGCTGGAGATAAAGGATTCCAGCCTCCCAGCCCCTCTCTCCGCCCCAGGCCAGCCAGCTCCATCTCGCTGCCTATTGGACATCTGGGATGCATCTCCCTCTTGAGCTAGGAACCCAGAGGAGGAGGCCTCAATAGAGCACTGCCTATTTGGTATCCAGTTTCTGAATGTGCAAAATGGTTAACGTCCAAAACGCTTAACGTCTTTTTTTAAAGCCTTCAGGTGTTTTATAAGCTTTTTATTATATGGGGCAACTCCTTGGCTGAGGGTGGATATTCTTGTACCTCTGTCCCTTACTCTTTTGGATGCTGGGGCCTTTTTCTGTCTCATAAAGACAGGATTGTGCAATCTAAGTTGATCAGTCTCTCAGTGGGGTTCTGTGTGAGTTCATATGCCAGAGTTTTTATTCGTCTTGTGATTGCTGACATACCTGTGCACTCATGTGTATACCCCTGCATGTGGAAACATGAAGATGTTTTCACTTTGTGTCTAGGTTTATGTACGTGAACAAATAATAAACCGTTGTTGTTATAAGGCACTGTGATATACGGGTTGTTTGTTACCACAGTATAACCCAGACTATCGCGACTCTAACCGATTTGTTCAATTCATGTTTCAAAGTGAGAATCACCTTATCCAATAACTGGGATTTCCTAACATGGCTAGATAAGAAAATGGTAGAGGAAAAAGAGTAGGGTATGTATTCATTGAGCAAGGAAGTACCTACCCTCTGCCTGGCATAGACTGTTTCCAGTTGCCCAGAGGGCCGTAAGTGGCAATGCCTGTAGGATCAAGCAGATCATGTAAATGAGTAGAGCAGGCCCGATGGCCTCTGGCCAAACTGACAGTGTATGCTCTGCGTAAGTGGGCAGCTGCTGCTTGGCTCCAGGCAATTGTTGCCATGCAGGGATAGCGACTCATGGTGGCCAAATTGACTGTTTTTTCAAGAGAAGATGGAATTCTAGATTTCTACATAAAATCACTCAACTTTAAACGTTGGCTCGGGTTTCTTCTTTAAGCCCTATATCTGGGCCAAACCAAACTTCCTTGAAGGACAGTTTTGGCCAAGGGAAATGCCAGTTTTGTTCTAGACCAATGTGAATTTTACAGTGGGGGAAACTGAGGCCAATCAGGACAAGAAGAATCAAACAGGAGAAATGAGTTAGACTCAGACCCTGTTTTTGAAGGACCCATGAAATATGAGGAAGCATCACTACCTTTTATTTATTCTGTGCACACCGCACTAAGCACATACAGCCTCACGGCAACTTTGCAAGCTGAGCATTATTATTGCCATTTTGCCTATGAGGAAACACACTCAAAGAATGAAAGTGACTTGCAGAAGTGGTTTGGGGGAAATTTTAAGCCAAAGATCAGCGAACACTCCCTTGTCTTTATCAGGCCCTAAATCAGCGAATAATTCGATTTTTAAATAAAGCATTGAATAAAAGGTTCAAAACTCAAAGCAACAAACATCAGTCAGAGGGTTTTTCCAAAATAGTCCCTTTATTTCTTACTCAAGGTAACAACAATATGTAGTAATCGATCAGATCTTTCTTACCTGCACTGGTTTCCCAGTCCTCTGCTGATATTCTAAACAAATGAAGACCTGGAGACCCCCCACCAGGCAGAAAGAAAGCTCAATTGGACATGCCTGGATATGGGCCCTTTTCCATGCTATTATCTCCCTCCTTTCTTCCCTCCCAGTACTTTACCCAAGACAATTGATTCGGATGACATCCAATTACAACTTGTCCTTTCTTTTTTGAGACCCCGAGAAGTCAGGATTCTTATATTCTTGATCTGATGGCAGAGAAACAAACGTGCAAAGTCACTCAGACTCGGAGCAAGACTAGACTGAAGTCCAGCTCACACCTTCCTTCTTCCCTGATTTGTTACTCGAACAAATGATCCCAAAGCCCCTCCTTTCCTAGTGATGGATGAACAAGTCCACATATTTCTGGAGGAATGAAGCGGTAGTACCTGGAAGAGGACTAAGATCCTGCTATGAAATCGTGTCCTAGGCACACCACAGTCCCACAGTTGACTTGGGTGAAAGAGGAGGCATATTTTGGTTAAAGGATGTGGCATGAGAAGAGGGAGGAAAAACAGAAATAAAGTGATGGGCATTGGGGGAAGCAGTGAGGCCCTTTTCCCTGTCCCCTTTTATTTTCCTGATGCCCCCCTCCCCCCATACACACACACACTTTTTCTAAAGTCTCATAATGGTGTATTTTTGGCATCTTAGGACATCTTTGTGAATGTTAAATATCAAACCTTTTTCGTGTACTTCCCTTAGCCGTGTACTACCCCTGTTCATAGATTTAAAACATGGCTGTGTAGAGCACTGTGAGTTATGTCTTGACTCGTGTATGTCACATAACAGCATTGGTTAGATCTGAGCATACCCATCACATCAGAGCTTCTGTAGAGTGGATCAATTTCAACCATTAGTGTGCAGGTACAGGTTTAGCAACTGGCTCTCAGGGGAAAGGAAGGTTGGGGGAAATGCCCTGGGTTGTTGCATTTGCCGAATGCAAGATATCAAAGTGATGTCAGTGAACGCAGAGTTGGGAAGAGATGTATTTTTACCATTCGGATACCATAAATGTAAATAACCACAAGAACACAGATAACAGTACAACGTAGAAAAATAATTAGGGATTGATATTTTTTAGCATATATTATGTTTGTTTTCAATATAATTGATGTGATTGTTAGTTTATATAATGTAGTTTTTAATAATGGCTGTATTTAACAACTGGCTCACAAAATTCTTGAAAATCTTATGGTTGGCTCTTATGTTCTGGTAAGAGCCAGCTCCAGCACTCCGCCACTTTCAACCCTTGCCCAGAAAGACAGCTTTTCCAAAGTAGGTTCCGCTAACACTGCAGGGCCATAAAGGGCTGCTACTGCTGGTTTCTGATCAAGAACAGCCTAAAATGTATGGGAAAGTATTATTTTTAAATTAAAAAATGGAAAGACCTGGGACAAATATTGAGCGGAATAAACAGTCAAAACCATTTATGTGGGAATGCGCATTCTTGGAGGGGGCCAAAGTCGGGTAGAGGTGAGTGGTAGGGATCTCAGAATTGGCAAAACCCATCCATACACGGTTATATTCAACAGATTTCTCTTTTCTTTTTTGTCAACAGATTTCTTAAAGGCTAGAGAAATGGGGGCAACCGGTATTACCTGGCCATTGGACCTGTATCTCTCTTTAGAGAGACTGACATTCATTACACTCTCGCCTCCTGCTTAGATAAATGCTGCATAAGCTGTTAATACATAAACTTCTCCACCTCGCCTTTTTTAAAAACTTAAAAACACATCCTTGAGGCTACCTGATCGCCAAGCTGAGAACAGTGTTATTTCAGTGAATGGATGTACTGACCACACTATTATGCATCTTGTGAAGCATTTAAAGTCACACATATAAGAAAAATTTCTATAAATGCCACTTGTTCCCCACGTTGAGAACTGTGTTATTTCAGTGAGTAGATGTGTTAGCTACAATGTAATGCATGTACTGAAGTGGTTAAAGACACATGAATAAACAAAGTTACTAAAAGTGAAAAAAGAGAAATCCTTGAGGCCGGCGTGGTGGCTCACGCCTGTAATCCCAACATTTTGGGAGGCCGAGGCAGGTGGATCACTTGAGGTCAGGAGTTTGGGACCAGTCTGGCCAACATGGTAAAACCCCGTCTCTACTAAAAATACAAAAATTAGTCAGGCGTGGTAGTGGGTGCCTGTAATCCCAGCTACTCAGGAGGCTGAGGCAGGAGAATTGTTTGAACCCGGGAGGCAGAGGCCGCAGCGAACTAAGATCGCGTCACTGCTCTCCAGCCTGGGCGACAGAGCGAGACTCCACCTCAGAAAAAAAAAAGATATCCTTGAGATCACTCCACAGTCCTCCCTGCAGACATCCCTCACTCCTCACGACAACTAGAGGGTACTCCATTGTGTGGACCTACCATAGTGTGGTCAACTGGTCTTCTATTGATGGACACTCTGGTTGTTTCTATTCTTGCTATTATTTTATTTTATTTTTTCTTTTAGTAGAAACGGGGTTTCACCATGCTAGCCAGGCTGGTCTCGAACTCCTGACCTCAGGTGATCCACCTGCCTCGGCCTCCCAAAGTGCTGGGATTACAGGCGTGAGCCACCGCACCTGGCTCTCGCTATTATTTTAAATATGGCTGCAATGGATAGGCTCCTGACATAATCTTTAGCAATTTTTATATCACTACATCTTTGGGATTGATCCCTAGATGTACCATTGCTGCTTAAAAGGTGAAAACACAAGGTATCTTGCTCATTACTGTCAAATACCTCTTCAAGAAGGATGGACCATTTGCCTTTTCCCCATCAATATCGGAGAAAGAAAGTTTTCCCAGCATCTCACCAGTAGTATTGCCAGATTTTTGAATTTGCCCATCTGATAGGAGATAAATGATATATTAGTGCATACATTAGCTTGCGTTTCCCTTCACATGTGCAAGGCTGCACATCTTTTCCATACGGTTAAGAGAAATTCCTGTTTTCTTTATTCTTATGTACTTTTAGTTTATAGTTTTGGCCCAGTTAGTATAGGGGCCTTGGCATTTTCTCCTTTCCAAGAAAAGTTCTTTACGTCTTAGGGATATATTAGGACATTTACCTTTCCTTCTGATATAAGTCGTAAATCATTTTTCCTCTTTGTCATGTATCTTTTTACCTCATTGATGGTGTTTTGTTTCATTGTTTGCCATGCAAAAGCATTTTATGTTTCCTTAATAAACTTTATCAATATTTTGCCTTATATCTTTTGGGTTTTTAGTCATAGCTAGGAAAGATTTCCCACTCTAAATATAGAGCAGATTGTCTCCTGTCACACTGTAAACTCTGGTCCACTTGAAATGTATCCTCGTGTATGGTGTGAGGAAGAGATCCAGTTTTTCCAATACCACTTGTTAAAAAGTTCCCCCATGGGAGTGATATCAGCATGACAGCAGTCAAGAAAGCTACAGTCCCTCCTTCCCTGATAGAGACATTAACTTAACAACATTATATAAACCTAAATACCTCTGTGAGAATTGTAGAGATCACTGGACAAGCTACAGCACATTGGCCCTTGTAAAACCAAGAGGGGATTCCAGTGACAGGGGTAGGAAAATTCCCAGCATTCAGCATCCCCCTTGTGCCCCTCCCTCTACATGGTGTAGTGTGGAACACTAGGAAAAAAAAAATCACGAATTCTGGGCCCCTCCCTTGGGATAAAAACAAGAGAGTGGACCATGCATACAACGTTCTGGCTTGTTTGGGGGCTATTTGAGGGACTGGTTTCTGTCTTGCCTGACTTGGAAGGCTGAAGCAACCTGAGATAGAGTCTGGAAGCTCCTGAAAACGAAAGTGCACAGCAGGTAAGAGCTGCAGTTATGTAGGTAGATGCCAGGGGCAACAAGACATTACAAAAGGTTTGAGAGGTCCTAGAACCTCCAGCCAATTGGCGAAGGTCTTCCTATGCACCAAGCTGGTATGCAAAGACTGGGAGAGGTGATTGTTTCTTCAAATGCCCAAATCCGAACAAAAGATTTCAAGACATACAAATCAACTGGGGAAGATGGCCCAGTCACTGGAGCAAAACAACACTCCAGGAGCCAGCCCTAAATAAATGTAGACCTAAGAGCTGCCTGACAAAGAATTTAAAGTAATTGTCATAAAGATGTTCAATGAGCTAAAATAGAACACAGAGAGACAACTAAATGAAATCGGGAAAATGAAGCATGAACGAAATGAGAATATTGACAAAGAAATTAACACTATAACAAAGAACCACGCAGATTCTAGAGATGAAAAAATAATACAATAACTTAACTGCAAAATTCACTGGAGGTGTTCAATAGACCACTTGATAAGGCAGAAGAATTATCAAGCTTGGAGGCAGGTCATTTAAAATCATCATGTCAGAGGAGCAAAAGAATAAAAGAATGAAGAAAAGTGAAGATAGACTAGGGGACTTTTGGGACACCATCAAGTGAACTAGTATATGCATTATGGTAATCTCAGTAGGAGAAGACAGAAAGAGAGAGAGCTGATTTGAAGAAGTAATGGCTGAAAACTTCCTAAATCTGCGGAAAAAAAAAAATTGACACAAAGATCCAAGAAGCTCAAAAAATCCCACCAAGGTTAAATCCAAAGAGAACCACACATTATACTCAAACTGCCTAAAGACAAAGACAAAGAGAGAATCTCAACAGCAGCAAGAGACATTTGGTCACATACAAGGCTACTTTCATAATGTTATAAATGGATTTCTGAGAAGAAACTTTGCAGACCAGAAGCAAGTAGGATGATATAATCAAAGTGTTGATATTAAAAAAAGAAGAAGAAAGAAAGAAAGAAGGAAGGAAGGAAAAAAAGGAAGGAAGGAAGAAAGGAAGGAGGGAAGGAAAAAGAAAGAAAGAAAAAGAAAGAAAGGAAGAAGGAAGGAAGGAAGGAAAAGAAAGAAAGAGAGAGAGAAAGAAAGAAAGAAAGAAAGAAAGAAAGAAAGAAGGAAGGAAAGAAAAGAAAGGGAAAGAAAAGAAAACTGCCGACCCAGCTGTGCTGATGCACAACATTGAATTCTCCTTAAGCTCTGTAAGTCGTGGCAGGCTTCATCAGTGCAATGTTCACAGGGTAAGTCTTAAACTTTATAGAGGATGGCAGGTATATCAGTTATTTCTGATGTAAAAACATTCGTGTTTCTGACTTTGAATTGAGAGCTTTTAGGGGGAGCATAATGGCTAGTGTTGTCACTATCAAAAATCTAAAAAGAAAAACTGAGATCTTTTTAATCTTGGTTACAGCACTCATGGCATGAACCTTACTCCACATGGGTGTCTTTGTTTGGTGGTGTTTTTTTTGTTTTTTGTTTTTTGTTTTTCTTTCTTTTTTTTTCTTTTTCTTTTTTTTTGTTTTTGCGCTTCTGAGGCTGGATATGTATGTCTAGCTGAAGATTTGATGTGGTTCCTCCTTAAGCTGTGTGTCCTGTTAACAATAGGTACTGTACCGGGCTCCATGTGTCACTGGGGGTAGGACCTATATTTTTAATACTGTTCCTAACATTTCATTTTCTAGCGAGAAATCTTTGATTTCATTTTATTTTTTGTAATTCTAGACACTAGATTGTAGTTTAGCCATAACCGACGTTTTTAAAAAAGGGATATATTTTCTTGCACAGTTGTTCGAAAAAGAGACAAGTTTCAGTCCTCAGTGCTGTCTTTTGTTTTACAGGTACAAGTTTTCTAGCTCAGACAACTACCAAAAACTGTAGACTATTCGCGAGGTATTAACTCACAGACCCGCTGGGGGCAGGGGCTGTTTTCTAAGTTGTAGGCAGAGGGGGATTGGGATGGTACAGTATGCACAAACAGGTACTGAGCTGACAGACTGGAATTTTCTGTACTAAAATGTTACTTTGTATCAAAAGTTAAACAGACTTTAGTACAACAAATAAAGGTCAATTTCTGTAAAGAAAAAAAGAAAGAAAACTGTCAACCCGGAACACCGATTCTGGCAAAACAGTTCTTTAAAAGTGAAGGAGAAATTATGACATTCCCAGATAAACCAAAGCTAAGGGAGTCATTACCGCTAGACATGCTCCGTAGGAGATGCTAAAGGGAGTCCTTCAAGTTAAAAGGAAAGGGCCATAGACGGCAACATAAAGCCTTACGAAAATACGAATCTCTCCAGCCAAGGTAAATACATAGAAACACATAGTAACCTATAACACTGAAATTTTGGTGCAAGGAATTTAAATGACAAAAAAAAAAACCATAAACCATAGCTATAAATCTATGTGAATGGGTACAAAATATACAAAGATGTAATCTGTGACTCAACAACATAAATGGGGGTAGGGTGGGTATGGAGCTGCAAAGTCGTAGAGTTTTTCTATGCCATTTAAGTTCATTGTTATTAGTTTAAAATGGAGTCCTATGAATTTAATGTGTTTCATGTAATTGCTGTGGTAATGGCAAAGAACGTATCTATAGAGTATACACAAAAGAAAATGAGAAGAGATTCAAAGCATATCACTAGAAAAGTATCAATGAACCGATGTAAGGCAGTAGGCGAGGAAAGGAGGGACAAAAATAAGCTAGAGAGTGGAGCAAGATGGCAGAATAGAATCCTACACTGTTCACCGCCCCCCCGCCACCCCCAACAATTCCCGCAGGAACACCAGATTTTAACAACTATCTGCACACAGAAAAGCACAGTCACAAGGGCCAAAAATCAGGTGAGCAATCACAATGCCTGGTTTTAACTTTACACAGCTGAAAGAGGCATTGAAGAGAGGTAGAGAGACAGTCATGATTCGCGGATGCCACCCCTCCCAGCAGCGGCCATCTTCTCCTTCACTTTTAAATAACTGTTTTGCCAGAACCGTGTTCCGGGTTGGAGAGCCTGTACACTTGAGGGAGGGAGAGCCAGAGGCTGGGGGACTTCACATTGAACACAGTGCTACCCTGTCATAGCGGAGAGCAAAGCCTTGCTGGGCTCCGCCAGTGCTGGCGCATGGAGGGAGCATTTGGACCAGCCCTAGCCAGAGGGCAGTTGCCCATCCCAGCGGTCAGAACTTGAGTTTCTCGGCAAGCCTTGCCACCGCAGGACAAAGTGCTCTGGGGTCCTAGGTAAACTTGAAAGGCAGTCTAGGACACAAGGACTGCACTTCCTAGGCAACTCCTACTGCTGAGCTGGGCTCAGAGACAGAGGACTAAGGTAGAGACACAAGCCAGGGTGGCTAAGGGAGTGCTTGCCGCACCCCTCCCCAACCCCAGGCAGCACAGCTGGCAGCAATGTGAAAGTGACTTCTTCCTTCTGCTTAAGGAGAGGAAAGCAGAGAGTAAAGAGGAATCTGTCTTGCATCTTGGATACCAGCACAGCCACAGTAGGATAGGGCACTGGGCAGAGTTGTGAGGCCTCCATTCCAGGCCCTAGCTCGCAGACGTTTCTAGACACAGCCTGGGCCAAAAGGGAACACCCTGCCTTGAAGGGAAGGAACCAGTCTTGGCAGGATCTATCACCTGCTGACTAAAGAGCCCTTGGGAATTGTCTCTGTTTGCACGTGACGTGGTTGTATATTTAGAAAACCCCATCGTCTCAGCCCCAAATCTCCTTAAGCTGATAAGCAACTTCAGGAAAGTCGCAGGATACAAAATCAAAAATCACAGGCATTCCTATACATCAACAACAGACAAATAGAGAGCCAAATCATGAGTGAACTCCCATCCACAATTGCTACTAAGAGAATCAAATACCTAGGAATACAACTTACAAGGGATATGAAGGACCTCTTCAAGGAGAACTACAAACCACTGCTCAAGGAAATAAGAGAGGACACAAACACATGGAAGAACATTCCATGCTCATGGATAGGAAGAATCAGTATCGTGAAAACGGCCATACTGCCCAAAGTAATTTATAGATTCAATGCTATCCCCACTGGCTTTCTTCACAGAATTGGAAAAAAACTACTTTAAAGTTCATATGGAACCAAAAAAGAGCCCGCATTGCCAAGACAATCCTAAGCCAAAGGAACAAAGCTGGAGGCATCACGCTACCTGACTTCAAACTATACTACAAGGCTACAGTAACCAAAACAGCATGGCACTGGTACCAAAACAGAGATACAGACCAATGGAACAGAACAGAGGCCTCAGAAATAACACCACACATCTACAACCATCTCATCTTTGACAAACCTGACACAAACAAGCAATGGGGAAAGGATTCCCTATTTAATAAATGGTGTTGGGAAAACTGGCTAGCCATATGCGGAAAACTGAAACTTCCTTACACCTTATACAAAAATTAATTCAAGATGGATGAAAGGCTTAAACGTAAGACCTAAAATCATAAAAATCCTAGAAGAAAACCTAGGCAATACCATTCAGGGCATAGGCATGGGCAAAGACTTCATGTCTAAAACACCAAAAGCAATGGCAACAAAAGCCAAAATTGACAATTGGGATCTAATTAAATGAAAGAGCTTCTGCACAGCAAAATAAACTATCATCAGAGTTAACAGGCAACCTACAGAATGGGAGAAAATTTTTGCAATCTATCCATCTGACAAAGGGCTAATATCCAGGATCTACAAAGAACTTAAACAAATTTACAAGAAGAAAACAAAACTTCCCCATGAAAAAGTGGGCAAAGGATATGAACAGACACTTCTCAAAAGAAGACATTTATGCAGCCAACAACCTATGAAAACATGCTCATCATCACTGGTCATTAGAGAAATGCAAATCAAAACCACAATGAGATACTATCTCACGCCAGTTGTTAGAATGGCAATCATTAAAAAGTGAGGAAACAACAGATGCTGGAGAGGATGTGGAGAAATAGGAACGCTTTTACACTGTTGGTGGGAGTGTAAACTATTTCAACCATTGTGGAGGACAGTGTGGCGATTCCACAAGGATCTAGAACTAGAAATACCATTTGACCCAGCAATCCCATTACTGGGTATATACCCAAAGGGTTATAAATCATGCTGCTATAAAGACACACGCTGACGTATGCTTATTGTGGCACTATTCACAATAGCAAAGACTTGGAACCAACCCAAATGTCCATCAATGATAGACTGGATAAAGAAAATGTGGCACATATACACCATGGAATCCTATGCAGCCATAAGAAAAGGATGAGTTGATGTCCTTTGCAGGGACATGGATGAAGCTGGAAACCATCATTCTCAGCAAACTATCACAGGAACAGAAAACCAAACACCACATGTTCTCACTCAGAAGTGGGAGTTGAACAATGAAAACATACGGACACAGGGAGGGGAACATCACACACCAGGGCCTGTCGGCGGGTGGGGGGCTACGGGAGGGATAGCATTAGGAGAAATACCTAATGTAGGTGACAGGTTGATGGGTGCAGCAAACCACCATGGCATGTGTATACCTATGTAACAAAACTGCACGTTCTGCACACGTACCCCAGAACTTAAAGTATAATTTAAAAAAAAAATGAAAAAAGCCCTTGGGCCCTGAATAACCAGCAGCAATGCCAGGTACTATGCCACGGGCCTTGGGCTCTGAGATATGCTGACTTCAGGTGTGACCCAGCACATTCCCGGCTGTGGTGGCTATGGTGAAAGACTCCTTCTGTTTGAGAAAAGCAGAGGGGAAAATAAATGTGACTTGGTCTTGCTGTCTTAGGTACCAGCTCAGCCACACTGGGGTAGCGCACCACCAAGTTTGGGGAACGTCGGGTCCCCAAGTCCAGGCCTAGGCTCTTGGACAGCATTTCTGGACCTGCTCTGGGCCAGAGGGGAGCCCACTGCCCTAAAGGGTGAGTCCCTGTCCTGGCAGCATTCACTGCAAGCTGACTAAAGTGCCCTTGGGCTTTAAGTGAGCATCGATGGTGGCCTGGCAGAACCGAACCCCCTCCACCCCGCACGTCCATGCGCTGGTGATGGTTGCGGCCACAGGGAGAGGCTTCTCTTCCTGTGGAAAGGGGAGGGAAGAGCAGAAAGTATTTTGTCTTGTGGTTTTGGTACCAGCTTAGCCTCAGTAGAATAGGACATTAGGCAAATTCCTAAGGTTTTTGCCTCCAATCTCTGGTTCCCAGACAGTATCTCTGGACCTGCCCAGAGCCTGGGGGAACTCACCGCCCTGAAAGTAAGGACAGAAACCTGGCTTGCTTCAACACCTGCTGATCGTAGAGCCCTAGGTCCTACAGTGGACATAGGTGTTAGCCAGGTAGTGGATACAGTGGGCCTTGGGTGAGACCCAGTGCTGTGCAGCCTTCATGTCTGACACAGGGCAGTCCCAGCACGTTCTCCAGGTGCTGGAATAAGTGGAAAAGGCAACACATTGTCTGGCGGATTCTCTACCTCTCTGTGATCCTGGCCTGTCAGGGCCCTTAATAAAAGCAGGAAGCAGTGTGTAGATGAAGCTGCACCTGCTGACTCAGTTTCCTGAGTGAGCAAATTTCATCACTAAGCTAACCAAACCTGCATGCCTCCTCCCAGTAACAATGATTGGAATGATGTCAACTTCTTCCATCACAGGTCTATAATCTGTGATTGTCA
Organism: Homo sapiens; assembly: GCF_000001405.40. Taxonomy (NCBI): domain Eukaryota; kingdom Metazoa; phylum Chordata; class Mammalia; order Primates; family Hominidae; genus Homo; species Homo sapiens. The sequence goes on from NC_000023.11 coordinate 72,860,338, forward strand.
CCTTTTTTTGTCATATTAGCAGTTTTTGGTGACCGAAAAGCCCCAGTGAGATGAACCCGGTACCTCAGTTGGAAATGCAGAAATCACCCATCTTCTGCGTCGCTCATGCTGGGAGCTGTAGACTGGAGCTGTTCCTATTCGGCCATCTTGGAACCTCCCCCACTTTCATCCACGTCCATGTATTTCTTAGAAAGTCTCCACCAATCCCTAGAGATGTGCCTTCTGAGAAATACATGACTTTTAATGAGTTTCACAGATCTAGTCAATGGTCACTGCTTCCTGCTTTTATTAAGGGCCCTGACAGGCCAGGATCACAGAGAGGTAGAGAATCCGCCAGACAATGTGTTGCCTTTTCCACTTATTCCAGCACCTGGAGAACGTGCTGGGACTGCCCTGTGTCAGACATGAAGGCTGCACAGCACTGGGTCTCACCCAAGGCCCACTGTATCCACTACCTGGCTAACACCTATGTCCACTGTAGGACCTAGGGCTCTACGATCAGCAGGTGTTGAAGCAAGCCAGGTTTCTGTCCTTACTTTCAGGGCGGTGAGTTCCCCCAGGCTCTGGGCAGGTCCAGAGATACTGTCTGGGAACCAGAGATTGGAGGCAAAAACCTTAGGAATTTGCCTAATGTCCTATTCTACTGAGGCTAAGCTGGTACCAAAACCACAAGACAAAATACTTTCTGCTCTTCCCTCCCCTTTCCACAGGAAGAGAAGCCTCTCCCTGTGGCCGCAACCATCACCAGCGCATGGACGTGCGGGGTGGAGGGGGTTCGGTTCTGCCAGGCCACCATCGATGCTCACTTAAAGCCCAAGGGCACTTTAGTCAGCTTGCAGTGAATGCTGCCAGGACAGGGACTCACCCTTTAGGGCAGTGGGCTCCCCTCTGGCCCAGAGCAGGTCCAGAAATGCTGTCCAAGAGCCTAGGCCTGGACTTGGGGACCCGACGTTCCCCAAACTTGGTGGTGCGCTACCCCAGTGTGGCTGAGCTGGTACCTAAGACAGCAAGACCAAGTCACATTTATTTTCCCCTCTGCTTTTCTCAAACAGAAGGAGTCTTTCACCATAGCCACCACAGCCGGGAATGTGCTGGGTCACACCTGAAGTCAGCATATCTCAGAGCCCAAGGCCCGTGGCATAGTACCTGGCATTGCTGCTGGTTATTCAGGGCCCAAGGGCTTTTTTCATTTTTTTTTTAAATTATACTTTAAGTTCTGGGGTACGTGTGCAGAACGTGCAGTTTTGTTACATAGGTATACACATGCCATGGTGGTTTGCTGCACCCATCAACCTGTCACCTACATTAGGTATTTCTCCTAATGCTATCCCTCCCGTAGCCCCCCACCCGCCGACAGGCCCTGGTGTGTGATGTTCCCCTCCCTGTGTCCGTATGTTTTCATTGTTCAACTCCCACTTCTGAGTGAGAACATGTGGTGTTTGGTTTTCTGTTCCTGTGATAGTTTGCTGAGAATGATGGTTTCCAGCTTCATCCATGTCCCTGCAAAGGACATCAACTCATCCTTTTCTTATGGCTGCATAGGATTCCATGGTGTATATGTGCCACATTTTCTTTATCCAGTCTATCATTGATGGACATTTGGGTTGGTTCCAAGTCTTTGCTATTGTGAATAGTGCCACAATAAGCATACGTCAGCGTGTGTCTTTATAGCAGCATGATTTATAACCCTTTGGGTATATACCCAGTAATGGGATTGCTGGGTCAAATGGTATTTCTAGTTCTAGATCCTTGTGGAATCGCCACACTGTCCTCCACAATGGTTGAAATAGTTTACACTCCCACCAACAGTGTAAAAGCGTTCCTATTTCTCCACATCCTCTCCAGCATCTGTTGTTTCCTCACTTTTTAATGATTGCCATTCTAACAACTGGCGTGAGATAGTATCTCATTGTGGTTTTGATTTGCATTTCTCTAATGACCAGTGATGATGAGCATGTTTTCATAGGTTGTTGGCTGCATAAATGTCTTCTTTTGAGAAGTGTCTGTTCATATCCTTTGCCCACTTTTTCATGGGGAAGTTTTGTTTTCTTCTTGTAAATTTGTTTAAGTTCTTTGTAGATCCTGGATATTAGCCCTTTGTCAGATGGATAGATTGCAAAAATTTTCTCCCATTCTGTAGGTTGCCTGTTAACTCTGATGATAGTTTATTTTGCTGTGCAGAAGCTCTTTCATTTAATTAGATCCCAATTGTCAATTTTGGCTTTTGTTGCCATTGCTTTTGGTGTTTTAGACATGAAGTCTTTGCCCATGCCTATGCCCTGAATGGTATTGCCTAGGTTTTCTTCTAGGATTTTTATGATTTTAGGTCTTACGTTTAAGCCTTTCATCCATCTTGAATTAATTTTTGTATAAGGTGTAAGGAAGTTTCAGTTTTCCGCATATGGCTAGCCAGTTTTCCCAACACCATTTATTAAATAGGGAATCCTTTCCCCATTGCTTGTTTGTGTCAGGTTTGTCAAAGATGAGATGGTTGTAGATGTGTGGTGTTATTTCTGAGGCCTCTGTTCTGTTCCATTGGTCTGTATCTCTGTTTTGGTACCAGTGCCATGCTGTTTTGGTTACTGTAGCCTTGTAGTATAGTTTGAAGTCAGGTAGCGTGATGCCTCCAGCTTTGTTCCTTTGGCTTAGGATTGTCTTGGCAATGCGGGCTCTTTTTTGGTTCCATATGAACTTTAAAGTAGTTTTTTTCCAATTCTGTGAAGAAAGCCAGTGGGGATAGCATTGAATCTATAAATTACTTTGGGCAGTATGGCCGTTTTCACGATACTGATTCTTCCTATCCATGAGCATGGAATGTTCTTCCATGTGTTTGTGTCCTCTCTTATTTCCTTGAGCAGTGGTTTGTAGTTCTCCTTGAAGAGGTCCTTCATATCCCTTGTAAGTTGTATTCCTAGGTATTTGATTCTCTTAGTAGCAATTGTGGATGGGAGTTCACTCATGATTTGGCTCTCTATTTGTCTGTTGTTGATGTATAGGAATGCCTGTGATTTTTGATTTTGTATCCTGCGACTTTCCTGAAGTTGCTTATCAGCTTAAGGAGATTTGGGGCTGAGACGATGGGGTTTTCTAAATATACAACCACGTCACGTGCAAACAGAGACAATTCCCAAGGGCTCTTTAGTCAGCAGGTGATAGATCCTGCCAAGACTGGTTCCTTCCCTTCAAGGCAGGGTGTTCCCTTTTGGCCCAGGCTGTGTCTAGAAACGTCTGCGAGCTAGGGCCTGGAATGGAGGCCTCACAACTCTGCCCAGTGCCCTATCCTACTGTGGCTGTGCTGGTATCCAAGATGCAAGACAGATTCCTCTTTACTCTCTGCTTTCCTCTCCTTAAGCAGAAGGAAGAAGTCACTTTCACATTGCTGCCAGCTGTGCTGCCTGGGGTTGGGGAGGGGTGCGGCAAGCACTCCCTTAGCCACCCTGGCTTGTGTCTCTACCTTAGTCCTCTGTCTCTGAGCCCAGCTCAGCAGTAGGAGTTGCCTAGGAAGTGCAGTCCTTGTGTCCTAGACTGCCTTTCAAGTTTACCTAGGACCCCAGAGCACTTTGTCCTGCGGTGGCAAGGCTTGCCGAGAAACTCAAGTTCTGACCGCTGGGATGGGCAACTGCCCTCTGGCTAGGGCTGGTCCAAATGCTCCCTCCATGCGCCAGCACTGGCGGAGCCCAGCAAGGCTTTGCTCTCCGCTATGACAGGGTAGCACTGTGTTCAATGTGAAGTCCCCCAGCCTCTGGCTCTCCCTCCCTCAAGTGTACAGGCTCTCCAACCCGGAACACGGTTCTGGCAAAACAGTTATTTAAAAGTGAAGGAGAAGATGGCCGCTGCTGGGAGGGGTGGCATCCGCGAATCATGACTGTCTCTCTACCTCTCTTCAATGCCTCTTTCAGCTGTGTAAAGTTAAAACCAGGCATTGTGATTGCTCACCTGATTTTTGGCCCTTGTGACTGTGCTTTTCTGTGTGCAGATAGTTGTTAAAATCTGGTGTTCCTGCGGGAATTGTTGGGGGTGGCGGGGGGGCGGTGAACAGTGTAGGATTCTATTCTGCCATCTTGCTCCACTCTCTAGCTTATTTTTGTCCCTCCTTTCCTCGCCTACTGCCTTACATCGGTTCATTGATACTTTTCTAGTGATATGCTTTGAATCTCTTCTCATTTTCTTTTGTGTATACTCTATAGATACGTTCTTTGCCATTACCACAGCAATTACATGAAACACATTAAATTCATAGGACTCCATTTTAAACTAATAACAATGAACTTAAATGGCATAGAAAAACTCTACGACTTTGCAGCTCCATACCCACCCTACCCCCATTTATGTTGTTGAGTCACAGATTACATCTTTGTATATTTTGTACCCATTCACATAGATTTATAGCTATGGTTTATGGTTTTTTTTTTTGTCATTTAAATTCCTTGCACCAAAATTTCAGTGTTATAGGTTACTATGTGTTTCTATGTATTTACCTTGGCTGGAGAGATTCGTATTTTCGTAAGGCTTTATGTTGCCGTCTATGGCCCTTTCCTTTTAACTTGAAGGACTCCCTTTAGCATCTCCTACGGAGCATGTCTAGCGGTAATGACTCCCTTAGCTTTGGTTTATCTGGGAATGTCATAATTTCTCCTTCACTTTTAAAGAACTGTTTTGCCAGAATCGGTGTTCCGGGTTGACAGTTTTCTTTCTTTTTTTCTTTACAGAAATTGACCTTTATTTGTTGTACTAAAGTCTGTTTAACTTTTGATACAAAGTAACATTTTAGTACAGAAAATTCCAGTCTGTCAGCTCAGTACCTGTTTGTGCATACTGTACCATCCCAATCCCCCTCTGCCTACAACTTAGAAAACAGCCCCTGCCCCCAGCGGGTCTGTGAGTTAATACCTCGCGAATAGTCTACAGTTTTTGGTAGTTGTCTGAGCTAGAAAACTTGTACCTGTAAAACAAAAGACAGCACTGAGGACTGAAACTTGTCTCTTTTTCGAACAACTGTGCAAGAAAATATATCCCTTTTTTAAAAACGTCGGTTATGGCTAAACTACAATCTAGTGTCTAGAATTACAAAAAATAAAATGAAATCAAAGATTTCTCGCTAGAAAATGAAATGTTAGGAACAGTATTAAAAATATAGGTCCTACCCCCAGTGACACATGGAGCCCGGTACAGTACCTATTGTTAACAGGACACACAGCTTAAGGAGGAACCACATCAAATCTTCAGCTAGACATACATATCCAGCCTCAGAAGCGCAAAAACAAAAAAAAAGAAAAAGAAAAAAAAAGAAAGAAAAACAAAAAACAAAAAACAAAAAAAACACCACCAAACAAAGACACCCATGTGGAGTAAGGTTCATGCCATGAGTGCTGTAACCAAGATTAAAAAGATCTCAGTTTTTCTTTTTAGATTTTTGATAGTGACAACACTAGCCATTATGCTCCCCCTAAAAGCTCTCAATTCAAAGTCAGAAACACGAATGTTTTTACATCAGAAATAACTGATATACCTGCCATCCTCTATAAAGTTTAAGACTTACCCTGTGAACATTGCACTGATGAAGCCTGCCACGACTTACAGAGCTTAAGGAGAATTCAATGTTGTGCATCAGCACAGCTGGGTCGGCAGTTTTCTTTTCTTTCCCTTTCTTTTCTTTCCTTCCTTCTTTCTTTCTTTCTTTCTTTCTTTCTTTCTTTCTTTCTTTCTTTCTTTCTTTTCTTTCTCTCTCTCTTTCTTTCTTTTCCTTCCTTCCTTCCTTCTTCCTTTCTTTCTTTTTCTTTCTTTCTTTCTTTTTCCTTCCCTCCTTCCTTTCTTCCTTCCTTCCTTTTTTTCCTTCCTTCCTTCTTTCTTTCTTTCTTCTTCTTTTTTTAATATCAACACTTTGATTATATCATCCTACTTGCTTCTGGTCTGCAAAGTTTCTTCTCAGAAATCCATTTATAACATTATGAAAGTAGCCTTGTATGTGACCAAATGTCTCTTGCTGCTGTTGAGATTCTCTCTTTGTCTTTGTCTTTAGGCAGTTTGAGTATAATGTGTGGTTCTCTTTGGATTTAACCTTGGTGGGATTTTTTGAGCTTCTTGGATCTTTGTGTCAATTTTTTTTTTTCCGCAGATTTAGGAAGTTTTCAGCCATTACTTCTTCAAATCAGCTCTCTCTCTTTCTGTCTTCTCCTACTGAGATTACCATAATGCATATACTAGTTCACTTGATGGTGTCCCAAAAGTCCCCTAGTCTATCTTCACTTTTCTTCATTCTTTTATTCTTTTGCTCCTCTGACATGATGATTTTAAATGACCTGCCTCCAAGCTTGATAATTCTTCTGCCTTATCAAGTGGTCTATTGAACACCTCCAGTGAATTTTGCAGTTAAGTTATTGTATTATTTTTTCATCTCTAGAATCTGCGTGGTTCTTTGTTATAGTGTTAATTTCTTTGTCAATATTCTCATTTCGTTCATGCTTCATTTTCCCGATTTCATTTAGTTGTCTCTCTGTGTTCTATTTTAGCTCATTGAACATCTTTATGACAATTACTTTAAATTCTTTGTCAGGCAGCTCTTAGGTCTACATTTATTTAGGGCTGGCTCCTGGAGTGTTGTTTTGCTCCAGTGACTGGGCCATCTTCCCCAGTTGATTTGTATGTCTTGAAATCTTTTGTTCGGATTTGGGCATTTGAAGAAACAATCACCTCTCCCAGTCTTTGCATACCAGCTTGGTGCATAGGAAGACCTTCGCCAATTGGCTGGAGGTTCTAGGACCTCTCAAACCTTTTGTAATGTCTTGTTGCCCCTGGCATCTACCTACATAACTGCAGCTCTTACCTGCTGTGCACTTTCGTTTTCAGGAGCTTCCAGACTCTATCTCAGGTTGCTTCAGCCTTCCAAGTCAGGCAAGACAGAAACCAGTCCCTCAAATAGCCCCCAAACAAGCCAGAACGTTGTATGCATGGTCCACTCTCTTGTTTTTATCCCAAGGGAGGGGCCCAGAATTCGTGATTTTTTTTTTCCTAGTGTTCCACACTACACCATGTAGAGGGAGGGGCACAAGGGGGATGCTGAATGCTGGGAATTTTCCTACCCCTGTCACTGGAATCCCCTCTTGGTTTTACAAGGGCCAATGTGCTGTAGCTTGTCCAGTGATCTCTACAATTCTCACAGAGGTATTTAGGTTTATATAATGTTGTTAAGTTAATGTCTCTATCAGGGAAGGAGGGACTGTAGCTTTCTTGACTGCTGTCATGCTGATATCACTCCCATGGGGGAACTTTTTAACAAGTGGTATTGGAAAAACTGGATCTCTTCCTCACACCATACACGAGGATACATTTCAAGTGGACCAGAGTTTACAGTGTGACAGGAGACAATCTTCTCTATATTTAGAGTGGGAAATCTTTCCTAGCTATGACTAAAAACCCAAAAGATATAAGGCAAAATATTGATAAAGTTTATTAAGGAAACATAAAATGCTTTTGCATGGCAAACAATGAAACAAAACACCATCAATGAGGTAAAAAGATACATGACAAAGAGGAAAAATGATTTACGACTTATATCAGAAGGAAAGGTAAATGTCCTAATATATCCCTAAGACGTAAAGAACTTTTCTTGGAAAGGAGAAAATGCCAAGGCCCCTATACTAACTGGGCCAAAACTATAAACTAAAAGTACATAAGAATAAAGAAAACAGGAATTTCTCTTAACCGTATGGAAAAGATGTGCAGCCTTGCACATGTGAAGGGAAACGCAAGCTAATGTATGCACTAATATATCATTTATCTCCTATCAGATGGGCAAATTCAAAAATCTGGCAATACTACTGGTGAGATGCTGGGAAAACTTTCTTTCTCCGATATTGATGGGGAAAAGGCAAATGGTCCATCCTTCTTGAAGAGGTATTTGACAGTAATGAGCAAGATACCTTGTGTTTTCACCTTTTAAGCAGCAATGGTACATCTAGGGATCAATCCCAAAGATGTAGTGATATAAAAATTGCTAAAGATTATGTCAGGAGCCTATCCATTGCAGCCATATTTAAAATAATAGCGAGAGCCAGGTGCGGTGGCTCACGCCTGTAATCCCAGCACTTTGGGAGGCCGAGGCAGGTGGATCACCTGAGGTCAGGAGTTCGAGACCAGCCTGGCTAGCATGGTGAAACCCCGTTTCTACTAAAAGAAAAAATAAAATAAAATAATAGCAAGAATAGAAACAACCAGAGTGTCCATCAATAGAAGACCAGTTGACCACACTATGGTAGGTCCACACAATGGAGTACCCTCTAGTTGTCGTGAGGAGTGAGGGATGTCTGCAGGGAGGACTGTGGAGTGATCTCAAGGATATCTTTTTTTTTTCTGAGGTGGAGTCTCGCTCTGTCGCCCAGGCTGGAGAGCAGTGACGCGATCTTAGTTCGCTGCGGCCTCTGCCTCCCGGGTTCAAACAATTCTCCTGCCTCAGCCTCCTGAGTAGCTGGGATTACAGGCACCCACTACCACGCCTGACTAATTTTTGTATTTTTAGTAGAGACGGGGTTTTACCATGTTGGCCAGACTGGTCCCAAACTCCTGACCTCAAGTGATCCACCTGCCTCGGCCTCCCAAAATGTTGGGATTACAGGCGTGAGCCACCACGCCGGCCTCAAGGATTTCTCTTTTTTCACTTTTAGTAACTTTGTTTATTCATGTGTCTTTAACCACTTCAGTACATGCATTACATTGTAGCTAACACATCTACTCACTGAAATAACACAGTTCTCAACGTGGGGAACAAGTGGCATTTATAGAAATTTTTCTTATATGTGTGACTTTAAATGCTTCACAAGATGCATAATAGTGTGGTCAGTACATCCATTCACTGAAATAACACTGTTCTCAGCTTGGCGATCAGGTAGCCTCAAGGATGTGTTTTTAAGTTTTTAAAAAAGGCGAGGTGGAGAAGTTTATGTATTAACAGCTTATGCAGCATTTATCTAAGCAGGAGGCGAGAGTGTAATGAATGTCAGTCTCTCTAAAGAGAGATACAGGTCCAATGGCCAGGTAATACCGGTTGCCCCCATTTCTCTAGCCTTTAAGAAATCTGTTGACAAAAAAGAAAAGAGAAATCTGTTGAATATAACCGTGTATGGATGGGTTTTGCCAATTCTGAGATCCCTACCACTCACCTCTACCCGACTTTGGCCCCCTCCAAGAATGCGCATTCCCACATAAATGGTTTTGACTGTTTATTCCGCTCAATATTTGTCCCAGGTCTTTCCATTTTTTAATTTAAAAATAATACTTTCCCATACATTTTAGGCTGTTCTTGATCAGAAACCAGCAGTAGCAGCCCTTTATGGCCCTGCAGTGTTAGCGGAACCTACTTTGGAAAAGCTGTCTTTCTGGGCAAGGGTTGAAAGTGGCGGAGTGCTGGAGCTGGCTCTTACCAGAACATAAGAGCCAACCATAAGATTTTCAAGAATTTTGTGAGCCAGTTGTTAAATACAGCCATTATTAAAAACTACATTATATAAACTAACAATCACATCAATTATATTGAAAACAAACATAATATATGCTAAAAAATATCAATCCCTAATTATTTTTCTACGTTGTACTGTTATCTGTGTTCTTGTGGTTATTTACATTTATGGTATCCGAATGGTAAAAATACATCTCTTCCCAACTCTGCGTTCACTGACATCACTTTGATATCTTGCATTCGGCAAATGCAACAACCCAGGGCATTTCCCCCAACCTTCCTTTCCCCTGAGAGCCAGTTGCTAAACCTGTACCTGCACACTAATGGTTGAAATTGATCCACTCTACAGAAGCTCTGATGTGATGGGTATGCTCAGATCTAACCAATGCTGTTATGTGACATACACGAGTCAAGACATAACTCACAGTGCTCTACACAGCCATGTTTTAAATCTATGAACAGGGGTAGTACACGGCTAAGGGAAGTACACGAAAAAGGTTTGATATTTAACATTCACAAAGATGTCCTAAGATGCCAAAAATACACCATTATGAGACTTTAGAAAAAGTGTGTGTGTGTATGGGGGGAGGGGGGCATCAGGAAAATAAAAGGGGACAGGGAAAAGGGCCTCACTGCTTCCCCCAATGCCCATCACTTTATTTCTGTTTTTCCTCCCTCTTCTCATGCCACATCCTTTAACCAAAATATGCCTCCTCTTTCACCCAAGTCAACTGTGGGACTGTGGTGTGCCTAGGACACGATTTCATAGCAGGATCTTAGTCCTCTTCCAGGTACTACCGCTTCATTCCTCCAGAAATATGTGGACTTGTTCATCCATCACTAGGAAAGGAGGGGCTTTGGGATCATTTGTTCGAGTAACAAATCAGGGAAGAAGGAAGGTGTGAGCTGGACTTCAGTCTAGTCTTGCTCCGAGTCTGAGTGACTTTGCACGTTTGTTTCTCTGCCATCAGATCAAGAATATAAGAATCCTGACTTCTCGGGGTCTCAAAAAAGAAAGGACAAGTTGTAATTGGATGTCATCCGAATCAATTGTCTTGGGTAAAGTACTGGGAGGGAAGAAAGGAGGGAGATAATAGCATGGAAAAGGGCCCATATCCAGGCATGTCCAATTGAGCTTTCTTTCTGCCTGGTGGGGGGTCTCCAGGTCTTCATTTGTTTAGAATATCAGCAGAGGACTGGGAAACCAGTGCAGGTAAGAAAGATCTGATCGATTACTACATATTGTTGTTACCTTGAGTAAGAAATAAAGGGACTATTTTGGAAAAACCCTCTGACTGATGTTTGTTGCTTTGAGTTTTGAACCTTTTATTCAATGCTTTATTTAAAAATCGAATTATTCGCTGATTTAGGGCCTGATAAAGACAAGGGAGTGTTCGCTGATCTTTGGCTTAAAATTTCCCCCAAACCACTTCTGCAAGTCACTTTCATTCTTTGAGTGTGTTTCCTCATAGGCAAAATGGCAATAATAATGCTCAGCTTGCAAAGTTGCCGTGAGGCTGTATGTGCTTAGTGCGGTGTGCACAGAATAAATAAAAGGTAGTGATGCTTCCTCATATTTCATGGGTCCTTCAAAAACAGGGTCTGAGTCTAACTCATTTCTCCTGTTTGATTCTTCTTGTCCTGATTGGCCTCAGTTTCCCCCACTGTAAAATTCACATTGGTCTAGAACAAAACTGGCATTTCCCTTGGCCAAAACTGTCCTTCAAGGAAGTTTGGTTTGGCCCAGATATAGGGCTTAAAGAAGAAACCCGAGCCAACGTTTAAAGTTGAGTGATTTTATGTAGAAATCTAGAATTCCATCTTCTCTTGAAAAAACAGTCAATTTGGCCACCATGAGTCGCTATCCCTGCATGGCAACAATTGCCTGGAGCCAAGCAGCAGCTGCCCACTTACGCAGAGCATACACTGTCAGTTTGGCCAGAGGCCATCGGGCCTGCTCTACTCATTTACATGATCTGCTTGATCCTACAGGCATTGCCACTTACGGCCCTCTGGGCAACTGGAAACAGTCTATGCCAGGCAGAGGGTAGGTACTTCCTTGCTCAATGAATACATACCCTACTCTTTTTCCTCTACCATTTTCTTATCTAGCCATGTTAGGAAATCCCAGTTATTGGATAAGGTGATTCTCACTTTGAAACATGAATTGAACAAATCGGTTAGAGTCGCGATAGTCTGGGTTATACTGTGGTAACAAACAACCCGTATATCACAGTGCCTTATAACAACAACGGTTTATTATTTGTTCACGTACATAAACCTAGACACAAAGTGAAAACATCTTCATGTTTCCACATGCAGGGGTATACACATGAGTGCACAGGTATGTCAGCAATCACAAGACGAATAAAAACTCTGGCATATGAACTCACACAGAACCCCACTGAGAGACTGATCAACTTAGATTGCACAATCCTGTCTTTATGAGACAGAAAAAGGCCCCAGCATCCAAAAGAGTAAGGGACAGAGGTACAAGAATATCCACCCTCAGCCAAGGAGTTGCCCCATATAATAAAAAGCTTATAAAACACCTGAAGGCTTTAAAAAAAGACGTTAAGCGTTTTGGACGTTAACCATTTTGCACATTCAGAAACTGGATACCAAATAGGCAGTGCTCTATTGAGGCCTCCTCCTCTGGGTTCCTAGCTCAAGAGGGAGATGCATCCCAGATGTCCAATAGGCAGCGAGATGGAGCTGGCTGGCCTGGGGCGGAGAGAGGGGCTGGGAGGCTGGAATCCTTTATCTCCAGCAGGAGCTGTGGACAGAAAGGAAGGGGCCAGAGCCAGGTCACATCCACATCCCCTTCCAGATCTACTCTTTTTATGCGTCCCGCCCAACCAAAGATTTGTCACCTGGACTGTTGCATAGACCTCTTCCTCTCTGATTTCCCCATCTCCCATCTTGCCTCCCCCAATCCTTCCATCAAAGCCACCACAACTCTTTTTGTCAAGCTCAGGGTCTCTGAAATTGTTCTCCCTAGCTCAGAAAACGTTCCCTGGCTCCTCACTACCCACAGTTGCTGGTCCAGCCTCCTAAGCCTGACCTGTCAGACCTCTGTGATTGGTATCCTCTCCAGCCTCATCCCTTTCTGTTCCAGCAGTCCCTCCAGGGGTGTTTCTTCACTGACACACCATGCTCCATTCACCATTTGGATCTGGGAATGCCTAGCCTTCCCTCCCAGCCTCCCCAGTTGTTTATCCCCCCTCGGAGCTCCTCCAGCCCCTCCTCTCTGGGCACATCGTTAAAATTTGGCCACAAAACACAGCTTGCAAGGGCATCCAGGCTCCACATCTAGACTGGAAGCTCCCGGAAGGCAGAGACCAGACCTCCTTCCAGACCAAGCCCTTTATCACCTCTGTATGTCCTCCCCAGACCACAGTAGGCCACAGGCGGCTGAGCATAGACCCTGGGCTGAAAGTCAAGAGGGCCGGTTCTTCCACTTGATATGCTGCATGCATATCAGAGAGGGCAAGTCCCTGCCACTCTCAGGGCCTCAGCTTCCTTCTTTCTTGACATCAGGGCACTGAACGCTTGCTGTTGCACACAAAGCTCAATAAACCGAAGATTCAATAAACAGCCCTCAACTACCATCTCGGGAGTCATACTGAGGAGCTTGGGTGCCTGGCCCCAAGGAGATTCAACTTACTGACTCTGATTTTTCAGTTAGAACCTGCTTACCACAACGACCCCCATTCCCCAGCTATTCCCACCCTGTATTCTCCTTTCAGGGAGCAGGCTACCTGGTGGGTTGCAAGGCTGGTGCAGGGAGATGGAGTCAGGAGGGGCCTGGGCAGAGTTTCTCAGAGTCAGCAGAGCCTCAGCGGCCTCCAGCTTCCGCTGCCACTCTGAGTGGGCAGAAACCAAAGCCTGGTCAGAGACTTTGGGGACCTGGAAAGGAAAGTGCATGAGAGAATAGGCACTGGGAAACTACACCTCTTCCCAATACGACAAGTGCCCCTTCAGCCCCCTGTTCCCTCAACCTCCTCCCCCACCCCCACCAAGGCCTTCTGCTCTTCCCATCCACTAAACTCCGCCCCTCCCAGGGTTCTGGACCCCACTACTTTCCCAGGACCTGTGGCTGCAGTAGAAGAGGGTCAAGGGTGGCACAGGGCTGGAGGATCAGAGTTGAGCATCTAGAAACAAGGAAAGGAGAGGCCAGGGGATTAAATCCGCTGGCGGACACATACTACCAGTAGACAGAAAGAGGGGCAGGATTTTGCAGTATCTGGATGTGAGAATCCCAATGCCTGCTGGACCATTAGTCATTGTGGCTGGGGCAAGTCCCTTCTCCTGCTTGGCCAGGTTTCTTTTCCATACCTCTTTTTCCTGACAGGGACGCTTATTCCTACCAGCTCTTTCCTCCCAGGGCAATGGTGAAAATCATGGGAAATTACAGGTGTCCGTGCTTTAATTTGCAAAACACCTGGAGAGATGTGATTACTGTCCCTCTTCAGGGACTGGTTCTCACTTCCATATTGCCCAGTCCCCATGGGTCTTGAAGGGTCTCCAGGAAGCTTTCTCTAATGGCCTCTGGGCTTTGCCCTGGGCCTCTGTGGCCCTCGCCAGCACGGACCCCACCTTTCAGCAGGACCTTCTATCCCATCCACCTGTTTCATGTGGCATAACAACCCCCATTTGTTGAAGCCCTACTATGTGGCAGGCCTTGTGCCCGTTCCCTTTTCAATGCTATGGGTATAGAATATTGTCCTCAGTACATCCATAGGGAAATGGAGGTTCAGACACATAAAGTCACTTGTCCAAAGTCTCACAAATAGAAAATAGCAAAGCTAGGAGAGCCCTGTCCTCGCCCGTTAGTATTAGATGCTGCCTTGCCCTCCTCCTTCTTCTCCTCCTCCTCCTCTCCCTCCTCCTCCTCCTCCTCCTCCTCCTGCTCCTCCTCCCCCTCCACCACCTCCTCCTCCTCCTCCCCCTCTTCCTCCTCCATCTCCCACGGCATCAAGGACAAGGTTAGGCACACAAGACACAACCTGCTCCATGGTCCTCACGCTACTCACATGCTGGGCAGGGCAGGGGCCCTGTGGGGATCCCCAGAAGGAGAAACCAGTTGCTGCTCCAAGGTCACTGGAGTACAGGGCAGAGACAAAGGTTCTGGGGCCTGGCCAAGCAGCAGAGCCCCTTGGGAGCTCCCCTGCAGGGGCAGAGAGCACAGGTTGCAGTCAGGTACCAGGCCAGCCATGGAGAGAGGAGGTGTGGACATGTTTTAGGATGAGGATAGGAGCCTAGAATGTCAGAGCTCCGAAGACCTTGAAGACCAGCCAGTCTTGCCTTTCATTTTGCAACTGGGGAAATTGAGGCCCAGGGAGGAGAAGTGATATTTCCCAAGGTCACATGGTGAGCTGGTGATAGGATTGGAGATGAAACCCATGTCCTTGGGACACGGTGAAAGATGTCTGGACAGTGGCTGGGTGGGAGCCTGCCCGACTGGTCACCGACTCTCCTTACCTCCTCGGGGGCTGTGAAGATGTGGGTCTCGGGCTGCAGCATGTTGTTCTCCTTCCCAGCTGTGAAAGACCAGGAACAGCTTTGGTGAGTCTTTCCCCCAACCCCACCCCACTTCACCCCACCTCCAGTCGCAGGTCTCATCTCACCATGGAGCTCTTCGATTGCCCTGTCCCCCAGCTCTCTCCTTCCTACAAACACTTGGTAGACAACATTGGTGACATTTTGCACCTGGGCACACTAAGGTCCAGGGAGCAATTTGCCCCAGGTCGCACTGCAATTCTGTGACAGGACTGGTGACAGAACCACTCATGCTTCCTCCACCCAAACTCTGGCTCCCTCCCTTGCCAGAAACACTCACTGAGGGCTCCTGCTCTGATGGTCAAATTCCTGACACGGATGGGAGCTTTGGGAGGGGCAGCCATACTCCTTATTGGTCCTTGAGCCAGGTGTCTCTTTGATCGTGCCCGCTGCTCCCTCTTCAAGGCACTCACAGCAGGCAAGACCCTGAGGCGTTCTCTGAAGCAAAGGATAGCAGGGCTAAGATTAGTCCCATTTAGAGGAGGTCTGGCCCCTCCGCATCTCAGACACCATACTCATGAGAAGAGGGCACAATTGTGACACTCGCAGGCCTGGAAGAGGCAGAAATGCTTGTGGCCCCTGATTTGGGCAGTGATACCCAAATGGTTGTGGCAGCGGTCACAGCAACCTATAGCTCTTCTGGGGCCAAGTTCAGTCCCCCATGGGGCTCCAGTCTGACGCCCTGTGGTGCATTCAGAGTCAGAGGGGCAGCAGGGTGCAGCGGGTATTTATTTGTCCTCAGTACATCCATAGGGAAATGGAGGTTCAGACACACGGGATCCATGCTTCTAGGGTCAGGAGCGGAGGTCAGAATGGCCACGTGATCCCCTACCCCCAACGTACTTCCTCTGCCCTTGGAAAACCCTATCTGAGGTGGCTCAATGCTCCTTCTCCATCCTTCTCACCGCTGGAATCAGATTGCCTTCCCTCCCCTTCTTCTCCCATGGTTTTCGCCAACCTTCACTGCAACCCCCTTGCTGATGTTGCCTCCTTCCCAGAAGCCCCACTCACACATAGCCCCCTCCCAAGAAACTCTTGGAATGGATCCCATACCCATTCAATGCAGTCATTATTCTCCTTGCTTACCGTCACTTCACCATAGACCCCACTTTCAGGCATGCACATGCACTCCCCTGCCCTCTTCCACCATTACTACACGCCCTTCTTGTGTATCATCCTGCACTCTGCCAAACCCAAGTATTATTCCTGGCATCCACTTCACCAATTCTCTTCAGAACCTCCTGCATTCATTCACTCCCCGCACAGGATTTTGTGCCACCAGCACTCAATTCCATTGTCAGTCTCTTCTATGCCCTATATTCAATTTTCCCCTCACATTTCATGCTGGTTCATGCTGATTTTTTTCTTGTACTCCACCTTACACTTAATTATTCCCTTGCTCCCCCTTTGAGCTGATTTCCCTCTTGTATCCCATGAAATCATATTGTTCTCCTGGATCCCTGGCCCTCTTTCAGTTACTAATTTCATTCATCCCTTCATGCATCCCCCCCGGCCTTTTTTTTTTTTTTTTTTTTTGAGACGGAGTTTCACTCGTTACCCAGGCTGGAGGGCAATGGTGTGATCTCGGCTCACTGCAACCTCTGCCTCCCGGGTTCAAGTGATTCTCCTGCCTCATCCTCCCGAGTAGCTGGGATTACAGGTGCCTGCCACCACGCCTGGCTAATTTTTTGTATTTTTTTTTTTTTTAGACGGAGTCTCGCTCTGTCGCCCAGGCGGGAGTGCAGTGGCGCAATCTCGGCTCACTGCAAGCTCCGCCTCCCGGGTTCACGCCATTCTCCTGCCTCAGCCTCCCGCGTAGCTGGGACTACAGGCGCCCGCCATCACGCCCGGCTAATTTTTTTGTACTTTTAGTAGAGACGGGGTTTCGCCGTGTTAGCCAGGATGGTCTCGATCTCCTGACCTCGTGATCCGCCCGCCTCGGCCTCCCAAAGTGCTGGGATTACAGGCGTGAGCCACCGCGCCCCGCCATTTTTTGTATTTTTTAATAGAGACGGGGTTTCACATGTTGGCCAGGCTGATCCACCTGCCTCGGCCTCCCAAGGTGCTGGGATTACAGGCGTGAGCCACCGGGCCCGGCCGATTCCCTTGATTCTTCATTCAGCAGGTACCTGTTGAGCCTCCTATGAAGTGTCAGGTTCTGATCTAGCCAGTAGGGAACTCCTCAGTGCAGTAGTGTTTCTCTTGGACTCACACACCTTTTCTGCTTTCATGAAAACCCACACATTCCCTCCACAGCCTCCCCAAAATCTTCCATAATCCTCTCCACACTTCAACAATTGTGCTTGAGCACACCATTTCCCCCCACCCCCACCCCACCCCACACACGCAGTCCCACCACCCTGGAGCGCACCACTTCCTCAGGAAGCCCAATCATCCACTCCCTCCCGGACCTCCGAATCAAAAGCAATCCCATGAGCCCTGCCTCATTGGCCAAAGGCCAGGGCTCAGGGGGCTGGAGCAAGGAGTCCTCCCGAAAGGGATTCCGGGAGAGCTGAGGGCGCGATGGGACATCAGGAGCAGTTGGGGGTTCCCTGCTGAGGTAGCAGAGAGGGGAAGGGGTTGGGAATCTGGCTCAGGAGGGTGGGAGGAAATAAGAGGCGTGGAGAACGAGGACCTAATTCTGATGTCAGCCTGTGGTTGCCTCAGCCTCCGGCAAGTCAGAACCAGTCAGACGGTCTGAGGGAAGATCCAGCTTCTGCTTCCCTTCCCGCTCTTGCCACAAAGGCCAATGAGCTCTTGCGCTGCCTTCGACCTCCCGCCGCTGTGGCTGGCGACCAATGAACCTCGAGATCTCTTGACGCTCACGTTCTGAGGCCACGCCCCCATCACCTCCCCGTAGCTTCTCCCGCTCCCTGTACTAGGTCAGTCAAGAAATCGTGAAGTGATCGTTGAGCTTTATGCTCCCCAGGGCTTGTTTCCCAGATTAGTCTCCCTTTGGGTGTGAAATATTTGGTGTGCATGCATTTATAACTCATGTACTTGGTATTTTGTAATTTACCTTTTAAAAATTCAGCATGTGATTAAAGATCCATCCATATTTCCATGCCGCGGATTCCCAATCAGTGGTGACTTTGCAACCCCCAGGGAACAATGCTTGGAGACACTTTCGTCCATATTTGTGTGTCTCTGTTTATGAACTCCCTGTTATGTTCCACAGATAAATGTGTCTATTCCTGTACCACTACTAAATTGTCTTAAATTTTTTCACTTCGCAATACATCTTGACATCTGCTAGGGCAAGTCCCTGCATGGTGTTCATCATCTCCAAACACATCTTTGCTATTCTTTGCCATTCTTTGCCTTCTTGTCCTTCCGCACGAATTAGTATGCAATGTCAAGTCTCCCCAGACTCAGTCGTAACAGCTTTGGATTGCATTTTCACTGAATCTATGGATCAGTTAGGGGGAGAATCTACTATCTGTAGAATACTCAGCCTTCCTGTTCACCAACTTGGGATGTCTCCACTTATGTGCGTCCTTAATGTTTTAATCTTTCAGTTCAGTTTTTAGTTTCATCTTTTGTATATTTAGATCTTGCACATCATTTATTGTATTTATTCCAAGATACTGTAGATTGTTGCTGTTCTTGTACTTGATGTCTGTTTAAAAGGACAATTTCTATTTGGATCGAATTTACAGAAATGCCTTTAACTTTTAAAAACGTGACTTGATCTTAAAGTCTGTCAACATGCTAAACTCTATAGTAGGCGTTCTGGGATTATCTGTGAGTTTATGCATAGTAGAAATAGAATTGAAGTTATGGGGGTTTTTTGTTTGTTTTTTTTTTTTTTTTTTTTTTTGGTTGGTTGGCTGTTTGTTTTTTAACAGCGCTGGCTAGGAAATTTAGTACCAGATCTAATAGCGACAGCAAAATTGGGCTTCTTTGGGTTGTTCCGGATTTTAAAAGGAATGCTGCCAGCATTTCCATATTAATATTGTTTCCTTGTGTTTTCCTTAACTTTTCGTTTCCTTTTCTTTGCTTTCCTTTCCCTTCCCTTCCCTTCCCTTCCCTTCCCTTCCTTTCCTTTCCGTTCTTTCCTTTCCTCCTTCCTTCCTTCCTTTCTTCTTCCTCTCTCCCTACACCACACCACCTCCACCCCCGAATGTCTTAGGCCTTTTGTCCTTCTGCATAAATTAGCATGCAATTTCAAGTTTCCCAAAAACTCGGTTGTAACAGATTTGGACTGCATTTTCACTGAATCTATGGATCAGTTATGGGAGAATCCATTATCTCTAGAATACCCAGCCTAGGTAACTTCCCAGGTTTTTTCCAAAACCTTCAGCCAAGTTTAACTTATAATCCAAAAGGTTAAAAAATCATAAATGTATATCTTAATCAGTTTTCTATCTCTTTCTTTCTTTTCCTTTCTTTCTTTCTTTCTTACCCTTTCTTTCTCCCTTTCTCTCTCTCTTTCTCTTTCTCCTTCCTTCCTTCCTCCCTCCCTCCTTCCCTCCCTCCCACCCTTCCTTCCTTCCTTCCTTCCTTCCTTCCTTGGGCTGCTTTCTTTATTTGATTTGTAAACAAAGAAGAAACAAAAAAGCAGCCCCTCACTCTGTCACCCAGGCTGCTGAAGTGCAGTGTCGTGATCTTGGCTCACTGCAACCTCCACCTCCTGGGCTCAAGCAATCCTCCTGCCTCAGCCTCTCAAGTACCTGGGACTACAGGCACACGACCATCCCCAGCTAATTTTCGTATATTTTGTAGAGACGGGGTTTCTCCATGTTGCCCAGGCTATCGTGAACTCCTGGGACTACAGGCACACGACCATCCCCAGCTAATTTTCGTATATTTTGTAGAGACGGGGTTTCTCCATGTTGCCCAGGCTATCGTGAACTCCTGGGCCCAAGCAGTCCGCCCGACAAAAGTGCTGGGATTACAGGTGTGAGCCACCAAGCCAGGCCTCTTAATGAGTTTTCAAAAATTAAATATACGCATGCAATTAGTATCTAGAACAGGCAACAAAATATATGAGCAACACACAAACCTCTCTCGGGTCCCCTTCCAGTTACAGCTTTGCTAATGTCAAACCAGCTTTCCTCTCCCATAGTAAATGTAACTTAGCTATGGTGTATTAATTTTTTTGTGTATGGTACATTAGAGCAGTGGTCCTAAAACACTAGCTTGCATCAGAATCACCCAGAGGGCTTGATAAAACAAAGATTTCTGAGCTCCGTATCTGTATTCTCAGACGACAAGATCTGGGGTGGGACCCAGAGTTTGCTTTGCTTTGCTTTGCTTTGCTTTGCTTTGCTTTGCTTTGCTTTGCTTTGCTTTGCTTTGCTTTTTCTCTTTGCTTTGCTTTGCTTTTTCTCTTTTCTTTCTTTCTTTTTTTTTTTTTTTTTGACGGAGTTTCGCTCTTGTTGCCCAGGTTTCAGTGCAATGGCGCGATCTCGGCTCACCGCAAACTCCGCCACCCGGGTTCAAGATATTCTCCTGCCTCAGCCTCCCGAGTAGCTGGGATTACAGGCATTCACCACCACGCCCGGTTAATTTTGTATTTTCAGTAGAGACGGGGTTTCTCCGTGTTGGTCAGGCTGGTCTCGAACTCCTGACCTCAGGTGATCCACCCGCCTGGGCCTCCCAAAGTGCTGGGATTACAGGCGTGAGCCACCAGGCTCGGCCGAGTTTGCTTAGCAAACAAGTTCCCTGGTGATGCTAACACTGCTGGTAGGGGACCACATTTTGAGAACGACAGCACAAGAGAGGATAACATAAGGAACCTCCAAATATCCATCTCCCAACTGCAACCATTAACGACTCATGGCCAATCACATTTCATACATATCCTCTCCTCTCCCCCTCCTCCAGATTATTTTCAAGCAAATATCAGAAATCAAAAAAGTACAAAAATCATACGTGGATATCTTAATGTATCTTATTTGATTTGTAAACATTTCAGTGCGTAACTCTAAATATGAGGAATCTATTTTCCTCAACGTTTTATTTTGAAAATACACAAAGCTGAGGGGGTAATACAGTGAACAATCTGATGCCTAGATTCACGTTGTCTCATTGCTTTATCTCTCAGTAATTTTTTTCTTGCCTAACCACGTAGCAGTTCCAAACACTTCACCCAGTTACTTCAGCATGCACCTCCTAAACACTAGAATGTACTCCTATGAAACCGCAGTGCCATTATCACATTGAAGAAATGTAACAATGAAGGGGTAATACTATCCAAGTTCACATACAGTTCATATTTAAATTTCACCAAATGTCCCAATAATATCCTTTTGAAAGACTTTTTGGGGGATCAACAATCCAGTCAAGCATGGTACACTGCACACAGTTGTCATGTCTCTTTAGTGTCCTCTAATTGCAAACAGTACCCCCAAACAATTTTTTAAACCTTCCATGACGATGACATTTTTTCCAGAGCCGAGGCCTGTTGTCTCGTAAAGTGTCCCACAATACGGGCTGGCCTGATATTTGCCTCTTGTTTATATTTATGTTTGACACTTTGGGTACGAATATTAAGAAGGTGATGAGCAGTTCACATTATGTCACATCTGGAGGCTCCTAACGCCAGTTTCTCTAGTTATCGGTGATGCTGTTTGTATTCATCAGTTTTATCACTTAACTAAGGTATTTTTCAGACAGAGTACTACACTGGGAAGGTACTTCTCTCCCTTTGTGATTAATAAGTAGTCTGTCAGGATATTTCGATGACATGCGGATATTCTGCTCTCCAACAGAATTTTACCTCTTGGCCTTAGTATTCATTCAGGGCTCCTGCCCGATTTGATTATTACTTTGTTGGTTAAAAAGTGGTGATTTCTCTAATTCTATAATTCATTTCTGCTTTTATGGATGGGCATTTTGATGTAAAAAAGCTCATCTCACCCCCTCCCCCACCTCGTTGTTGTCGATGTTGCATTTGCTGTGGCAGAGACAGAGCACAAGCTGTTTATTCGTTTTGTTGAAAGAAATGTAAAGAGAATAAACTGGACAATATTAAGAGAAATGTAAGCAAATACATGATGAATTTGATAAGAATTTTCCCTCTAACAGTCTAATCAGATTGACAAAATTCGTTGCCTGAAATTAGAATTAATTGGTCAGCAATAGCAAAAAAGGCAGTTTATGATAATTATTAAGAGGATCTGAGGTTATTAATTTGGCCAACTAAAAAATGGCTCGGATCTTGTAGAATACACACACACAGACACACACACACACACATTTTTGGTGGAGACCTCATAAAAAGGTATTGTTATTTCAGTTACATAACGCATAATAGAAAATTATGAGACCACATATATAATATTTTACAGAACGCAGAAGGCCTTCACCTAAGTCGCCACTCAAATGTCCATGTAATACAAGACCTTTCTAACAGTATGGAAGAATAATTGATTCAAAGTCTGAAAAATTTCAACTACCTTACTTTTAGCATTACATGAATCATGGGAAATTTTGTCTCCAAGAACTTTCCAATTTGCAAAGACACGCTCGTAGCATGAAAAATTGAACTCATAGTGCAGTTATTTGGGTATCATGTCTACCTCTTAGAAAGGAAATCGAGTTAATTGTGAAAGACATCGCAGAAACTAGTTTCTATGGTGAAAGGCAGGGATCTGGCTGTTAGTTCAAAAATCAAATTTTGTTGTGATTTAAGTCAAGAGTCTGATGTTTCTTTTATTTCTTCTTTCCATTGTATGATTCATATTGAAAACATAAGGGCTTAGCTTCCTAAAGTCAACTATATGAAAAGTTTCATAACTATAGTTATTAAAGTCATTCAGTAAATATGCACAGAGGCAGTGAATCATCATAGGCTTATTTTGTCAGTCTTTGTTGAGTTTTGTATGTTTTGTTGGTCTTCTTAAAGACCTCGGTTTTTATTTATTGATTTTCTCTATTATTTTTCAGGTTTCCATTTCATTGATTATTTTACCTATCTTTCACATTTCCTTCCTTCTGCTTCTTTTGCTCCTCTTTTTCTAGTTTAGTGTAGTGACATCATAGATTACTGCTTTGATAATTTTCCATTTGTCTAATGGAAGCACTTAATGGCATAAATTTTCCTTTCAACAATGCTTTAGCTTTGCACCACAGATGTTGACATGTTTTATAATCATTTCCATTCAGTTCAATTCACTTTCTGAAGTCCTGGAAGATTTAGTCTTCAGTATTCTTTTTATTTAAATTGGCCAATAAAAATTGTATATATTTGTGGTGTACAACATGATGTTTTGATAATAAGTATACACTGTGAAATGGCTAAATCAAGGTAATTATCATATGCATTACCTCACATACTTACCATTTTTTGTGTGTGGTGAGAACACCTAAAAACTACTCTCAGCAAATTTCAAGTATACAGCATATTGTTATTAACCATAGTCACCACGGTGTAGAATAGATCTTTTGAAATTATTCCTCCTGTCTAGCTGAAAGTTTGTACCCTTTGGTCAACATCTCCCCCACTCCCCCAAACTCCAGCCTCTGGTAACCACCATTCCACTCGCTACCTCTAAAAGATCGACTTTTTCACCTTCCACACATGGAAATGCCACGTGTTGTTGGAAACGCCATGATTTCCTTCTTTTACATGGCAGAACAGTATTCCATTGTGTATATAGACCACACTTTTCTTTATTCGTTAATCCGCTGATGAACACTTAGGTTCATTGTAAGTCTTGGCTATTGTGAATAGTGATGCAGTGAAGATGGGAGTGCAGATATCTCTCTGACATGCTGATTTCATAGCTTTTGAATATAGTCCCAGAAGTGGGGAGGCTAGGTCATATGGTAGTTCTATTTTAACTTTATGAGGAACCTTCACACTGTTTTCCATAATGGCTCTCCTAGTTTACATCTGGAAGATTTTCTCTTTAGCCCATGGATTGAGTGGCATCCTTAACACTGAGTGGTGGTGAAAATCCTGACATCATCCCAGCAGGGACAAAGAGGGGTGTCTCCTTATGGCCTGGTGGGAGTATATGTTGGAGATCTCCACATAATCCTGGTGATATGATAGCGCAAAGGGGCCCTCGTCTCTGCCCATGGAAATGAATGTGGAAGTCTACGCTCCCCACTAGATCTTTGCTGGCATGAGTGGGGAAGGGGCCACAGAGTTTTCTGAGGTGTTCGACTGGAGTAGAGCAGTTATTGTGAAAAATATTTTCTGTCTTGTTTGGCTGCCTCTTTTCTGATCCTTAGGCTAGGCAGAACAGGCTTTTGTAGGTTTATTTCTTTGTTTCTTCACCTGTTTTGTTTAGTTTTGTTTCGTTTTGCCTGTGCATTTTGGCATTCCCTAGTAGCTGGTTTCTTCAGCTCCAAGTTTGGGATATATCAGGCAAAAACAAAACCCAAGGAACTCACCACCATGTCGTTCTGAGGTCCCCAGTTGGTCTACTTTCTTCTCTCCACTTCCAGCCTTATGTTTGTTTTATATATAGTGTCTAGAATTTTAAGTTGTACTTAGTGGGAAGAATAGGGAAATGTACAACTACACCATCTTTCCATCTTTCCAGAAGCAGCGGTCTCTATAAATTTATTTTATTTAAAAAAGCAAAAAATAATTATATATATTTGTGGGGTACAATACGATGTTTTGATATATGTATACAATGCGGAATGATTAAACTAAGCTAATTAGCATATCCATCTCCTCACCTACCTATCATTCTTTTGTGGCGAGAACATTTACAATCTACTCTTTTAGCAGTTTCAAAATACGTAATACATTATTTTTAACTAGAAATGCTGTGCAATAGATCACTAAAGCTTCTTGCTCCTGTCTAACTGGAACTTTGTACTCTTTGACCAACATCTTCCCTTGCCGTATCCCCCCCAAGCCCCGTCACCCCCAGCCTCTGGCAACCATCATTCTACTCTCTGCTTCTATTAGATCAACTTTTTAAGATTCCACATGAGTGAGATCATGTGGTATTTGTCTTCCTTTTTTTTCTTTTATTTTTTAGTTGACACATAGTAGTTGTGCATATTTACGAGGTACAGAGTGATATTTTGATACATCCATTCAATGTGTAATGACTATACCAGAGTAATTAGGGTATCCATCACCTCAAACATTTATCATTCCTTTGTGCTGGAAACATTCAAAATCCCCTCTTCCAGCTTTTTCTTAGCATATACTATACGATACTGTTAACTGTATTCAACCTACAGTGCTATAGAACACTAGAACTTATTCCTCCTATCGATCTGTAATATTGTATCCATTAGCCAACCTCTCTCTATCCTCCCCTCCCCTCTATACTTCCCAGCCTCTAGTAACCACAATTCTACTCTCTACTTCTATGAGCCCAGTTTCCTTCAGCTTCCACATATGAGTGAGAACGTGTGGTATTTGTGTCTTTCTGTGCCTACCTTGTGTCACTTAACATAAAATCCTCCAGGTTCATTCATGTTGCCTCGAATGACAGGACTTCATTCTTTCTGGTAGCCGAATAATGTTCTATTGTGCATAGATACCACATTTTCTTTATCCATTCATGTCGACGGACACTTAGGTTGATTCCGTATCTTAGCTATTGTGAATAGTGCTGCAATAAACGTGGGGAAGCAAATCTTTCTTTGATATACCGACTTCCTTTCTTTTGGATAAATACTCAGTTGAGGGACTGTTGGATCATATGGTAGCTCTGTTTTTAGTTTTTTGAGAAACCTCCGTACTGTTTTCCATGATGTCTGCACTAATTTACACTCAGACCAACAATGTGTAAGAACTCCCCTTTCTTCACATCCTCGCCAAAACTTATCTTTTTGTCCTTTTCATAATGGCCATTCTAACTGGGGTGAGAGGATATCTCACGGTAGTTTGGACTTGCATTTCCCTGATGATTAGTGAGGTTGAGCAATCTTCCATAAACTTCTTGGCGACTTGTATGTCTTCTTTTGAGAAATGTCTATTCCGATCCTTCGCTCATTTTTAATAGTGTTATTTGGGGGAGTTTTGCTGTTGAGTTCTTTGAACGTCTAGTGTATTCTGGATATCAGTCTCTTATCGGACGATTAGTTTGTAAGTATTTTCTCCCATTCTACAGGTTGTCTCCTCACTCTATTGATTGTTTCCTTTGCTGTACAGAAGCTTTTTAGTTTTATATGGTCCCATTTGCGTATTTTTGCTTTTGCTGCCTGTGCTTTTGTAGTCTTACCCATAAAATATTTGCCCTACTAGAACAATGCCCTGAAGCTTTTCTCCTTTGTTATTTTTATAGTTTCAAGTCTTCCATTTAAGCCTTTAAGTTTCTATAACAATATCACGGTGTCTTGGTTACTATAGCCTTATAGTATATTTTGAAGTCAGGCAGAGTGATGCCTCCAGCTTTGTTTGTTTGCTTCCCCCAACCCCTCAGGATTTCTTCGTTTATTTGAGGTCTCTTGGGGTCCCATATGAATTTTAGGATATTTTTTTCTATTTCCGTAAAAAATATCGTTGGTATTTTGGGTGGGATTGCATTGAATCTGTAGATTGTTTTGGGTAATATGGTCATTTAAGCAATTTTCATTCTTCTAATCCATAGGCATGGAATGCCTTGCCATTATTTTGTGTGGTCTTCAATTTTTTTTATCAGTGTCTTGAAGTTTTCATTGTGGAGATCTATCACATCCTTGGTCACATTTATTCCTAGATACTTTTTTTTTTTTGTAGCTACTGTAAATGGGGTTGCCCTTTTTTTTTTTTTTTTAATTTTACTTTAAGTTCAGAGATACATGTGCAGAACGTGCAGGTTTGTTACATAAGTATACATGTGCCATGGTGGTTTGCTGCACCTATCAACCCGTCATCTAGGTTTTAAGCCCCGCATGCATTAGGTATTTGTCCTAATGCCCTCCTTCCCCTTGCCCCCCACCCCCAACAGGCCCCAGTGTGTGATGTTCCCCTCCCTGCGTCCATGTGTTCTCATCGTTCAGCTCCCACCTATGAGTGAGAACATGCGGCGTTTGGTTTTCTGTTCCTGTGTTAGTTTGCTGAGAATGATGGCTTCCAGCTTCATCCATGTCCCCGCAAAGGACATGAACTCATTCTTTCTTATGGCTGCAGGGGTTACTCTCTTGATTTCCTTTTCTGCTAGTTCATTATTGGTGCATAGAAGCACTACTGATTTTCGTACGTAGATTTTGTATCCTGCAACTCTATTGAATTTGTTTATCAGTTCTAAGAGTTTTCGGGGAGTCTTTAGGTTTTTCCATCTATCCGATCATGTCATCTGTGAAGGGGTGCAATTTGACGTCCTTTCTTTCCATTTGTATGTCATTTATTTCCTTCTGGTGCCTAATTGCTCTGGTAGGACGTTCAGTACTATGTTAAATAAGAGTGGTGAGAGTGGGCCTCCTTCTCTTGTTCCTGTTCTTAGAGAAAAGGCTTTCAGCTTTTCTCCATTCAGTATGATGTGGGTTAGTTATATATACAGCCTTTTATTATGTTGAGGTATATTCCATTTGTACCTAATTTGTTGAGAGCTTTTATCATGAAGTGACGCTGCATTTTGTCCAACACTTTTTCTGCATCTACTGAGCTGATCATATCATTTTCAATCTTTGTTCTGTTGATGAGACAGATTATTGATTCGTGTGTGTTGAACCATCCTTGCATTTCTGGGATAGATCCCAATTGATCGTGGTGTATTATCTTTTTGATGTGCTGTTGGATTCAGTTTGTTAGTATTTTGTTGAAGATTTTTGCACCTGTGTTCATCAGGGACACTGGCCGGCAGCTTCCTCTTTTTCACTGTGTCTTTGTCTGGTCTGGGCATCAGGGTAATGCTGGCCTTATAGAATGAATTAGGAAGAATTTCCTCCTCTTCCCCCACCCCCTCCCCCTCCCCCTCCCCTCCAGCCCTCCCCAACCCCCACCACCACAGAAATAGCCAGGCAGGCAGTCTTGGGAAGGAGGGGCAAACACGGGGGCATGTGGCTCAGATGCACCTTGGTCCCAGGGCAATGGCAGCGGGGCCTGTGTTGGGCACATGAGCACGCCTGGACTCCGCTATCTCCCGGCCCAGCAGACAGTAGGAGCTGCAGCTGCTTAGGGCAGGACACGGAGCCTTGGGGGTGGGCACCTAGAGCCATGTTTTGCTGCAGCTGCCCAGCACACTGAAGCCTTTTGGGCTCCACACAGGTTCAAGCAGTGCCTCTGCATCTTCTCCCTGTAGCTCTGCCTGCCAGCCCAAAGGGAACTCCTGTGTCTAGGATCTCAGAGGTCCACAGCAGGAATGTGGTGCCTTAGGGTTCCTTCACTCACCACTTCCTCGGGTCCAGTCTGTGTCCAGGGGCCAGTCGTGGCACCCAGCAATACCAAACAGGCAGTCCTGCTTCCTCCCTCTTCCACCACAGTGTCTTCCATTGCCCCTTTATTGAATTCCCATGTTTTCTCTCAAAAGATGTGTTTGAAGTGTGCAGATTTACTTAATATTTTGCTTCCTCTCTGGGGAAGAGGCACATCCCAGCTGCATTTGGTCAACCATCTTTATTCCCAATCAAAATAAGCAATTCTGTCTGATAAAGCCATTGAAAAAAATGCAAGAGAACACTAAGAAAAAAAAAAAGCACGTATGTTGAATAGATTTTTTTTAATGGTATTTGAAAGACTCCCACGTATATCAAGAATATTTAAGGAACTCTATCATATGCAAACTGCCAGATTTTGGATTGAAAAAATAATAATTCAGAAAATTTTCAGTCTTTAATTCTGGATTTTTCCCCAGTTCCTAAGGTATGTCCACCTCCACTGAGTTAATATTCAGAAAGGTATATTTCATCTTTAATAACCAAAAATTAGTACTCCTGTGAAAGCTGTTAAAATGACAATCAGGAAATTCAGTAAATGTGGCAAATTGGCCATTATGTAAGTGCATTAATTTGAGGAGAATTGATTGTGTTGTCACCTAGCATCACTAAGCATATCAGGGAGAGTCATGAACATGAAGGATCTCTCTCCCTGGCCACTTTACGTCCGTGGAAACACAGGGGAAAAGCAGCTCACTGTTGGTCAGGTGAGGCAACTGGATTCCAAATCTCTTAATTTGGGTCACTAAAACAGACTGGGTGTTTATGGCATTAAGAGGTTGCTCACAGGTAGAGCTGGCAAAATGGCCAAATAGGAACAGCTCCGGTCTGCAGCTCCCAGTGAGATCGACGCAGAAGGCGGGCGATTTCTGCATTTCTAACTGAAGTATCCAGTTCATCTCGTTGGTACTGGATGGACAGTGCGTGCAGCCCACGGAGGGCAAGCCAGAGCAGGGTGGGGTGTCGCCTCACCCAGGAAGCACAAGGGGTCAGGGGATTTCCCTTTCCTAGCCAAGGGAAGCTGTGATAGACTGTACCGGGAGGAACAGTACATTCCAGCCCAGATACTGCACTTTTCGCATGGTCTTCACAACCGGCAGACCAGGAGATTCTCTCCAGCGCCTGGCTCAGCGGGTCCCACCCCCACGGAGCCCCGCAAGCTAAGATCCACTGGCTTGAAATTCTCGCTGCTAGCACAGCAGTCTGAGGTCGACCTGGGATGCTCGAGCTTGGTGGGGGGAGGAGCATCCGCCACTGCCGAGGCTTGAGTAGGCGGTTTTACCCTCACTGTGTAAACAAAGCCTCTGGGAAGTTTGAACTGGGCGGAGTCCACCGCAGCTCAGCAAGGATGACTGCCTCTCTAGATTCCTCCTCTCTAAGCAGGGCATCTCTGAAAAAAAGGCAGCATCCCCAGGCAGGGACTTTCAGATAAAACCCCCATCTCCCTGGGACAGAGCACCTGGGGGAAGGGGCGGCTGTGGGCACAGCTTCAGCAGACTTAAACGTCCCTGCCTGACAGCTTTGAAGAGAGCAGCAGTTCTTCCAGCACAGTGTTCAGGCTGTGATAAGGGAAGGACTGCCTCCTCAAGTGGGTCCCTGACCCCCATGTATCCTGACTGGGAGACACCTCCCAGTAGGGTCCAACAGACACCTCATACAGGAGAGCTCTGGCTGGCATGTGGGGGGTGCCCCTCTGGGACGAAGCTTCCAGAGGAAGGACCAGGCAGCAATCTTTGCTGTTCTGCAGCTTCCGTTGGTGATACCCAGGCAAACAGGGTCTGTAGTGGACCTCCAGCAAACTCCAGCAGACCTGCAGCAGAGAGGCCTGACTGTTAGAAGGAAAACTAACAAACAGAAAGGAACGGTATCAACATCAACAAAAAGGACGTCCACTCAGAGACCCCATCCGAAGGTCACCAACATCAAAGACCAAAGGTAGATAAATCCACGAAGATGTGGAGAAACCAGCGCAAAAAGGCTGAAAATTCCAAAAACCAGAACACCTCTTCTCCTCCAAAGGATCACAACTCCTCACCATCAAGGGAACAAAACTGGACGGAGAATGAGTTTGACTAATTGACCGAAGTAGGCTTCAGAAGGTGGGTAATAACAAACTCCTCCAAGCTAAAGGAGCACGTTCTAACCCAACGCAAGGAAGCTAAGGACCTTGAAAAAGGGTTCGATGAATTGCTAACTAGGATAACCAGTTTAGAGAAGAACATGGATGACCTGATGGAGCTGAAAAAAACAGCACGAGAACTTCGTGAAGCATACACAAGTATCAATAGCCGAATCAATCAAGTGGAAGAAAGGATATCAGAGATTGAAGATCAACTCAATGAAATAAAGCGAGAAGACAAGATTAGAGAAAAAAGGGTGAAAAGAAACGAACAAAGTCTCCAAGAAATATGGGACTATGTGAAAAGACCAAACCTACGTTTGATTGGTGTACCTGAAGGTGACGGGGAGAATGGAACCAAGTTGGAAGACACTCTTCAGGATATTATCCAAGAGAACTTCCCCAACCTAGCAAGACAGGCCAACATTCAAATTCGGGAAATACAGAGAACACCACAAAGATATTCCTCAAGAAGAGCAAACCCAAGACACATAATCGTCAGATTCACCAAGGTTGAAATGAAGGAAAAAAATGTTAAAGCACAGCCAGAGAGAAAGGCCGGGTTACCCACAAAGGGAATCCCATCAGACTAACAGCGGATCTCTCTGAAGAAATCCTACAAGCCAGAAGAGAGTGGGGCTCAATATTCAACATTCTTACAGAAAAGGATTTTCAACCCAGAATTTCATATCCAGCCAAACTAAGCTTCATAAGTGAAGGAGAAATAAAATCCTTTACAGACAAGCAAATGCTGAGAGATTTGGTCACCACCAGGCCTGCCTTACAAGAGCTCCTGAGGGAAGCACTCAATACGGAAAGGAACAACCGGTATCAGCCACTGCAAAAACATGCCAAATTGTAAAGACCATCGACGCTATGAAGAAACTGCATCAAGTAACAGGCAAAATAACCAGCTAGCATCATATTGACAGGAACGAATTCACACATAACAACATTAACCTTAAATGTAAACGGGCTAAGTGCCCCACTTAAAAGACACAGACTGGCAAATTGGATAAAGAGTCAGGACCCATCGGTGTGCTGTATTCAGGAGACCCATCTCACGGGCAAAGACACACATAGGCTCAAAACAAAGGGATGGAGGAAGATTTACCAAGCAAATGGAAAGCAAAGAAAAGCAGGGGTTGCAATCCTAGTCTCTGATGAAGCAGACTTTAAATCAACGAGGATCAAAAGAGACAAAGAAGGGCATTACATAATGGTAAAGGGATCAATGCAACAGGAAGAGCTAACTATCCTAAATGCATATGCACCCAATACCGGAGCACCCAGCCTCATAAGGCAAGTCCTTAGAGACCTACAAAGAGACTTAGACTCGCACACAATAATAGTGGGTGAAGCAGACCTAACGGACATCTACAGAACTCTCCACCCCAAGTCAACGGAATATACATTCCTCTCAGCACCCCATCGCACTTATTCTAAAACTGACCACACAATTGGAAGTAAAACACTCCTCAGCAAATGCAAACGAAAAAATGGAAATCATAACAAACTGTCTCTCAGACCGCAGTGCAATGAAATTGAACTCAGAATTAAGAAACTCACTCAAAACCGCACAACTACATGGAAACTGAACAACCTGTTCCCGAATGACTACTGGCTAAATAACGAAATGAAGGCAGAAATAAAGATGTTCTTTGAAACCGATGAGAACAAAGACACCACGTACCAGAATCTCTGGGACGCATTCAAAGCAGTGTGTAGAGGGAAATTCATAGCACTAAATGCCCACAAGAGAAAGCAGGAAAGATCTAAAATCGACACTGTAACGTCACAATTAAAAGAACTAGAGAAGCAAGAGCAAACAAATTCAAAAGCTAGCAGAAGATAAGAAATAACTAAGATCAAAGCAGAACTGAAGGAGAGAGAGAGACACAAAAAACCCTTCAAAAAATCAATGAATCCAGGAGCTGGTTTTTTGAAAAGATCAACAAAATAGGTAGACCGCTAGCCAGACTAATAAAGAAGAAAAGAGAGAAGAATCAAACAGACGCAATAAAAAATGATAAAGGGGACGTCACCACCGATCCCACAGAAATACAAACTACCACCAGAGAATACTATAGACACCTCTATGCAAATAAACTAGAAAATCTCGAAGAAATCGATAAATTCCTGGACACATACACCCTCCCAAGACTAAATCAGGAAGAAGTCAAATCCCTGAATAGACCAATAACAAGTTCTGAAATTGAGGCAGTAATTAATAGCCTACCAACCAAAACATGTCCAGGACCAGACGGATTCACAGCCGAATTCTACCAGAGGTACAAAGAGGAGCTGGTACCATTCCTTCTGAAACGAATCCAAACAATAGAAAAAGAGGGAAACCTCCTGAACTCATTTTATGAGGCCAGCATCATCCTGATACCAAAACCTGGCAGAGACACAACAAAAAAAGGAAATTTCAGGCCAATATCCCTGACGAAAATCGATGCGAAAATCCTCAACAAAATACTGGCTAAACCAAATACAGCAGCACATCAAAAAGCTTATCCATCACGATCAAGTCGGCTCCATCCCTGGGATGGAAGGCTGCTTCAACATACACAAATCAATAAACGTAATCCGTCACATAAGCAGAACCAATGACAAAAACCACATGATTATCTCAACAGATGCAGAAAAGGTCTTCAACAAAATTCAACAGCCCTTCATGCTAAAAACTCTCAATAAACTAGGTATTCATGGAACGTATCTCAAAATAATAAGAGTTATTTATGAGAAACCCACAGCCAATATCATACTGAATGGGCAAAAACTGGAAGCATTCCCTTTGAATGACAAGGATGCCCTCTCTCACCACTCCTATTCAACATAGTATTGGAAGATCTGGCCAGGGAAATCAGGCAAGAGAAAGAAATAAAGGGTATTCAATTAGGAAAAGAGGAAGTCAAATTGTCTCTGCTTGCAGATGACATGACTGTATATTTAGAAAACCCCATCGTCTCAGCCCAAAATCTCCTTCAGCTGATAAGCAACTTCAGCAAAATCTCAGGATACGAAATCAAGGTCAAAAAATCACAAGCATTCCTACACACCCGTAACAGACAAACAGAGAGCCAAATCATGAGTGAACTCCCATTCACAACTGCTACTAAGAGAATAAAATACCCAGGAATACAACTGACAAGGGATACGAAGGACCTCTTCAAGGAGAACTACAAACCACTGCTCAAGGCATTAAAAGAGGACACAAACACATGGAAGAGCATTCCATGTTCATGGATAGGAAGAATCAATATTGTGAAAATGGCCATACTGCCCAAAGTAATTTATAGATTCAATGCTATCCCCATTGACTTTCTTCACAGAATTGGAAAAAACTACTTTAAAGCTCATGTGGAACCAAAAAAGAGGCCACATAGCCAAGACAATCCTAAGCCAAAAGAACAAAGCTGGAGGCATCAGGCTACCTGACTTCAAACTACATTACAAGGCTACAGTAACCAAAACAGCGAGGTACTGGTAGCAAAACAGATATATAGAACAATGGAACAGAACAGAGGCCTCCAAAATAACACCACGCATCTACAACCACCTGATCTCTGACAACCCTGACAAAAACAAGCAATGGAGAAAAGATTCCCTATTTAATAAATGGTGTTGGGAAAATTGGCTAGCCATATGCAGAAAGCTGAAACTGGATCCCTTCCTTACACCTTATACAAAAATTAACTCAAGATGGATTAAAAAGTTAAACATAAGACCTAAAACCATAAAAATCCTAGAAGAAAACCTAGGCAATACCATTCAGGACATAGGCATGGGCAAAGATCTCACGACTAAAACAGCAAAAGCAATGGCAACAAAAGCCAAAATTGACAAATGGGATCTAATTAAATGAAAGAGCTTCTGCACAGCAAAAGGAACTATCATCAGAGGGAACAGGCAACCTACAGAAAGGGAGAAAATTTTTGCACTCTATCCATCTGACAAAGGGCTAATATCCAGGATCTACAAATAAGTTAAACAAATTCACAAGGAAAAAAACAAACTTCCCCATCAAAAAGTGGGCAAAGGATATGAACAGACACTTCTCAAAAGAAAACATTTATGCAGCCAACAAACATATGAAAAAAATGCTCATCATCACCGATCATTAGAGAAATGCAAATCAAAACCACAGTGAGATACCATCTGACACCAGTTAGAACGGCAGTCATTAAAAAGTCAGGAAACGTCAGATGCTGGAGAGGATGTGGAGAAACAGGAACGCTTTTACACTGTTGGTGGGAGTGTGAATTAGTTCAAACGGAAGAAAGTGTGGTGATGCCTCAAGGATTTAGAACTAGAAATACCATTTGGCCCAGCAATGCCATTACTGGGTGTACACCCGAAGGATTATAAGTCATTCCACTATAAAGACACATGTACACGTATGTTTATTGCGGCACTGTTCACAATAGCAAAGACTTGGAACCAACCCAAATGCCCATCAATGATAGACTGGATAAAGAAGAAAATGTGGCACACGTACACCGTGGAATACTATGCAGCCGTAAAAAAGGGTGAGTTAATGTCCTTTGCAGGGACATGGATGAAGCTGGAAGCCATCATTCTCAGCAAACTAACACAAGAGCGGAGAATCAAACACCACATGTTCTCACTGATAAGTGGGAGTTGAACAATGAGAACACATGGACACAGGGAGGGGAACATAACACACCGGGTCCTGTCCGGGGGTGGGGGGCTGGGGGAGGGATAGCATTAGGAGAAATACCTAATGTAGATGACGGGTTGATGGGTGCATAAAACCACCATGGCACATGTATACCTATGTAACAAACCTGCACGTTCTGTACATGTACCCCAGAACTTAAAGTATAATAAAAATAAAAATAAAAATAAAAATGAAAATAAAAAAAGACGTTGCTCAATAGTAACTAAACCTAATATTTTTTGAAGCATTAGCTGGCTGCCGGATAGTGCACCACATGCTTTACACGTATTGTCATCTTTAATTCCTACAATCCCTTTAGTCTTATCCTCAGTTTTGCAAGTTAGGAATCTGAGGTTGAGGGAAGCTAAGTCATTTATCCATGGTCACGGGAAAGAAAGTGGCAGAGCCTGGATTCAGAGTAAAATTTGTCTGACTCTTAAACATTATACTGTCATTTGAAGGCTCTTGGCAACTTTACAGACATATTTATCCAAGGCACCAGAATACTTTGAGAAGTCACGCCCTCAACAAACAGGTTGTGAGTAAGTTAGCAGCTTCAGTTCAAAGGGTTTCAGAGACAGGTTATTCTATGTAAACTCAAGTCTTAGGTTACTAACGGGATCCTCGATCAATGACCATGTGATGTTTGTTGATATGCAGAGGTTGATTCAAAAGGAGAGGGATGGAGTTATGTTTCCACGCTGTGGTGTAAAGAGCAGTCTCTTGGGTCCCTGCTGCTTTCTACCTAAAGGCCTATTAATAACTGCCCAGGTGGTGGGCTGCATCGATATAAATCAAGCCATTTCAGTGGGAAATCCTAGATTGGTGCTAAGGAGTTATTCAAAACCAAGCCCAGTTGTTGAAATAAATTTCAGTTTCTAGCTCTTCATATGGGACATCTCTGCAGCACCTCATCTGCACTCTTACTCCCTGAGGCTCCCAGCCACTTCTGAAGTGGCTAGGAATAAAACCTGTTGTGACAAGAGATACTAGCCAGGCTGCTGCCAAATATGCAGGTAAAAGCCTGGTTATATTTAAGACACGGTGGCCAAAAACAGCCCACATCCTTGATCCTCCATCCCTGCCCCCATCTTACTGAATTAAGAAATAATTTGGTGACCAGATGCAGGCTTGGTGATCATAAGGCTTTAAATGTTTTGGTTAAATGGAATCTACTTGAGAATGACAACTTTGAGATCAAAGGTGGTGAGCTATACATCTTTGCTTCTAGAGCTCCGGTTGTGGTCCCTTTCACATGGTCGGTAACCCGTAAAGTGATTATTGAGAGATACGTAAGTTCCGAGCACAGAGGGACCACCTAACAACAGACACCCTCATGGATAGGTATAATGAAAACTCGTGCAGAGAGTCAGCAACATCAGCAACGTAAGGACCTCTAAAAATTCTCCCCTTCGTAAATGCAATGAGAAAACTGGCAAAAATTGTCAAAATGAATGTTTTCGGAAACCTGCAAATTCACCTAAAGCTGAGGGGCAACCTTGGGCGTGTTTATTCAAGAAAAACAGCAGAATCTTTTTAGGAACAGTGAACTATGTGACATTTCAACTAGCCCTATCCTCATGGCCCTTTATGCAGCTCCATGGTAGCCTTGAATACCAACAGCCTGCAATCATGGTGAAAACCAGCAGCCTGGCAGCCACCAGAGGGAACAGAACAGGGTTGGAGCTCCTGCAAAGCCGCATTCCCGAGAATTGTCATTATTTGATCTGTCTGGTAGTTCCCGGGAAGGCCCTACTTACATGGCTGTCTTTATTTGGACTGACTCAGAGTGTGCCCAGTTTGAAACGCCTTTTTCCCTGGATGCATTTGTGAAAAATATTTGGAGGCAATTGCTCAATATTGCAGCTGCCTCAGGCAATGGATAACACTTGGGGCACACAATAGGCTAACCGATACCTTAAAAGGAAATCTAGGTAACGAGGTGTCCATTGGGACTTTTAAAAGCGATTACCTATTCCTGGGAATCTAGAAGGCCAGACACTCACCTAGGACTATGACATGGTCTGCAAAGACCCAAAAGGTGCCTAAACGGCCAACTCTGGTTTATTTTGAGGCTCTGTGAAAGAGTTGTCAATTGCCTGGCTGCGAGTTGAAGGCATGTCCAACATATCCACAGAGCCCCATGGCAATGACTGGGAAACTTACCTTTTCCAGGCATATAAAGACATCTCTGTCCAATCACCAGGTCACCACTAAGCCAACCAAGCAGGGCATTCAGTAGCCACACATAACAGAGGATACAGACTTTACAGAAGTAGTTCAGAAAAGTCACTAAACAAACAAGTGACAGCAGGATTAATAGCACCAAACAACAACAACAATACCTTGAAAGAAGGGAGAGTCTGAATTTCAGCGTTGCCACGTTCTATTAGTTAAAGTGTCCAGTTTTCAACAAAAAACTTACGAGACGTGCAAAGAAACAGGAGAGTATGGAACACGCAGAGAGAAGCTCAGACATTGGACTTACTAGAAAAAGACTTCAAATCAGCTATTGTGAATATGTTCAAACAACTAAAGGAAACCATGTGAAAAGAATTAAAGAGAAGTATGAGAATGATGTCTCAACAAATAGAGAAATCATCACAGAATATAAATTAGTGTTTTTAAAACACCCAAGCAGAAATTCTGAAGTGGAAATGTACAATAACTACAGCGAAAAACTCACTAGAGGGGCTCAACAGAAATGGGAACTCGAGAAAGAGAGAACATTTGAAACAATAATGGCCCAAACTCCCCAAGTTTGATTCAAATTATTAATGGACACAAATGAGAACCACAGAAACTCCAAAGAGGATGAATTCAAGAAAATCTTCACCGAGGCACATCTTAGCCAAACTGTTGAAAATCAAAGACAATGAGAGAATGTGGAAAGCAGCAAAGAAAAACAGCTCACCACACACAAGGGATCCCCAGTAAGATTAACAACCGAGTTCTTATCAGAAACCAAGGGGACCAAAAGGTAGTGAGAAGTCACAGTCAAAGGGGTTAATGAAAACAACAACAACAACAACAAACAGTTAACCAAGAATGTTCCATCCAGAAATACTCTCCCTCAAAAATGATGATGAAGTAAAGCTATCCCCTGATAAAGAAAAGCTGAGTCAATGTATCATCAGCAGACTTCCCTTACAAAAAAATATTAAAGGGAAATCTGGAAAAGACAGTAGACAGTAACTCAAATCCCGATGAATAAATAAGAACACCATTAAAGGTAACTAACTACAACAGCATTGATAAAAGACTGTACGAATGTATTGTTGTTTGTAACTCTTCCCTTCTTTTACCTGATTTAAAGGACAATTGTTGCATAAAGCAATCATTATAGAACTATCTAGATGGGCATCACAGGTATAAAGAAGTAATTTTATGACAATAGTAGCACAAAGGAGAAGAGACTCTTGAGCTTTATAGGGTCACAGTTTTGTGTAATATTGAAATTAAGGTGGTATCAATCTGAACTAGATTCTTTTGAGTTAAAATGTGATCTGTAATCTGTGGGGCAACCACTAAGAAAACAACCCAAAAATACAATAAAGAAACAACAGGTAAATGAATAGAGTATATGAGAAAATATCTGTTTAGCAGAAAAGAATACGTCAGTGCAGGGACAGAGGAACAGTAAGACATGAGAAAGAAAATACAAAAAACGGCAGGCATAAATTCTACCCCAACAGTAATTACATTAAGTAATTACATTAAGTTCAGTGTGAATAGACTGAACAATACAAATGTATTTTAAAGCAGATATTGGCAGGATGTAATAAAAACATGGTTGAACTAGATGCTGTCTACAAGACACACACTTCGGATTCAAAGGCACAAATAGTTAGAATGTAAAAGGTTGAGAAAATAAATACACTGAAAACAGCAACCGCAAGAGAGCTGGAGTAGTTTTGTCAACCCCAGAAAAAATAGAGTTTAAAACACAAACTATGACTAGAGATAAAACATGAACATTCTACAATTATAAAAGTGTGAAGAGGAAGATATATAAATTATAAATATATTTGCACTGCACAACAGAACACCAAAATACCTGAAGTAAATGCTGACAGAAATGAAAAGGGGAATAGATAATTCAGCAATCATTGTTTGAGACTTCAATACCTTGCTTTCAATAATGAATAGAAAAGCTAGTCAGAATACCAACAAGGATATACTAGATTTGAAAAAGCAATAAATCAAATGGTCCTAACAGACATTTATAGAACACTACACCCAACAACATCAGAATATATGTTCTTCTCAAGTACACCTGAAATGTTCTCCAGGATAGACCATACGGTGGGCTATAAAACACCTTAATAAATGTAAAAGGACAGAAATAATATAAAGTAGGCCCCCAAACCACAATGGAATGAAGTTATACATCAATAAAACATACATTAGTGGGAAATACATGAGCATAAAGAAATCAACAAACTCCTAAATAATCAAGGGTCAGAGAAGAAATCAAAAGGGAAACTAGAAAATACTTTTTGAGATATATGAAAATGAAGACTCAGCATGTCAAACTTTTGGGATGCAGTTAAGCAGTGCTTAGAAGAAAATGTATAGCTCTAAATGCTGATACTAAAAAAAAATAAGAAACATCTCGGTTGGGAGGCCGAGGCGGGTGGATCACGAGGTCAGGAGATCGAGACCATCCTGGCTAACACGGTGAAACCCCGTCTCTACTAAAAATACAAAAAATTAGCCGGGCGAGGTGGCGGGCGCCTGTAGTCCCAGCTACTCGGGAGGCTGAGGCAGGAGAATGGCGTGAACCCCAGGGGGCGGAGCCTGCAGTGGGCCGAGATTGCGCCACTGCACTCCAGCCTGGGCGACAGCGAGACTCCGTCTCAAAAAAAAAAAAAGAAATATCTCGGGTCAATAACCTTACCCTCCGCATTGAGACCCTGGGAAAAAGAGCAAACTAAACCTAAGCAAATCGAAGAGAAAAGTGGACACTGATTAGAGCATGAATTAATGAAATGAAGAGTGGAAAAATAACAGAGATAAACCAATGAAACAAAAATCTGATTCCTTGAAGAAGTCAACAAAATTGACAAACTGTAAGCCAGATTGATCAAGAGAAAAGTGAGGAGGTTCTATTCGCTGAAATCAAGAAAGAAAGAGGAGACACTGCTATCTACATTATGGAAAAATAAAGAATTATAAAGAAATAATATGAACAATTGTATGCCAATAGATTTGATGGCTTAGATGAAATGGATGAATTTCTAGGTATACATATACCATGCAAACTGGCTGGAGGAGAAATACACAAGTTAAATAGATCTATGAAAATGAAACAGAATGAAATAGTAATTAAAAACAAAAAACAAAAAGCAAAAAAACTACCCAGAAAAAAAGATCAGGCTCAGATGGCTTCAATGGTTAATTCTACTAAATATGTAAATAAGAATTAATAGCAATTCTTCAACAGTTCTTCCAAAAAAATAGAAGAGGAGGGAAAACTTCATAACTCATAAGCCTGGCAACAAAATCATATATAGACTCAAAAGCAAAACTATGAATAGGACAGAAAAAATCCCCAACAAAATATTAGCAAACCAAATCCAGCAACATACAAAAATATTTATACTCGGTGACCAAGTGGCATTTATCTCAGGCACATAAGGTTGCTTTAACAGCTACACATCAATAAATGGATTTTATCATATGAACAGATAATCATTCAAAAAACACGTATTCATCTCAATTTATGCAGAAGAAGCATTTGAAAAAGTTCAACAGCCTGTCATAAGAAATACACTCAAGAAAAAAAAAACTGGGAATAGAAGGGAATTTTCCTCAAACTGATAAAGAGCACCTATGATAAAGAACACCCACAGGTAACATCATATTTAATGGCAGAAGACCGAATCTTTTACCCTTAATGTCTGAAACAGCACAAGGATGCCTGATGTAGCCACTACTACTCAACAATGTATTGAGGGTTGTGGCCATGGTACCTGGTTTTCAAAAAGATGGGAAATGAAGACATAAAACTACCTCTATTAGCATACGGCATCATCTTGTAATTATAGAATCTTAAGGAATCCACTAAAAGACTTTAAAGACAAATACTGAATTTGGCAAAGTGAAGGAATACAACGTCAATACACGAAAATAATTTCTATTCCTATAGAGTAGCAAAAAGGACATTGAATACAAAATTAAGAAAACAATTCCATTTGCAATAGCAGCAGAAATAATAAAATACATGGGAATAAACCTAACAGAAAGTGCAAAACTTATACTCTGCAAAACCACGAAGCATCGTGGAAACAAACTAAAAGACTTACAGTGTTGAAAGACAAACAATAGTTGGAGACGTCAACACCCCATTTTGAGCGTTGAACAGATCATCCAGACAGAAACTCAACAAAGAAATATCGGACTTGCTCTGCACGATACACCAAATGGACCTAACAGGTATTTACAGAACATTTCCTCCAACAGCTGTAGAATACACATCATTCTCCTCAGCACGTGGATAAGTTCTCAAGGATATGCCGCATGTTAGGCCACAAGACAAATCTTAAAACATTCAAAAAATTGAAATAATATCAAGTATCTTCTGTGACCAAAATGGAATAAAACTTGAAACCAATAACAAGGGAAATTTTGGGAACTATACAAAAATGTGCAATTTAAAGAATGTGTTCCTGAATGAGCAGTGGGTCAATGAAAAAATTAAGAAGGAAATTGAAAAATGTCTTAAAACAAATGATAGTGGAAACACAAACTGCCAAAACCTGTGGGTTGCAGCAAAAGCAATACTAAGCGGGAAGCTTAACAGTTATAAGCCCCTATATCAAAAAAGTAGAAAAACTTCAGGTAAACAACCTAACAACCTAACAGTGCATCTTAAGAAACTAGAAAAGCAAGAGCAAACCAATCTCAAAATTAATAGAAGAAAAGAAATAATAAAGATCAGAGCAGAAATACATAAAATCTAAACGAAGAAAACAATGCACAAGATCAATGAAATGAAAAGTTGGTTTTTTCAAAAGAGAAACCAAATGGACCCACTTTTAGCCAGAATAAATGAGAAATAAAAGAAAAGAACCAAATAAATAAAATCAGGGATGATAAGGGAGACATTACAACTGATAGTGCAGAAATTCAAAGGATCGTTAGAGGCTACTGTGAGCAACTATATGCCTGTAGATTTGAAAACCTTGAAGAAATGGATAAGTTCATACACACATACAACCTACAAAGATGGAACCATGAGGAAATTTAAAACCTGAACAGAACAATAACAAGTAATGAGATGGAAGCCATAATTAAAGTCTCCCAGCAAAGTAAAGCCTGGTACCCAATGGCTTCACTGCTGAATTGCGCCAAACATTTAAAGAAGAACAAATACCAATCCTACTCAAAGTACTTCAAAAGGTAGAGGAGGAGGGAATACTTCTGAACTCATTCTATGAGTGTTTTCCTGATACCAAAACCAGACAAAGACACACACACACACACACACACACACACACACACACACATACACACACGCAGAAAACTATAGGCCAATATCCCTGATGAACATTGATGCAAAAATCCTCAACAAAATACTCACTCACAAACCGAATTCACCAACACATTAAAAAGATAATTCATCATGACCAAATGGGATTTATCCCAGAGATGGAAGGATGATTCGACATATGCAAATCAGTCAATGTGATGTATCATATTAACAGAATGAGGGACAAAAACATATGATAATTTCAAAGGATGCTGAGAAAGCATTTGATAAAATTCAACATCCCTTCATTATAAAAACTCTGCAGAAACTGAGTATAGAAGGAACAAACCTCAGCATAATAAAAGTCATATATGACACACCCACAGCTAGTATCATACTGAATGGGCAAAAACTGAAAGCCTTTCCTCTAAGATCTGGAACATGACAAGGATGCCCACTTTCACCACTGTTATTCAACATAGTACAGGAAGTTCTAGCTAGAGCAGTCAGACAAGAGAAAGAAATAAAGGGTGTCAAAATTACAGAGGAAAAAGCCAAATTATCCTTGTTTGCATATGACATAATCTTATGTTTGGAAAAACCTAAAGACCCCACCAAAAAACTATTAGCACTGATAAACGAATTCAGTAAAGTCCCAGGATACAAAATCAACATACGAAAATCACTACCAACTGTGAACAATCTGGAAAAGAAATCAATAAAGTAATCCCATTTACAATAGCTATCAATAAAATAAAATACCTAGGAATTAACAAAGGAAGTGA
This sequence comes from Homo sapiens, assembly GCF_000001405.40. Lineage (NCBI taxonomy): Eukaryota > Metazoa > Chordata > Mammalia > Primates > Hominidae > Homo > Homo sapiens. Next base: position 72,903,697 of record NC_000023.11, read on the forward strand.
AAATCTCTACAAGGAACGCTGTAAAACACTGATGAAAGAAATTGAAGGGGATTGCAAAAATATGAAAAGCTATTCCATGTTCATTGATTGGAAGAATTATTATTGTTAAAATATTCATACTATCCAAAACAATCTACAGATTGCCAAAAGAAGAGCAAAGGCTATCCTGAGCAAAAAGAACAAAACTGGAGGAATCATATTACCTGACTTCAAATTATACTACAGAGCTATAGTAACCAAAAAGGCACGGTACTGGCATAGAAACAGACACATAGATCAATGGAACAGAATAGAGAGCCCAGAAACAAATCCACACACCTGCAGTGAACTCATTTTCCACAAAGGTGCCAAAAACATGCACTAGAGAAAAGAGTCTCTTCAATAAATGGTGCTGGGAAAACTGGATATTCACATGCAGAAGCATGAAACTGGACCTCTATCTTTCAACTTACACAAAAATCAAATTAAAATAGATTACAGACTTAAATCTAAGACTTCAAACTATGAAACTACTAAAAGAAAACATTAGGGGAAACTCTCCAGTATATTGCACTGGGCAAAGATTTCTTGAGTAATACCCCGCACACACAGGCAACCAAAGCAAGAAAAAAAAATAGACCAATGGGATCACATCAAGTTGAAAAGCTTCTGCCACAGCAAAGGAAACCGTCAACATTGAAAACAAAATAGAGAATAGAAAACCATGGGGGCAAAATCAATGAAACTAGGAGTCTCAAGTGGAATCCTTTGTTCATCAACAAAGTAAAGAGGCAAACCCACAGAATGGGAGAAAATATTTGCAAACTACCTGTCTGACAAGAGATTAATAACCACAATACATAAGGAGCTCAAACAACTCTATAGGGAAAAAATGTAATAATCCGATTAAAAAATAGGCAAAGGATCTGAATAGACACGTCTCAAAAGAAGACACATATATGGCAAACAGACATACGGAAAGGTACTCAACATCATTGATCATCAGAGAAATGCAAACCAAAACTACAATGGGATAGGATAAACAGGACTTTCATTAAAATTAAAAACTTTTTGCTGCAATTAATAATACCATCAAGAATGTGAAAAAAGAAGCCCCAGAATGGGAGAAAGTATTTGCAAATCATATAACTTATAAGTGACTTGTATCTAGATTACAGAAATTAGTTTTAGAAATTAATAATAAAACATATAACCTCATTGAGAAATGGGCAAAAGATGTGAACAGCCATTTCTCCCCCCAAAAAAATACAGGCAGAAGTAAATATAGGCAGAAGTAAAATGATACCACGTGGAAACTAGGATTGACCAAGAGGAATGAATGAAACCTATGGCTATATATGAAAGATAGCTTTTTTCCTCATTTAAAAAAATATATATATAAATGACAACTGACAGTTTATAACTAACTTGAAAGCGGAATGATGTTTATAACATACATATGTTATAGCATATGTAGAAATAAAATGCGTAACAATAGCACTGCAAAAAAAAAAAAAAGAGGAGAAAAATAAGGTATACTCCACTGAGATTGAAGCACTGTATGTGAAATGCTATAGTATTACTTGAAGATAGAGTGTGGTAAGTTGAGCAACCATTTAAATAAATTGAAATAGATACAGCTAATAAGACAGTAGTGAAGACAAATGGAATCCTAAAACGCCCAACCAAAATGTGATGAGATGAAAAAAAATGGACGAGAGGAGTAAAGAACAAATGGGAAAATAGAAAACAAACAGCAAGTACATAGATTTAAACAAAATATATTGATGTCCATTAAATTTATTTTTTATTTTAATTTTTATTTTATTTATTTATTTATTATTTTATTCTGAGACGGAGTCTCGCTCTGTTTCCAGGCTGGAGTGCAGTGGCGCAATCTCAGCTTACTGCAACCTCTGCCTCCTGGGTTCAAGCCATTCTCCTGCCTCAGCCTCCCGAGTAGCTGGGACTGCAGGCGCCCACGCCCGGCTAATTTTTTGTATTTTAGTAGAGACGGGGTTTCACCATGCTGGCCAGGATGGTCTCAATCTCCTCACCTCGTGATCCACCCGCCTCGGCCTCCCAGAGTGCTGGAATTACAGGCGTGAGTCACGGCGCCTGGACTAAATTTACTTTTTATCTCCAGGAACTAGGAAAAGAAGAACAAACTAACTCCAAAGTTAGCAGAAAGAATGAAATAATAAAAAATTAGAGCAGAAATAAAAAAAAAATAGGGAATAGAAGACCACAGGAAAATAATCAGTGAAAATAAGAGTTGGTTTTTTGAAAAGATAAACAAAATTAACAAACCTTTAGCCAGACTAAATGAGAAGAAAAGAGAGAAGAATCAGGGAAATAAAATCAGAAATGAAAGAAGAGACTTTACAATTGATGCCAGAAATATAAAAAGAACCATAAGAGACAACTGTGAACAATTACGCAGCAATAAATGGGTCAGCCCAGAAGTGGATAAATTCATAGATGCATACAACCAACCAAGCCTGCATCATTAAAAAAAACAGAAAATCTGTACAGAACAATAAGGAGTAAGGAGATTGGATCAGTAATCAAAAACTTCCCATTAAAGAAAAGCTAAGGACCAGATGGCTTCCCTGGTGAGTTCTACCAAGCATTTAAAGAAAATTAACCCCAAACCTTCTCAAACGCTTCCCAAAGCTTGAAGAAGAGAGAATGCTGTCAAGTTCGTTCTATGAGGCCAGGGTCACCCTGATACCAAAGCCTGATGAAAACACTTCAAGAAAAGGAAGCAGGAGGACAATATCTCTGATGAACATAGAGGCAGAAATTCTCAACAAAATACGAGCAAACCAAACTCAGGAGCACATTAAAAGGATCGTTCACCATGACTAAGCAGGATCTATTTCTGGGAAGCAAGCAAGGATGGTTCAACACGTGCAAATTAATTAATGTGATGCACCACATTAAAAGGAAAATTACAATTGAGGCAGTAACTAATAGCCTACTGACCAACAAAAGCCCAGGACCAGACGGATTCACAGCCAAATTCTACCAGAGGTACAAAGAGGAGCTGGTACCATTCCTTCTGAAAGTATTTCAAACGATAGAAAAAGAGGGACTCCTCCCTAACTCATTTTATGAGGCCAGCATCATCCTGATTCCAAAACTTGGAAGAGACACAACAAATAAAGAAAATTTCAGGCCAATATCCCTGATGAACGTCCACACAAAAGCCCTCAATAAAATACTGCCAAACCGAATCCCGCAGCACATCAGAAAGCTCATCCACCACGATCAAGTCGGCCTCATCCCTGGGATGCAAGGCTACTTCAACATACGCAAATCAGTAACCGTAATCCATCACATAGACAGAACCAATGACAAAAACCACATGATTATCTCAATAGTCGCAGAAAAGACCTCCAATAAAATTCAACACCCCTTCATGCTAAAAACCCTCGATAAACTAGGTATTGATGGAACATATCTCAAAATAATAAGAGCTATTTATGACAAACACGGAAACATTCCCTTTGAAAACCGGCACAAGACAAGGATGCCCTCTCTCATCACTCCTATTCAACATAGAATTGGAAGTTCTGGCCGGGACAATCAGGCAAGGGAAAGAAATAAAGCGTATTCAAATAAGAAGAGAGTAACTCAAATTGTCTCTGTTTGCAGATGTCATGACAGTATATATAGACAACTCCATCGTCTCAGCCCAAAATCTCCTTCAGCTGGTAAGCAACTTCAGCAAAGTCTCAGGATACAAAGATCAATGTGCAAAAATCGCAAGCATTCCTATACACCAATAATAGACAAGCAGAGAGCCAAATCATGAGTGAATTCCCATGATTTCTTCTTTGCTACAAAGAAAATAAAATACCTAGGAATACAACTCACAAGGGATGTGAAGGACCTCTTCAAGGAGAACTACAAACCACTGCTCAAGGAAATAAGAGAGGACACAAATGGAAGAACATTCCATGCTCATGAATAGGAAGAATCAATATCGTGAAAATGGCCATACTGCCCAAAGTAATTTATAGATTCAATGCTATTCCCATCAAGACCATTGACTTTCTTCACAGAACTAGAAGAAAAACTACTTTAAGTTTCATATGGAATCAAAGAAGACCCCATATAGCGAAGACAATCCTAAGCAAGAAGAACAAAACTGGGGGCATCACGCTACCTGACTTCAAACTATACTACAAGTCTACAGTAACCAAAACAGCATGGTACTGGTACCAAAACAGACATATGGACCAATGGAACAGAATAGAGACCGCAGAAATAACACCACACATCTACAACCATCTGATCTTCGAAAAACCTGACAAAAACAAGGGGAAAGGATCTCCTATTAAATAAATGGTGCTGGGAAAACTGGCTAGCCATACGCAGAAAACAGAAACTGGACCCCTTCCTCAGACCTTATACAAAAATTAACTCAAGGTGGATTAAAGACTTAAATGTAAAACCCAAAACCATAAAAACCCTAGAAGAAAACCTAGGCAATACTATTCGGGACATAGGAATGGGCAAAGACTTCATGACGAAAACGCCAAAAGCAATTGCAACAAAAACCAAAATTGACAAATGGAATCTAATTAAACTAAAGAGCTTCTGCACAGCAAAAGAAACAAGCATCAGAATGAACAGGCAACCTACAGAACGGGAGAAAATCATTGCAATCTACCCATCTAACAAAGGGCTAATATCCAGAATTTACAGGACACTTAAACAAATTTACAAGAAAAAAAAAAACAAACAATCCCATCAAAAAGTGGACAAAGGATATGAACAGACACTTCTCAAAAGAAGACATTTACATGGCCAACAAACATATGAAAAAAAGCTCAACATCACTCATCATCAGAGAAATGCAAATCAAAACCACAATGAGATACCAACTTATGCCAGTCAGAATGGCGATTATTAAAAATGTCAAGAAACGATAGATGCTGGCAAGGCTGTGGAGAAATGGGAACGCTTTTACGCTGTCGGTGGGAACGTAAATTAGTTCAACCATCGTGGAAGCCAGTGTGGTGATTCCTCAAGGATCTAGAACCAGAAATACCATTTGACCCAGCAATCCCATTAATGGGTATATACCCAAAGGAATATAAATCATTCTACTATAAAGATACATGCACATGTACGTTTATTGCAGGCACTATTTACAATAGCAAAGACTTGGAACCAACCCAAATGTCCATCAATGATAAACTGGATAAAGAAAATGTGGTACATATACACCATGGAATACTACGTAGCCATAAAAAGGAATGGGATCATGTCCTTTGCAGGGACATGGATGAAGCTGGAAACCATCATTCTCAGCAAACTAACACAGGAACAGAAAACCAAACACCGCACGTTCTCACTCAGAAGTGGGAGTTGAACAATGAGAATACATGGACACAGAGAGGGGAAGGACACACACCAGGAGCTGTTGGGGGGTAGGGGATGAGGGGAGGCAACTTAGAGGATGGGTCAATAGGTGCAGCAAACCACCATGGCACACGTATACTTATGTAACAAACCCGCACGTTCTGCACATGTATCCCGTTAATTGTTTTAGAAGAAATAAAGAAAAATAAAAATTAAAGAAAAGAAGAAAGAAAATAAGACATTTAAAAGCTGAGGAAAATTTTTTAAGCACACTCTTCTAATAACTACATATAATTAATTGGTAATCATCCCTAAAGACCTTGTTAAGGTTAAAAGAATGGTTATGTGGAGACTTTTTAAAACCGTATTTGTAAATCATAAAGAAAACTTCAGTCTTCAATAGATTTACTGGTTAGCAGTGTCATACATTTAAAGAAAACATAGTAGTAGTCCCAAAAGAACACTTTTAGAAAATACAGGAGGGAACACTTTCCAGTTCATTTTATGATGGCAGCATTACTTTTATTTAAAAAAAAAAAATAGAAAAAAGATACCAGAAGAAAAAAAGGAACTACAAACCAGTGTTCCTAATGAACATAGTTACAAAACTCCTTGATAAAATTTTAGCAACTTGAATCCAATAATATATGAAAAAAAAATAATCTATTACCAAGCACAGTCTGTCCTGGGAATGTAAGGTCATTTTACCATTAAAAATCCGTGACTATATTTCACCATATTAATGGAATAAAAGAAAAGAGCATTTATTATCCAGATATATAACAGAAAAGTAATTTGATAACATAAAACACCCATTCATGACCAAAAAACCCAAACCACTTGATAAGTACATAAAGCAACGTCCTCAACCTAATAAAGTACTCCTACAAAAAACCTGCAGCTGGCACCATGCCTAATGGTGAAATACTGAATGCTTCTCCCATAAGATTAAAAATAAGGCAGACTCTTACTATGCGTATACAATTATCCTTGAGGTCCCAGCTAGTGCAATGAGCCAAGGAAAATAAGTAAAAGGCATACAGATTGAATAGGAAGGAATAAAAAAAACCTCTCCATTTACAAATAGCATGATAGTCTACATACAAAATACTAAGGAATGTGGGGATAAACATCTCCTAGACCTAACAAGTCACATAACAAAGTTACAAGACAGAAACTCAACATACAAAAACCCACTGTGTTTCAACATACTGGGAACAAATAATTGGAGATGACATTATTTAAAATGTCATTTATAATTACAGCAAAATAAATGAGGTATCTATTGAGAATTTTAATGTAATATGTGAAAGACCTGTATGCAGACCACTATAAAATACTGGCGAGAGAAAGTGGAGACCTAAATAAACAGAGATATATAATGTTCGTTGATCAGAAGACTCAGGTTAAGATGCCAATTCTCAAGTAATGGATCTATAGGCTCACCATAATCATAATTAAAGTGAAGAACTGTTTCTCAAAAGTTATATATAAATGCAAATGACATAGAAGATCCAAAGCCATTTGGAAAAGAACAAGCATGAAGGACTCACATCACCAAAGTCTCTGACTTAATATAAAGACATGGTAATCATGACAGCCTGGTATGACCTTAAGAATTCACATAGGGATCATTGGATGAAATAGAAGAAGGGCTAGAAATAGACTTACATATATATAGTAAGTTGATTTCTAATAAAGGCTCAAAGATAATTAAATTAGCTGACAATTAACTAATAGTGCTGGAAAAAGTAGATCTCTTTACGGAAGACCCAAACAACTTCAATATCTCACCATTCATCCCGACATTATTCACACTTCATGCAGGCATTAATTCAAAATAAATCCTAGATCTAAGTGTAAATTGCAAAATATTAAAACCTACAAACATCAGAAGAGAAAATCTCTGTTGTGAGGCTAGGCAACGATATCTTAGGGTAGGACACATGAAAGCATGAATCACACTGGAAAAATGATCAATGGACTGCTATTGATCAAAATTCTATTATCAAATTCTATTAAATCAATATATATCAAAATTCTATTAAAAATATACCCTTTGGGTTCTCAAAAACCAGGGTTCAGTGTCTCTGTGAGGCACAGCTTTTCAGGTTCCTGTACTGGAACCTCGTGACTGACTTTGACTTCTATTAAACCCTAGAACAGAAAACCAGGCCTACATATTTTCAGTTGCAAAACCTCACGGTATTGTCTTGGGCTTCTACTTGTGATGCTCTCCCTTTTCTCTATTTCTTGGCCAATTTCTTTTGTCCCTCCTTTCAGGCACGCCTCCTCTGGGAACTCTTCACTGACTCCGTTCCAATTCCCAAGGCTGAGTGACTGCCCGCCTCCTCAGTCCTCCCGTAGCCCCATAAACGTCCCTCCATCACTCTCTGTTACATTCATGCCTCTCTCGGTTTCTCCCTCACAGAAGAGCTTGAAGCAGAGCCTCATTCAGGGCACGGCCCATGATAGGCTCACAGAGATCAACTCTGTAGCCTCAGGATTATGTAAGAGATGCTTTCCTAAACAGCACTATTGTTTCAAAAGCCAAAGAAAGACTCTGAGGCCACCTACTTCCACTTTCCCTTCAGGGTACTGTTTGCAGGGAGCTCCTGTGAAGTCAGCGGTGCGGACCGCACAGACCTGGTTAGCAAACGGGGGGCATAACTTGGCAGCATTGCTTGTAACTCAAATGTCAAAGCCTGATTTTGACATAGCAAGACTAGGCAACAAGGAGCTTTCACCTCTGCTCTTCTACTTTCTTTTGTTTGTTTGTTTGATTTGTCAGTTTGTTTTTGAGACAGAGTCTCCTTCTGTCTCCCAGCCTGGAGTGCAGTGGAGTGGTGCCATCACGGCTCATTGCAGCCTCCGCCTCCCAGGCTCAAGCAATCCTCCCCCCTCAGCCTCCTGAGTAGGTGGGGCTAGAGGTGTGTGCCACCATGCCAGGCTACTTTTGAAATTTTCTGTGGGGGTGGGGTCTCCCTATGCTGCCCAGGCTGGTCGGCTGTTCTACTTTCAACTCACCCCAGCCCAGGCCCTTCACCTCTCCCTCTCTCTCACATTTTCCAAGCCCTCCAGGCCCTAAACCACCTGATACTGACTGGTACATAGACGTGGAGTCTCACGTAAACCTCTGAAAAGAAAACTGCTGTTGATTTGGACTCTGGATACCATTACCCAGCTCACGCTCCTTGCTGTGACGACTCATTTGGACTCATACACCTGCCCAGGGCATCCATGTACATAATCCTGTGAATCAAAGGCAGGAGAGCACCCACATGGACACTCGGGTCTGTGGCATCCCCACCAAATGATGACTCATCACCAGCTTGAAGACCTCTGCTTTTTCTGCTCGGCAAGGAGAAACGTGGCTCGAGCCTGCTGAGAGGGCCAGGAAGCAGCAGCAAAGGAAAGAAAGATTGGAGGACTGGGAGTAAGAGATACAGAAACAAATGGAATGCGACATGCCAGAAATGTATCCCCTGCTGGAGCACCAGGCTGTAGGGGGGGAGGGACGATGGGGCAGGGGCAGAGGGGCTGAATGGGGCGTGGAGGGGGCAGGCCCTCGGCCTCTTTGCACCGGGCAGAGTGACGAGCTTCGCCGGTGTCTTCATTGAAGTCCTGTTGGTCCCTACCGGCACATCACACACTCCTGGAAGCATGATCTTCACTCCCTTCCTTCCACCTGCTGACCTGGTGAGTCTGGCTTCCCTCCGTTGTCCTGGAATGTCCCCTAGGAGGCTGGGCTTTGGTCTGCGCAGGTCACTGCTGCATCCCTCACCCATGGAAGAGGGCCGGAGATGCACACAACAGTTGCGTAACGGAAGCCAGGGATGGGAGGGAGCATTAGGATCCAGTTATTTAGTCTGTCTTTCAGAATGTGAAAGGGCCGCAAAAAGACCCTGAGGAATTGGTTGCTGTATCTGACACCGCGGAGGACCCATCCAGTGGCACAGGCTTGCCCAGGGAACCTGCTCTTCTGCGAGGGTCTTGGAGGAGCCGGTTCCAGAGGGCCCTGGCATGTTTCATCAAGTGCTTCAGGCGAGAGCTCCTTCGGAGCCAGCCTCTGCCTGTCTCACTGGCTCGCCACCAAGCCCATCCGCCTCCCCTTCCTGTTCCACCAAGAGAACCTCAGGCCAAGCCAGAAATCCCCAGGGCTCCCGAGGGTCCACTTGTCACTCTGCTTTCCTCCCTAGGGGAGGATACCGGGCACTCGGAATCTGAGACCACCGGAGCCACAGACACAGGCGTGAACGGTGACCGAGCCCCCTCTGATGCTCCATGCCCCTGCTCGCCCCAGTGTCCCGGTCACCGGGCCTGAAATAAATGCTGGCACGCTTGACTGTTTTTGCTTTGTGGCATTTGATGTAACTTTCAACACGTCGGCTGAACTGGGGGTGGTCAGCTTTGGTGGTGGTGGGGTTGTGAAGGGAGAGAGCTAGCATCTTCCTTAGCCCTGTTAGGCTGTCTGCCCTCCTCGAGGCAGCGCTGCTTGTTACTAGGTCCTGGTGGCGATGGGCTGTAGCCAATCAACGGTGAGTTTTCCACGGCTCTCAGCTCTGACCCTGGCGGGGCACTTACATGCAGGAATGAGGACGGAATAACATCTCACATGCAGGAATGAGGACGGAATAACATCTCTCTTACCCCCAGCAATGCACACAGTCTTCATATCTGAGGAAAACTGGGCGGTGTTTATATGCGGAGGCGAGAGGGTCATGTGGAGGAAGAATCTGTGGACCTCAGAAAAGGCGTTAACCCCTGTACTGACAAAGAGCTCCCAAGCCCCGCCTACTCCACCACAAGACAGAGACCCCTTCCAACAGACGGCCTTGTCTCCAACTATGCATTGTTCCTTTCCATAAGATGAGGACTTTATTTTTTTTCTTTTGCCTTCCTAAGGTGACCTTGATATGTGTTGCAACACAGTATCAGCAGGAGAATTCTGAAAGGGGGGCGGTTGGAGCATAATTGTCCCTGTTAACTAACAACCATGGAGGAGGCCCTGTTAGAAACTGCAGCACCAGGAGTCACCAAAGTAAATGGACAAGGATATTGGATGTGCTCTTTAGCATCAAGAAGCCTAACTAGGACACAGGAACACCAAAATTCTCTCTCCCCCTCCCCCGTCTCATGCAGTCCCCTGTGCAAAGCCAGGGGAGGAAAAAAAAAAAATGCTTTCTTAGGGCCTGCTGGGTGAATTACTCACCCTCTGGTTCTTCAGAGGTCCAGGGCCTTTAAGCTCAAATGAAATCCAGATGGGGTAAGGTTCAGGTAGGCGACAGCATTTGGAAGTCCCACAGCCCTTTTCCTATATTCCTGGGGAACAGCCACGGTGAGACCCATAGGTACTGAACAGACAGAGCTGTTAATTATGGAGTGATGGAGTTCTTTAGATCCCATGTCTCTGCAGCTTTTTCGATGGCACAGGTACCACCTATCTCCCCACAATGGCTCTGTCCTCCTGAGCTGGGCCCTAACTCAGTGGGGGAAGTTCAGCTCCATGTTGCTGCTTCTCCAAAAGGGGCTAGGACTTGACATCATGGGGTTTAGCCCTAAACCCCATGTTTAGTCCAAAAGAGGAGCAGCGTTCCAACTCCCTAGGGCTGGGGGCTTGTTGGGTGTTCGTTCCTTCATAGCTGCTGTCATAACCATGAGCTCAGTCATTGCACTGGTAAGGGAGTGTCAGGGAGAGTCTGTGCATACATGTGCATGGGCATGCTTGTGCTTGTATGTGTGTATTTAGGATGCAAATACTTGTTGAAACAAGAAATGATGTGGGGAAATCTGGTGGATAGGGCACAACTTGGCAGTCACTCTTGAAACCCAAGTGGCAGAGATGGGATTTAAAGGTAGCCAGACTCAGCAACAAGGAGCCCTTCTCCCCAGCACCACACTCTCTCCAGGGCTCTCCAATCTGATCCTAACATTGTCCAAGTCTGCTTTGCCCAGAACCATATGCCCACTACCCACCAGATGCTGACTGACTCCCACACACAGCCACAGCACTACGCATCATCTCCTGAAAGGAACACCTCCACTGCTGATTCGACCTCCAGTTGCCATCGTCCACCTCAGGCCCTCTTGGGTTGGATGGACCATGAGGACTTCCCTGCCTTCCCCATTGCGCAGGCCAGTGGACTCTGCAGCCTCACAGCAGAAAATGCTTTCCTCTGCCAGCCCCGTATACACAGGAGATTCCACTCATGTTGAAATTTGGTCCCCAAGGTGGTGGTGCTGGGAGGTGAGGCTTAGTGCACGGTTGTTTGGGTCACGAGGGCTCCACCTTTGTCCTTGTAGGTGTCTTGGTGCTCTCCTCACAGTAGTGAGTGAGTTCTTGCTCTGGCGAGACTGGATTAGTGCTCGCAGGAATGGACAAAGTGCCCAAGATAGTAGGTTGCTATACAGCCAGGATGCCCCTCAGGTTTTCTCTCATTGCATGTGTCCACTTCCCCCTTGACCTTCCTCACCACATTATGACACAGCACACAAGCCCTCGCCTGAAGCTAGGGCCATGCCCTTCAACTTCCCAGCCTGCAGAACCATGAGCTAAATAAATATTTTTTTATTTATAAATCACGCAGTCTCATGTATTCTGTTACAGCGACACAAAACAGATGCTCATGCATCTCAAGAGCAGGCCCATTACCCATTGCATGATGAACCATTTGAGCATGCAGGGCAATCACATGCAGGAATGGGGAAAGACAGGTCAGCAATAGGGGAAGGCATGGGTCGTCAGCTTTACACCTTCGTTTCTGAAATATGACCGTGACCGAGTTATGAGTTCTTCTCCTTTGCTTACACCTCCCCCCGACCCGCGTTTACATCACCTCACAATCCCCGTGCCTGAGAGACGTCTCAGGTAGGTCAGTAAAGTAAAGTCGACAGTGCCTCAGAAGAAGGTGTGGGGTCAGAAATTCCACGGCTCCAGGCTCACCCAGCACTTCTGGTGAACAGAAGACCATTGGACTGTGCGAGTGAGCAAGAGATTAAGCTTGTTTTTCTGCCCCACCTGTCCTCAATCTCTCTGGTGCTATGTTCCCGTGAATCCTGGGCAGCCTTACAGAGGCAGCAACATTTGTACTTAGCTCCATGAAATGTTACACAGCCTGCTGTGTTACAGGAGCGTCACATGTTTTTGTTTTATTATTCCACCATCCGGATCAAGGTGAGTGGTGTGATCACCATTCTGAGGTTGCATCGCCAGCACAAGAGGGAGCCAAGATACAGTCCCTGGTTGATCTGAGGCAAGGATCCTTCCATTACAGCAATGCAGTCTAAGAGCCACTGTCACCAACTACAAATCTAGGGGGTCCTATTGAACTGTGAGTTACAGCCCATGCTCTTGGTGATGGAGACACTGTACTTGCAGTCCCACATGCAGCAAAGCTAAAACATTCATGGAGTCAGGGTTCCCCGGTAACAGGGTGCTTGGAGACAGTTCCCACCACACAGTGCCCAATCTCCTCCCACACTGCACCCACTGGGGACTTGTTTTGACTGGTAAAATGATGGTGCGACGTAATGGGGAAAAAACTGCATCTGTCGTGCCCCTCCTCCAGTGCTCCCCATGGTCACCTGAGGTAATTCTACAGACTGCCAGAGTACTCCTGAGAACAGTCGGAAGACTGCTGGTGTCCTACAGAAGATGGAGCCTAACCGTGGGCCTTCCAGACACATACTAATGAGTGATGGGACCTCACATTGGTCATATCAAATCACATTCATCTGGTTTATTTCCTGTAGGGGGAAAGCTGCATCTCGCTGGAACCCCCAGAGTGGTGCCCGCAGCATCACAGGGTGGGCAGCTCAACCTTTAAGCCATCCCAAGGGGGAGCACACGCTCCAAGACCACTCTCATAAAAGGCTGACCCATCCTCACTGCACTGATTACAAAGAGAGACTTGGCTTTCCTGGGACTCCAGCATGAGGAAGTGTAATGAGATCATGCCAGTGAGGGTCAACGTGGGCTTTGCTTGTTTCTGTGACCCTGCCAGTCAATTTTATTCATTCACTGGCCATCTTTAGACACCTCTAGTCTCAATCACAGAAAATAGATGGGCATAGGGAGAAATTGTGCCCAAAGAAAATGCACTCACTCACTCGTGGGTTTTAAAGTTTGTGGGGAAAATTAGTGGAGGAGGGTTTGGAGGGAAGTGGCATTACTTGAGAGATGCTTTTCATAGGATAGATAGAACGGTGCTGTGTTAGGCTGGAGGTGGGCCTGGGGCAAGGTCCAGAGGCAAGGGGCCAAGGATGACACCCAGGTTTCTGGCTTGAGTGACTTGTGGCCCTGGGGTACCATTGACCCAGATAGGGATCACAGGCGGAGGAGGAGAATTCAGTGAAAGGCTGAAGAAATCGGGTCTAGTCTTCGGTTCTGCTAAGATTCATATAGCTGATGGGTTGCTGAGAAGCTACGTTGAACATACTTGGCAATTACACAGGAAATAACCAGAATTCTACCCCATTCAGGAAATTTATACACATCCTGTTCTTGTTTCGGCTTGGTTTGGAGTTTGTTTACATACACGATAACACATGTATGTTTTGGTGTATGGTGTAAAGGTGAGGCTCAAAACTGGTGGTGCTCAACCATGTTGGGTAATATTTGCAGGCTGTCCCAGGCCCTAATTGGCCACTTAAGGGTGGACAAGACCTGTAGTGCAGAGACATCATAAACCATTGGCACACACCATGGAGCATGGGTTAGGAGGCTTTGGTCTTGGTTTACTTATCCATCAGCGTCCTCTGGGGATTGTGAGGGGAGGGTGAACAGCCTCCTCCCAGAGGTAGGAGCTAGACTTGTCTTATTTACTTGCTGTGAGAACTAGATGGGGTAAAACGTGTGGGGGCATGCCAGGCAAAACCTGGTCCCCAGTAACAGTGACTTCCCATATCTACCGAGAGGACAGGAGCTATGGATTCTTTGGGTGGCATTTGTAACTCCACTGGGAATAGTATCATCAGTGGGCATTTAATGATTAGTAGTAATGTCGGTGACCATTTGTCTCATAATACACAGCTCTGGTATGTTTTCTGCAATTGCCTGGATGAGTAATCTGTTGGACTTGCATCATGTTCCTCATGTTCTTGTTTTTTTGTTGTTGCTGTTGTTGTGGGTACATAGCAGGTGTATCTCACTTTCTAATATCTTCCAGGGCTGTTGGGAGCTTTCTCATTGCTCCTCACAGCAGTCCTGGGTGGTTGAGAAGGACCGATGCTATTACTCTTTGTGGGAGCGGGAAAGAAAGCGTCTCACAGAGGGGTTGTGAAGATTACTTGGGATGCCCCCTCCACAGAGCAGCTGGTGTTGTACCAGGCCTAGAGGCAACATCCATCAGGTTCCTTGAGATCAGGCCCTTTGGGATAAGCTCTGGATGCCATTTGTCCCCAGATCATCATCCAGCAGCAGTCATTTACATGCAAATCATGATGATACTAGCAATAGCTGCTAAGCCTGAGAGGTTGCATTGATAAGAGCTATGGGCTGCTGAAATGATTGCTGGAGGTATGTCTCACCCCCTTTCCTTTTATCCCAGCTGGGGTCAAAAAACCCACCTTTCCGACACTTGCAATGGTGGCTCAGAACTGTTATCTGGTTATTAGAGAAGTGGCCAGGAGAGAGCCAGTTGCTTAGACAAAGTCACAGTTAGTGGTGGGTCTTGTCCTGGCCCCCAGATCTCCCAACCCTCACTACAAGTGTCCTGTCCAGCAGGCCCATTATTATGCCCCTTCTTCTGCCATTCCTTGTCTTGTGTGCTTTGAAGTAGGCACACACCTCTGAGGACAAAAGAGGGCTTCTTCTGCTACATGCTGTGTTCCCTCTGTGTCTAGGAGGAGGCCAGTATGAATGGGGCTTTAATGTTGGCCTATAGCCTGCCATGGGCCCACGTCACTGCATAGCTTTCCAGTTAGGCACACATAGGTCGGGATCTTGGATTAGAATCTAGGGACAAATCCCTGCACCTTTTCTTAGCCTCGCTTTCTGCATTTGAGCGCTGGGGTAAATAGGAGGAGCGACGTCAGCAAGAAGGCTGAACAGATGATCCCACAGTACCACTCTCCCCACAAAAGTACAACTACAAATTAATCAAAGGCAAGAATACCACCCTGGTTTCACTAGAACTTGGGGGAGAAGCAAGGAAACTTCCTGGGATGACAAAACTGAGAAAAGCCACAACCAGTAAGAGGAACAACAGTCACGTTAGACTGTGCCACCTCCTCCCCCAAACCAGCATAATGCTACTCACAGAGAATTTCTCTAGACCCACAATTTCTGAGGTGGAAGGAGGGAACTGGAAGTGGACATGTGACCTCCCCATCAGTCTGGGAATCTTCATGGGAAGTCCCCTCCAGCCCTATCCCACGGGTACCCTTCAGAGTTCCAGAAGAGAGCTGAAACACCTGGGGTGAATTGGGAACAGAAAGTGGGTGCACTGATCACAGCAACTCTCACGTGGATCTTGGCAGCTGCTCTGTGCCACGATCAGTGGGCATGCCAATGCTGAGGAGACTGGCCAGAACCACAGCACTGCTGGGGGCGCAACACACAGGAAGGCCCAGATCCCTGGCCAGATTTCTCACTAAGCCCATGTGATCACATGGAGCCTTCCCTTGACCTGGAAAGAACTAAAAGGTTGGCAATAATGGGCCAGTGTTCGCTTAAGTCTTCCCCAGACCAAGAAACAGTGGCAGGGCAGCAACATAGTTAAGTGGAGCATTTAAGTTCTGGTGCTCACAGTAAGTCTTTTCCAGACTGAAAGCAACAGCTGGCCAGGGATTAAGTTCCAATATTAAGTAGTAAAGGTTTGACACCACCAAGGAGCAGCTGCAAAACCTGGAAGAGGTGAGCATCTCCTTAAACACACAGACATCAACATAAAGAGACAAGGATTGTGAAAACTCACAAAATGTGACACGCCAAAAGAAACCAACCAAACTCCAGTAACAGACCCAGAAAAACTGAAGATCTATGGAATGTCTGACAGACAATTCAGAATAATCCTAAAGAAGTTTGGGGAATTACATGACAATATGGATAACAAACTAAATAAAATTTGAATAACAATCCAGGAACAAAACAAAAAATTTGACAAAGAAATAAAAACAATTAAAAAAAAAAAAAAAAAAAACCAGAAGTCCTAAAATAGAGAATACAGTGACTGAACTGAAAACCTCATTAGAAAGGTTTAACAGCAGAGTTGACCAAACAGGGGAAAGAATCTGTAAGCTCCAAGACAGAACATATATAGAGGAGGAAAAAGACAAAAGCATTTTAAAAGAGGGAAGAAGGCCTTTAAGAATTATAAGACATCATCAAGAAAATTAGACTCTGCATAATAGAAATTGCTGAAGAAGACAAAAAAAAATACAAGGTCTAGAAAGCATATTTAGAAAAATAACGGCTGAAATTTCCCAAATCTGGAGAAAGATCATAGCATTCAGGCACAGGAAGCTCAGAGGTGACAAATAAAATTCAACCCAAAGACAAATTCCCCAAGGCACACCATATTCAAATTATTTAAACAAATCAGAGGCAAAGAAAAATGCTCAAAGCATCAAGAGAAAAACAACAAAAACAACATATCACACTCAATGGGTCACCAATACAGCTTTCAGTGGATTTCTCACCAGAGACCCTGCAGGCCAGGGAAGGGAGGAATGATACATTCAACGTGATGAAGAGGAAAAAAACTGTCAGTCAAGAATACCATATTCAGCAAAGCTATCCTTCCAGCAAAAAAGAAAGAAAAAGACTTGCTGAAACAAAAAGAAAAGAAAGAAAAGAAAAAACGTGAGAAAAATCATCAACACAACACCTGTCTTACAAGAGATGCTAACGGGGTTTCTTCAGTCTGAAAGAAAAGAACACTAACATGTAACAAAAAAATATCCGAAGGTATAAAACTCACAGGTAATAGTAAGAAAGCAGACAGATTTACAATGCTATAATATTGTCATCGCGGGTTGCCAAATATATCTTAAGTATGAAACCTAAAAGACAAAACTGTTCAAAACAGTAATAACTACAACAATTGGTTAAGAGATAAGAATACAAAAAGATGTAACTTAAAACATCAGAAAGTCAAAGTGTGGAGGGAGGGATGAGTTAAAGTGTAGAGTTTGTTTTTGTTCGTTTTTCCTGTGATTAAAGTTAAACTGCTATCTGTTTAAAATAACCTGTTGTAATTATAAGACATATTTTATACATCTCATCATGGTAACCACGAAGCAAAAACCTATAATAGGGACACTAAAATATAAATAGGAAGGAATCAAGATTTACTACTAGAGAAAAATACATAACAGCAAAAGAAGACAGTAAGAGCAAAACAAAGGAAGAACAGATCTACCAAAAAAAAAAACAAAAAACAAAAAACAGAAAACAGGTAACAAAATGGTAGTGTTAAACTTTTACCTGTCAATGATAAACTTGAATGTAAATGGACTAAGTTCTCCAATTAAAAGACATAGAGTGGCTAAAAACACAAGCCCCAACTAAATACTGTCTAGAAGAAACTCACTTCACCGACAAAGACACACACAGACTGAAAGCAAAGGGTTGGAAACAGACATTCCATGCAAATGGAACCCAAAACAGAGTGGGAGTACCTCTACTTAGATCAGATAAAATAGACTTTATGTCAAGAACCATAAAAAGAAAAAGACAAAGAAGGCCATTATATGATGTTAAACAGGTCAATAAAGCAAAAGGATATAACAATTGTAAATATATGTGTGTGTATATATATACATATGTTTTTGTAACAATTGTATATATAGTAATATATATTACAAAATATATATATTTTAACAACTGTAATATATATTGTAATATATATTTAATTGTTAAATACGTATATTCTAACCATTGTAAATATACATATTTTGTAAATATATATATAGTAAATATATATAAATACTTATAATTGTTATAAATATATGCACCCAACACCAGGGCATCCAAATATGTAAAGCAAATATTAAAAGACCTGAAAGGAGAGATTGACCATAATACAATAATAGTGAGGGACTTTAATACCCCACTTTCAGCAGTGGACAGATCATCCAAACAGAAAATTAACCAAACAGAAAATTAATGTCGGCATTAAACTGCACTCTAGACCCCATGGACCTAACAGATATTTACAGATCATTCCATCCAAAAGCCACAGAATACATATTTTTTCTCAACAGCACATGAAACATTCCTCAGAATAGACCATACGTTAGTTCACAAAGCAAGTCTTAACAAACTTTTAAAAATCAAAATCACATTGAGTACTTTCTGACCACAATGAAGTAATCAATAACAGAGGGAATATTGAAAACTGGGCAAAGTCGTGGAAATGAAACAACATGCTCCTGAACAATGGATGGGTCAATGAAGGAATTAAAAAGGAAAAAGGAAATTTAAAGATTCCTTGAGACAGATGAAAATGGAAACACAACATACCAAATCCTATGGGATACAGCAAATGCAGTTCTAAGAGGAAAGTTTATAGCAATAAATGCCTGTGTAACAGAAGTGGAAATATCTCAAATAAACAACCTAATGTTACGCCCCAAGAAACTAGAAAAAGAACAACAACAACAACAAAAAAAAAAACCCAAAGTTGGCAGAAGAAAAGAAATAACAAAGATCAGGGCAGAAATAAACAAAATAGAGATTTTTTAAAAACAACTTAAAAATCAAAAAACAAAGAGTTAGCCTTTTAAAAGATAAAGAAATTGACAAATCTTTAGCTAGACTAACTAAGGAAAACAGAGAGAAGATTCAAATAAAAACAGAGATAAAAAAAGGAAACATTACAACTGGCACAACAGCGGTGGAGATGATGATAAGAGACTATCATGAACAACCATCTGCCAAGAAATTCAAAATCTAGAAGAAACAGATAAGTTCCTGAACACATACAAGCTACCAAGATTGCATCACAAAGAAATAGAAAACCTGAACAGAAACAATAAGGAATAATGACATTGAAGCAGGAGTAAACACTCTCCCATCAAAGAAAAGTCCAGGACCTGATGGATTTGCTGGTGAATTCTACCAAACATGTAAAGAACTGGTACCAATTCTTCTCAAAGGCTTAAAAACAAACAAACAAACAAACAAGCAAATAAATGAAGAGGAGGGAATAGCTTCAAACACATTTTACGAGGCCAGCATTACTGTAATTCCAAAGCCAGACGAGGACACGACAAAACAACAAAGCTAAAGACCAATATCCCTAGTAAGCATGGATGCGAAAACCCTCAACCAAACACCAGCAACACATTAAAAACATCATCCATCATGATCAAGTGGGATTCATCCCAGGGATGCAAGGTTGGTTCAATATATGTGCAATGTAATAAAAGTGATGCCTCACATCAACAGAACAAAGGACAAAATCCATATGCTCATTTCGATAGATGCTGAGAAGCATTCAAAAAATGTCAACATCCCTTCATGATAGAAACTCCCAGCAAAGTGGGCAAAGAGGTAAAAAACATACCTCAACAAAATAAAGGCCGCATATGATAAACCGAAAGCTAATATCATACTGAATAGGAAAAAGTTGGACGCTTTTTCTCTAAGATTTGTAACAAGAAAAGAATGCTCACTTTCACTGCTTAAATTCAACTTAGTATTGAAAGTTCTAGCCGGAGCAATTAGGCAAGAGAAAGAAATAAAGAGCGCCTGTATTAGTCTGTTCTCACGCTGCTGATAAAGACATACCCGAGAGTGGGTAATTTATTTTTTAAAAAGAGGCTTAATGGACTCACAGTTGCACGTGGCTAGGGAGTCCTCACAATCATGATGGAAGGCAAAAGGCACATCTTACATGTCGGCAGGCAAGAGAGAAAATGAGAGCCAAACAAACGGGGAAACACCTTATAAAACCAACAGGTCTCGTGAGACTTATTCACTACCGCGAGAACAGTATGGGGGAAACCGCCCCCAAGATTTTATTATCTCCCACCAGGTCCCTCCCACAACACATGGCAATTATGGGGGCAACAGTTCAAGATGAGATCTGGGCGGGGACACAGCCAAACCATAACAGCATCCAACCTGAAAGGAGGAAGTCAAATTGTCCCTGTTTACAGACGACATGGTCTTATATAGAGAAAACCCTAAAGACTGCACCAAGTAACTATTAGAACTAATAAGTGAATTCGGTAAAGTTGCAGAATATAAAATCAGCATACAGGAATCAGTAGCATGTCTGTTTGCCAATAGCAAACTATCTGAAAAAGAAATCAAGAAAGTAATTCCATTTACAATAGCCACAAAAAAATAAAAAATAAAATCCTAGCAATAAACTTAAGCTAGGAGATGAAAGATCTCTACAGTGAAAACTGTAGAACACTGATAAAAGAAACTGAAGAGCACACAAATAAATGGAAAGAGATCCCACATTCATGGACGAATTAATATTGTTACAATGTCCATATTAACCAAAGTGATCTCCATGTTCGACATTTGACATCCCTGTCAAAATACCAATGACAGTCCGGATAGAAAAAAAAAATCCTAGATTTGTATGGAGCCACAAAAGATGCTGATAGCCAAACCAATCCCAAGCAGGAAGAACAAAGCTGGAGACAACACACTACCTGACCTCGAAATATACAAAAGCAACCAATACAACAGGGCACTGACATAAAATCAGATACATAGACCAATAAAACATTATAGGGAACCCAGATATAAATCCAAGCATTAACAGCCAACTGATTTTCTACAAAGGAGCCAAGAACATACATGGAGGATAGGACAGTCTCCCCAATAAATGGTGCTGGACAAACTGTACGTTCACAATCAGAAGAATGAAACCAGACCCCTATCTCTCACCATATACAAAAGTCAAATCAAAATGACTTAAAGACTGCAATGTCAGACCTGAAACTGTGAAACTTCTAGAAGAAAACATAGGGGAAACGTTTCACGAAATTGAACTGGGCAACGATTCTTTTCTTCAGTAAGGCCTCGAAAGCATAGGCAACAAAAACACAAATAGACCAATAGGATTATATCAGACTATAAAGCATCTGCACAGCAAAAGAAACAATCAGTAGAGTAAAGAGACAGCTTACAGAATGAGAGAAATAGTATTTTCAAACTATGCATCTGACAAGGGGTTAATATCCAGAATATATAAGGAGCCCAAACAATAGCAAAATTCATAATAATTCAATTAAAAATTGGGAAAAATGCCTGAATAGACTTTTCTCAAAAGAAGATGTGCAAATGGCCAACGGATATATGAAAACAGTCAACATCACCAATCATCGGTGAAATGCAAATCTAAACCGCGATGTGATATCACTTCGCCCCAGTTAGAATGGCTATTATCAAAAAGACAAAAAGTAGCAAATGCTGGAGAGGATGTTGAGAAAGAGGAACACTTATGCACTGTTGGTGGGAATGAAAATTACTACAGTCATTATGGAAAACAGTATGAAGATTCCTCAAAAAATTGAAAATAGAACTGCTGTGTGATTCAGCAATCTCGTTACTGGGTATATAGCGAAAGAAAAGGAAATCATCACGTTGACGAGACATCTGCACTCCCGTGTTCGTTGCAGCAATATTCACAATAGCCAAGATATGGAATCAACCTAAATGCCCATCTACAGATGAATGGATAAAGAAAAATGTGGCTTGTATATACAATGGAATACCATCCAGCCATAAAACAAAATGAAATCCTGTCATTTGAGGCAACATGGGTGAACCTGGAGGACATTATGTTAAGTGAAATAAGCCAGGCACAGAAAGACAAACACCACATCACCTCACTCAGATGTGGAATCTTAAAAAGTTGATTTCACAGAAGCAGAAACTAGAGTAGTGGTTACCAGAAGCTGGGGAGGGAAGGGGGTGTGGGGCAACGGGAGAGGTTGGCAAAAATGTAAAAAGTTACAGTTAGACATAAAGAACGAGTTCTGGTGTTCTATTACACAGTAGAGCGAGTATAGAAAATACCAATGTAGTGTATACTTCAAGATTTTAAATCTAGAAGATTTTAAATGTTAACACTGCAAAGAGATGATAAATGTTTAAAGTGATGAATATGGTAATTACCCTGACTTGAAGATTATACAATGTATACAGGGGTTGAAACATCACACGGTACCCCATAAATATGTACAATTATGTGTAAGTAATGCATTTTTAAATCATGAATGAAAAGAAAAAGAAGCTTAAGAGTGTGCCCGAAACTCTTACAGGTGGAAAGCTCTGTAAGGGTACAGCTCATTACTGTGCCGCCAGCCCTCAGTGTGATCTTGGCGCATGGAACTATGGTGATTCTATCCCCAGTGTGCAGAGTACCTCTGACACCCAACTCAATGAGCATTTATTAAATGTAAATAAAACCAACCAAACAAAAAGAAAACTGAGGTAAATACGAACAACCTCACATGGTTGTGGTGAGGCCTGAATAAAGCAGTCTGTATGAACACCCCAAATGAAAAGTGTCCATGCAAGAAGACACAGGAAACAAAATGCAAACACAAGTGAGAGACAGGGAGCAAACATCTTCTTCAATTATAACAGACTAAATAATCACATTTGCAATATACAGAGAGCTCTGATGAGACAACTCAAGAAACACATGCGAGAACAAACAACAATAGAAGAGCTAACAAACAATCTGAGCAGGCCATTTATAGAAATACAAATGGCCACTATGAAAGGAATAGGAGCTCCACATCACAAGTCATAATGGAATTAAGATAACAGTGAGATTCCACTTTTCAAACTGCAACCTGACAAACACTTAAAATTATAATGATACCAATCGGGTATCATATACTGAGGTTCTGACGCTGGTAGTGTGAATTGGCACAGATTCACGCTACGCGCCAAATGTGCACTCCACATTTGGAGTGCCATTTGTCAGGGATTAAACAGTTTTAATATATTTACCCTATGGTGCATCCCCAAATTCTTTCTTCCTCCTGACACCAATCATAACTAGAAGTAGGGTGGGAAAACTGATGCTTCCTAGACCAGAGCCCTGGGGGCTCAGATGCCACTGTCTCAAGGCCCATCACAGGGTCCTAAAAGGGTTCTGTCAAGCCCTTGACAGACCCCTGGGCATCCTCAAGGCCAGGACCTTGGAAGGCTCCCGTAGGCTGAGCCTGAGCCTTGACTGAGCAGCCTGACTCAAAAATTATAGCTAAAAATCTCAGGGCTCCGTGAGACACAGTTTTCTACATCCATGCTTCCCTCAAGCACCCTACGTTGGCTTCCACTAATGCACAGAAGAGAAACCTGGAGTTTGATTGTGGATCCCCAGCAATGCTGGGGTTCGGCTCACTGGGAATTTAGGGGTAGTTTCAGGGTTGTCTACTCACTGAGTTTCTTGACATGAAGATGGAGCTGGTGGGGGGAAAAATATAATTGGCAAGTACCCCGGTTTGAATTTCAGTAAACCTTAAAGATAACAATGCAGAAATAGATCTTCCCTTAAGTCTTTAGGCTTATATAAGTAGAGTAATGTGAAAATCAGAAACCATCACTTTCAATTCGTCATTTAATCATCTACATGAGAGTCGCGTTGTGGGGCTGGAAGCTGATTAGAGTGGGTTCAAGGGGGAGTCGGGAGAGAGGAAAGGGAAGCGATGATACTAGTCAATGAGGCATCTCAGCACGTGAGGGAGTTTACGAGAATGTATCATCAACTGCTTGAAAAGAGCATACTCATCTACAGGAGGGGAGGGTGAAGATCCAGGCCAGGGACACGGGGATGGATTTTCACAGGGGGGGACAGGCCCTGAGCCAGAGGCCCAGCACAATGAAGAGTTCTGCCGGCCTCTGACAATAAGTCCTTTCAGACACCACATGTACATCGCACTTCTCAGAAAACATGAACTTCACTGGCATTCCTGCTGCTGCTGAGTCCTGATCTGACTGTATGGAGAAAGCCGCATCCCCCAGACTGGTGCTCTCAGCTTTGCAAGGTGGGCAGCTGCAGTTTTTAGCCTTCCCAAGGAAGAGCAAACTCTTGAGGACCTGGTGAGCCTGATTTCCCTCCAGCGTGGCAGATAGTCAGCCCCAGGAGAGCTGGGATCTAGATCTCTAGAGTTCATTGCTGTATCCCCAGTACCTGCAACTGATCCTGGTGTACACAAAACAGGCCCCCAGCGAACACCCGACGAATGAAGGAAGCAATGTTAGTGCTGGCTAGAATGATTTTTCCCTATTTTCCTGAACGGAACTGGTTCAGCTAAAGACACTATGCCCTTGGTTTATTTTGCCAACACCATAGAGGACCAGGCTTGCCCAGGGAACCTGCTCTTCTGAGAGGGTGTTGGAGGAGCTGGTTCCAGGGAGCCCTGACATGTTTCACCAAGTGCTTCAGGTGAGAGCCTCTGCCTCTCTCACTGCTCACCGCCAAGCCCACCAAGAGAACCTCAGGCCAGGCCAGAATCCCCAGGGCTCCCAAGGGTCCAATTGTCACTCTGTTTTCCTCCCTAGGGGAGGATACCGGACACTCGGAAACTGAGACCACGGGGGCCGCAGACACAGAGCCGTGAACGGTGACCACGCCCCTTCGGCTGCTCCATGCCCCTGCTCACCCCAGTGGGCCTGAAATACATACTGGCACACTTGACTCTTTTGGTGTTATGATATTTGATGTCCCTCTCCACATGAATATCCACCTCCTGTGATTTATGGTTTGCCTCTTTCGGTGAAGGTGGCAGGGAAGGGGGTCGCTGTGGAGAGAGAGTTAGGCACGGGGTACCTAGCCAAATGGGTTACTGTCCTCGTACCTTGGAGCAGTACTGCATGTCCCCCAGTCACTTTTGCAATAGCACAATGGTTGATGGACAGTAAACATGCTACTGGTTTCAAACACTTCATATAGGGTGGCTGATGGGCACTGACTGAGTGATAGCCCTTGGGCCGGAGAGGAGGGCTGTAGGTTGAGGGACAGGGAGGTGAGGTCAGAAGGAGAGAAGATGTCACAGAATCCACAGGAAAGGCTTCAGAGGCATTAAGTTATAATCTGACCACAACAACCCCCACCTCAACCTTGGAGAGAGCCCCTCCAGCACATGGCCTCATATCCATCACCTCAGGTTGTTTGTCTCTTATTATGACACCGTGTCTCTTTGTAAGCTGCCCCTGATATATATTGCAAGAAAATAGCAGCAGTGGGAAGAGCTGAGTCTGGTGGATGCTTCCCAGAACTGGAAAAAGCCCAGGCTTCTCCGGGATGGCTCTGCTCCTGGCTAAGGTTCTGCCATGGGAGTCCAGCCACCTGCAGTCCCGATCCCCACAGCCTAATGGAACCACTGGGTTCCTAGGAAACTCACAAGTTCACAATGCCACCCCCCAGCTTGACGCATTTGGCTCTGAGACACGCCTGGGAAATGTGGAGTCCAGGGGTCCTGAGAGCCCCCTCCTTCTCTTCTGTTTTCTACTTTTAGAGTATTGTACTACTGAAATATTTCAAACCTACAGAAAAACAGAGAGAAGAATACAGCAGCCACCATCCCTACT
Organism: Homo sapiens; assembly: GCF_000001405.40. Lineage (NCBI taxonomy): Eukaryota > Metazoa > Chordata > Mammalia > Primates > Hominidae > Homo > Homo sapiens. Next base: position 72,929,567 of record NC_000023.11, read on the forward strand.
TAAAAATGCTTTGCTATATGTGCTTCACATCTCTCTCTGCTTTTGAGTTAAATACATTTTGGAGACACACAAACCATCCCCAATCTATACTCACTCCTCTCCTCCCTAGAGTAGGTCCCCCATCTTAGGCGTCTGAACACTTCTGGGTCTCCACGCAGCTTCAGAGCAGCTCCTTCTCTGGCATGGGTGCTCCCACGTTGCCTTAGAGATGTTTCTGTGATGCCTGCTGGAGAACTTGGGGGGATTCTACCCAGAATCCCAACCCAGAGGGTAAAAGCAAGAACATCTCTGCAGCTTTCACAGATAACTCTGGACCCAGCCCTCTCCCACCTGTACCCGTGTTCTCCTGAGGTGGGCCCTGTCTCAGTGGGAGAGCTGAGCCCTTCACCTCTGTTTTACCAGGAGAGGCCTGGAGCACCATCCTGGGTCCCAGTCCCACCCGAGTGATGGGTGTGTGCTTCAGTCACAGGGAGCAGGTCCCTTTTCAGCTGCTGTGACATCTCATGGGCTCAGTGGCCAGGAGTAGCTGGTAGGTTTGGGGAGGAAGGCAAGGCCAGGCAGACTCGAGTCCTGGGCCTGCTGGAAGAGAGGTGGGATCAGATAGATGCAGGCCACATAGCACAGTCCAAGGTGGCCCATCAACCATTTGCTCCGTCAAGGTGGTTGATACCCAGAGGGGCTCACTATACTGAGGTGGGTGCAGGAGCAGGTGTGGTGGGCAGCCTTCCAGAATGGCTTCCAAGGATCCCCCTTCCTGGCACCCATGCTCCTATGGAATTCCCTCCCCTTGAGGGTGGGCTGGACCTAGTGGCTTGCTTCTAACCAACAAAATTTGGCAAAGGTGATGGCGTGTCATTTCCATGCTTAGGCTATAACAAGACTGTGACTTCTGACCTGCTGGCATTCATTCTCTCCCTCAGGCTCTTCCTGCACGCGTGTTTGCCCAGATGGAGAAGGCCAGCTGGCGAGGAGCTGATGAAAGTCTCTGGCCAACAGCCATAGAGGAACTGAGGCCCTCAGGCCAGCGACCCACTAGAGCCTGCCAACAATCACATGAGTGAGCTTGGAAGTCTATCTTTCCCCAGCTGAGCCTACAGATGAGGAACTGGATCCTGCCAACAGCCGCATGAGTGAGCTTGGAAGTCAATCCTTCCCCAGTCAGGCCTACAGATGAGACTGTTGTCCCTGGGCTGGCAGCCTTGTGAGAGACTGGGAAGTAGAGGATCCAGTTAAGCCATACCCGGATCCCTGATCTACAGAACTCTCAGAGAAAAACTGCTTATCATTTTAACTTGATATGCTTGGGGTAGTTTTTTATGCAGCAATCAATAACAATTAAGACAGCAGGAATATCTGGGGGCTAGGGACTGGGTGCAAGACACAGAAGGCTCCATTAAGGCTGGGAGGGGTTCTCAGGTGCCAGGGTGGTGCATGGTGCGCCCACGTTTTAGTCAGACCTGGGGTCAAGTCCCAGCTTTGTCAGTAAATATCTGTGTGACCTTGGACAAGTATCTTGAAGTCTCCGGCTCCAGATTACACCCTGTAAAATTTGACTGACATTGAACTTGCAGGACCGTTGGAAAGATAAGTGTCAGCTTATGTAATCCACACGACAGAGTGTCTGATGTGTATTAGGCCCTCAGTAAGTGGCAGCCATGAGTAGTAATATAGTTGACCTGGGACCCTGCATCCTCCTCTTGGGAGCTCCCGGGTGACTCCGGGTCATTCCAGTGCCAAAAAACAAAAACCAAAACCCAAAAACAGTGCAGGAAAAATATCTTCCTAGCAAGTAGGACAAAGGCGTCTGTTCTCCAGGAAGAGAGGCCCATCACAGTGGATACTTTTCCAAAAATTCTGGTGTGAGGGAGGCAGCCCCAGCAGGCTGCAGCTCATAGGCCATATCCCTTATGCAAAGGACCAAATGCTCTCCTCCCTCCCTCCCTCCCTAGATTCCTCTCTTCCTCCCTGCCCCCATCCATCCCTTCCTCCCTCCCTCCCTCCGTCACTCCCTTCCTCTCCCTCTCCTCACTTTCTCTCTCTCTCTGCCTTCCCCTCTCGCCGAGGCCTGATTCCAATATCTTTACCCCACAATTCTGCCTCTTCACACTCATTTGACCCCTACTAGAAACCCAGCCCTTCTTTATGTCATCCTGGTTTTATTCTAGATGAACCCATATCAATGTCCTCATTATGCACTGTTTGCCAGCTTCCCCAGCCACACAGGATGGTATCCGATCACTGGCTTCTAGGGAACAGCTTGGGTGGGCATCACTCTGACCTCACCATTGCGCTTTAGAGTTGGTGTGTTTAGAAGGCCCAGTGTATGCACTGTAGAAAACTGCACAGGGACGGGAGCCCAGGACTCATCCTGGACCAGCAATGGAGACTTCCTTCTATACCATCCAGATCCAAATGAGATGATTCTGTGAGAGCCCCTTTCTATCCAGGACATTGTCTCTCATCCCTCAGACTTTCCATCTGGACATCTCAACTCTGCTCCTCTCCTACAGCCTCGTCTCTCTCCACAGCGTGGCTAAAATTTGCCTTCAGTACCCCCGAAAATAGCTGTTAATTCTGCCCTGCCTCAGGGCCTTTGCATTATGGCTCTCCTCTGGAGCCACCATTTCCTTGCTCAGCCTGTCACTTGTCCTTTTGATCTCTGATGTTCCTACCCTCAAAAAGAACACGTCCTTCTTCCCTTGGTAACATGTCTCCCCTCCACCATGCCAGTCCCAATCACAGTCTCCTCACTTGACTGTCTCACCATAGTGATACATTTTCTCTCTGTGTTACCTTGAGGAAGTTGCTATACCTTTCTGGGCTTCCATTTCCCTATCTATATGATGAAATATTTGACTAACACACAAACATACTGTGTACTCTTCTCTATCATAGCATTTCTCATGCTAGACTGCCCCCTCTGGCAGCTTAATTTGCATGACTGTCCTCACCCAGGTTCTCATCTCTGGAGCATGAGCTCTGCCTTGTTAGTCCTGGAACAGCCAGTACCTGGACACAGGGCTTTACCTACAGCACGGCACCAATAAACCTTTATTGAAGAAAACAAATCAATGAGCATGTGTCCACCAGAGCTTTGCTGTGCCTGGACTCTCTGATCTGGGATAAGGGTGAGAAGTATTCCTTTTATTTCCTCTAGCTTGGAGCCCAGAGCCTCCTGCTCAGCAGGAACCAGATGTTTTCAATGTCTGGACTCAGAGCTGTCTTCCTGGAGGTGCTGAGGCCTTTTCTCCAGTCCAGAAATGAATCTGGGCTGGCTGAATGTGGGTAGGGCAAGGGATATGAGACTGTGTGGGACACAGATATGGATGAAGCTGCCACTGTAGCTTAAGAGGCTCAGGCCCAGGGGACAAGATTTGAGGCCACCTTGTTCCCTCCTTCCTTCCCTTGGGCTCAGAGGGAGGACCCTTGTCTGCAACGATACCACCGTCCAACCAATCCAGTGGGTTACGAGGGGCCATAACTTGGAAAACAGCAGTCAAAACCCAAGTAGTCATAGGGGATTTAATAGAGCAGGGCTTGGTGTCAAGGGGACCTCACCTCTAAAACACACACACACACACACACACACACACACACACAGAGAGAGAGAGAGAGAGAGACAGAGAGAGAGAGAGAGAGAGAGAAAGAGAGAGAGAGAGAGAGCGAACGCCAGCCTGGAGCCCCCTGTTCACCACCCACCAGAGGCTGATTCACACACCAACACAGCCTCACACATTATATCCTCAGAGGCACAACACTGCTGCTGATTGGGACCTGGCTGCCATGAACCTCCTCAAGCTGTTTGCTGTGATGACCCATTTGCACAGGCTCTTGATTTCTAGAACCTCTCAGGTTCAGGGGAAGACAGGTTTCATCTGTCAGTGTTAGTCACAGTGTCCTCCCTTCACTGTCTCACCATAGTGATACATTTTCTCTCTGTGTTGAGCAAGTTGCTATACCTTCTTGAGCTTCCATTGCCCTATTGACATACTGAAATCTTTGGCTAAATGACCTCCAAATTCTTGTTCTTCTCACACATTTAGTGACCCCGTGGCTTAGGGGACTACTACATTCACAGCTACCTGCTGTGTCAGCCAGCTGCCTAGTTGCAAGTCCCCTGATGGCACTGCTGCCCTGGGGGCTATTATGCCTCCCATGAGCCCCATTGCAAGTATTTTCAGTATCCTCTAAGGATACCCTCACTACCCCCTAAGATACTGCATGACACCATTGGCATCTCACCCTGCCTAAAATTGCTTCTTTTCATACCCCAGAGCTACAGAATGGGTGGGCAGCTGACTAGAGTCTCCCAGGCTAGGTCCTTAGGAGACTATATATATATGTATCACTATCTTATGTCCCATGACAGACTTCAGAAACTCTAGGCCAGGGCCTGGATGCAACCCAGAAGATCCTCAAGGGCTGGACCTTGGAACTCAGGCTAGCCCCTGATTGAGCACCCTCATTCTAGAGAACTGCAGCAGAGGAACTCAGAGTCTCCACTGGGACACACGTTTCTGATCCAGCACCGTTTCATGGTAGCCAACCTTGACTGCTACAAGTGCACAGAATAGAAACTGGGTCTGCTTATTTGCAGTTTCCAAAATCACCTCAGTGGCCTGGTCTTTGTGCTTCAAGTGCTGTTCCTCCTCTCCCTTTCCCTGTCTAATTTCTTTCCTCACGCCTTTCAGGCACCTAATCCTCTGGGAAACCTCCACTGACTCCATTAACATCCCCAAGGCTGAGTGGGTGCCCTGTCTGAGCCTTCTCATGGACCCCGAAACTTCCTCCTGTCACTCTCTGTTGTACTCTGTTGTGCCTTTCTCAGCCTCTCCCCACCCAGCCCACTGGAGGCGACATCTGAGTATGGGCTTGCAGGCATGACCAGCCCTGGACCTTCACAGATTCTGTAAGGAAGGCTTTGTCTCAAAACCTTTTATATATCAACCACCAGATTAGCAAATAGTTAAAGGGATGAATAACATCAAGAGCGACGGTGAAGGACAATGAACACTATCCTACACTGCTCCTGAGAGAATAAATTGCTGCCACCTCTTTTCAGATCCATTTATCAACGGCTACTCAGTGTTGAAATATTTGTAGGGTTTTGTGCCAAAATTCTATTTATGTGTATCTCTTCTAGAGCGACACATCCTCTGCAAACAAAGATATTGGAAAAACTTTTGAGAACTTTAAAAGTTGAGGAAAAAAATGTGAAGGTCCTTGTGTATGGAAGTAGTTAAAGAATTATGGCATATCACTTAGAACACTATGCAGAAGTTAAAAATGATGAGACAGTTCTCCATGAACTGACAGGAGAAGTTCACCCAGACTTGCTGTAAAATGCAAAAATCAAGTGCCACACAATACGTGCATCCTGAGCCAGTCTGTATCTTATGGCCCCATAAAAGACAAGCGTATGTTTCTATTAGTGCATGTATGTGTATGTAAATGCATCGATTGAGGAATTTTTGAGGAAACACATTAAACCATTGCTGAGGGGGCTGGTGACGGAGAGGGGTGGACAAGGGAGACTATTGTTTTGTCTGTATTGTTTTCATACACGAGGATTATTTGCATAAATAAGACAGTATTGTAAACAGGTGATATACCTGTACTTACTAGGTCTTTAATAAAAAGAAACTGTTATTATTTGTCATAATAAGAATCACTTCGCCTCTTGCAGGAGCTTCTGCGAAACTTGCGTGCAAGTCAACGAAATTGTATTGAGATCCTCTCATGTACCCAGTGCTTTCACACATATAATTTACCTGTAATTTATCCAGTTCAATCTCAGGGCTGGCAAAATCCAGTTGACCCCTACTCCCTGTAACAACCACTCCAAATTAAAAAATCAACTTTTTCTTGAATCCCTACACACTTGTTTAATCTCAGCTGAGGGAGACATGGTATAAAGCTACGAGGGGCTGACCTCGTAGCCTTTCTCGATATAAATCCCATCCATCCACAGGGTGGTGCGGGGCGGGTCTTATCACCATCACTCACAGCCCTTCCCTGACTCTTTGCAGAACTCTGGGTCCATTCAAGGCAGTTGCACAGAGGCAGCTTATTTTCTCAAAGGAGATTCAGAAAAAAAAAAGGAAATGTTACTGGGCGGGACAACAGGGTTGTCCACCTCACCTGCCATCAGGCTTCGGGGACTGAGCAGCCTGGCCTCCTGGGCCAGCCCGGGACTCCTTTCTTTGAAAAACCGCTAGGTTGGTGTATTAGTCCGCTCGGGCTGCCATAACAAAATACCACAGGCTGGGTGACTTAAACAACAGACATTTATTTTCTCACAGTTCTGCCAGCTGGGAAGTCCAAGATCAAGGTGCTGGCCGATTTGGTTTCTGCTGAAGGCTCTCCTCATGGTTTGCCTCCTTCTTGCTAAGACGTCACATGGCCTTTCCTGGGTGCATGCAGTGCAGAGAAGAAGAGACCTCCCTGCTACCCAAATGTCCCTGCAGAAGCACAGTTGTCACTACCTCGAGATACTGACAGATACAATGAGCTCTGTGGCGTCTCTTCTCATAAGGACACTAATCCTGTAGGAGCAGGGCTCCACCCTTATGACCTCATTTAACCTTAATTGCCTCCTAAAGCCTCTAGCTCCAGATACAGTCCCATTAGGGGTCGGGGCTTCAATATATTAATTGCAGGGCGGGGGAACGCAATTCAGTCCACAGCAGTTGGCAAGGTTTTGTGTTGCGGACCCTCACTTTCTGGCGTTTCTGATTCCCTGCTGTTCAAATGTCCCTGCAGAATCACAGATGTCACTACCCTGACATACTGACAGATACAACTGGCCCCTCATCCTGCCTAAAGCCACCTACTACCACATCCCAGGGTTACTAATGAGGAGGTGAACTGGGTCTCCTAGCCCAGAGGCCCGGCTGATCGATGTCACTGCCTTAAGCGTCATCATAGACGTCAGAAACCCTGGACCAGGCCCTGGGTGCACCCTGGAATAGCTTAAGAGGGCAGAACCTTGGGATGGTTCCCCAGGAGTGATTCCAGCCCCTGAGAAAACTCACTCAAAAACTGCAGCAGCAGGGGCTCAGGGACTCCGTGGGGCACGGTTTTCTCATCTTGTTCTGCCACCTGGTGGCAGTTGGCTGCGTCTACAAGGAAACAGGTGGAAGCTCCATAAAACCTGGGCCTTTCTTCCTGGGAATTTCCAGCAGTTTGGAACAACCTTCCTACTTAGAAAATGAGTTTCTTTATATGAGAATGAAAGTTGTGCTGGGAGATGACAGTGTAGTTACTTGGGTCTTCATTTCTATTCATTTTTTAAGTTAACAATTTAAACCTAGCTTTTATTAAGCATTTAAATACAACTTGCCGGTTTGGTCATTTTAATCACATAGCTAGTCATATACAACTATAAGAAACATTACTTTCACTTGTTCATTGGTTCATGTTCAATTAACTCCTAAGTTTCAGTGGAGTGGTGTAGGAGAAAGCCTAACTGGAGTAGATTCAAGGAGAGAAAAGGGAGATAGGACAGACAATGAGACCTGCTCACTTCTTGGAGGAGTTTCTAAGTATTTCACAACACTTGCCTGGAAATTCACAAGATTTTGAGGAGAATTTTTGTACACGTCAGAGGGAATTACGTATTTACATGAAAGCTAAGGGCTCTTTACCTCTGATTTGCACACGAATCCTATGAATCACAGGGCTGTCTGAAACCATTTGAACCCTCCTCTCTGCAGCATACGGTACAAGTGACCACTCAGGCTGTGTTTCAGCACCTCTAATGTTGCTAATCTCATTACCTTACAAAGCCAGCGATGGCCTGGCTGGTGGGAAGGACATCTTCGTGTGAGTCCCATCTGCAGCATCTGTGGTCTTGTTAACCTCTTTCCCGGCTCCTTCCCCTGACCTTGTCTCTCTGCAATTCTGGGTCCATCTAGAACTCTGGTGTGACACCCCAAGAGCAGATGTGATGGCTGAGGTCCAATCATAGGCTTTTAGTGGATATGTATTCAGGGGCAAACACATAATGCTGCATTTACCTCCACACTATGAAGATATACAGAGCCTTCAATACACATCGATTACTCATAAATGTCTACTTCTTAGGTATCAGGATCACTCTTACAATTTCATCTACAAGGTCCAACTGTTAAATGTGAGAAAAACAGTGCACAGTAATGTGACAATAGTGTCCACATGAATGAAGTAGTTCCAGTTTCCCTGGGACTGAGAGCTTTCCCGGGACAGGGGCCTTTAAGTTTTAAAACCGGAATGGTCCCACTCATGGCAAACTAGGACCATGTGTGACCTTGGCATGCAATGAACCATTCATGGCCAAATAAAATGAGCTACCTGTAGAAGACCTCTACACATCATGTTCTCTCGAGGAGGACCCTCGGGGCTGTTCTGCTCAGCAAGCAGAAGCGTGACTCGAGCCTGCTGGGAGGGCCAGGAGGAAGAAACAAAGGAAAGAAAGATTGGAGGAGTGGGAGTAAGAAACACAGGAACAGACGGAATGTGACATACCAGAAATGTATCCCCTGCTGGAGCACAAGGCTGTAGGAGGGAGGGACGATGGGGCAGGGGCAGAGGGGCTGAATGGGGCGTGGAGGGGGCAGGCCCTCGGCCTCTTTGCACCCGGCAGAGTGACGAGCTTCGCCGGTGTCTTCAACGAAGTCCTGTCGGTCCCTACCGGCACATCACACACTCCTGGAAGCATGATCTTCACTCCCTTCCTTCCACCTGCTGACCTGGTGAGTCTGGCTTCCCTCCATTGTCCTGGAATGTCCCCTAGGAGGTTGGGCTTTGGTCTGTGCAGGTCACTGCTGCATCCCCAGCCCCTGCAAGAGGGCCAGAGACACACACAATAGTTGCTGGGTGGGGTGAAGGAAGCCAGGGATGGGAGGGAGCATTAGGATCTGGCTATTTAGTCTGTCTTTCAGAATGTGAAAGGGCTGCAAAACGACCCTGAGGAATGGGTGGCTGTGTCTGACGCCACGGAGGACCCATCCGGTGGCACAGGCTTGCCCAGGGAACCTGCTCTTCTGCGAGGGTCTTGGAGGAGCCGGTTCCAGAGAGCCCTGGCATGTTTCACCAAGTGTTTCAGGTGAGAGCTCCTTCGGAGCACGCCTCTGCCTCTCTCACTGCTCGCCACCAAGCCCATCCGCCTCCCCTTCCTGTTCCACCAAGAGAACCTCAGGCCAAGCCAGAAATCCCCAGGGCTCCCGAGGGTCCACTTGTCACTCTGCTTTCCTCCCTAGGGGAGGATACCGGGCACTCGGAATCTGAGACCACCGGAGCCACAGACACAGAGCCATGAACGGTGACCAAGCCCCTTCTGCTGCTCCATGCCCCTGCTCGCCGCAGTGTCCCAGTCACCAGGCCTGAAATAAATGCTGGCACGCTTGACTGTTTTTGCTTTGTGGCATTTGATGTAACTTTCAACACGTCGGGTGAAGTGGGAGTGGTCAGCTTTGGTGGTGGTGGGGTTGTGGAGGGAGAGAGCTAGCATCTTCCTGAGCCCTGTTAGGCTGTCCGCCCTCCTCCTCGAGGCAGCGCTGCTTGTTCCTGGGTCCTGGTGGCGATGGGCTGTGGCCAATCAATGGTGAGTTTTCCACAGCTGGCAGCTCGGACCCTGGTGAGGCACTTACATGCAGGAATGACGACGGAATAACATCTCTCTTCCCCCAGCAATGCGCACGGTCTTCATATCGGAGGAAAACTGGGCAGTGTTTATATGCAGAGGCGGGAGGGTCATGTGGAGGAAGAATCTGTGGATCTCAGAAAAGGCATTAACCCCTAAACTGACAAAGAGCTCCCAGGCCCCCCTACCCCACCGCAAGAGAGAGAGCCCTTCCAACAGACGACCTCGTCTCCACCTACGCGTTGCTCGTTTTCATAAGAGGAGGGCTTCATTTTTTCTTTCTTTTGCCTTCCTGAGGTGACCTTGATATGTGCTGCAACACAGTATCAGCAGGAGAATTCTACAAAGGGGGTTGGAGCATACTTGTTCCTTTAACCTGTTAGAAATTGCAACACAAGCAATCACCAAGGTCAATGGAGAGACGGCGGGCCTTTCAGACACACAGTAATGGGTGGGAGGACCTCACAGAGGCCCACGTCAAATTACATTGATCTGTTCACTTTCTGAATGAGGAGCTGAGTCCCACGGGTGCTCCCAGAGTGGGGTCCTCAGCTTTGCAGGCTGGGCAGCTCTAGTGTCTCAGCATGCCCAGGGGACAGCAACACTCTCGAGGACCCACTCCCACAGGAGGCTGACCCATCCTCCCTGCTGGCACATTCTCTTGCTTCTCTCTCATTAAGACTGAAATAAATCTGGAAGTGTTTGGTGGTTTTATGGGTCAATATCTTTTTACACCTCTTGAGAAAGATATTTAATCGGGATAGGGTTGGCTGTTGGAGATGGAGAGGAGCTTAAGACATACATACGTATCTGGACTCATGTATGTGGTTATAGTCATGGGACAGCATTGCTTCTTCCTAAGTACCTGTTAGGACTGTGACCTATAGACAATGCTTTTTCCACAGGTATCTTGCTATGGCCTTGAGGAGGGCAATTCAGTGTAACAATGCAGAAAAAATATCATCTCTCCCTGCCCAAATGCATATACCCTTCATAACTGACAATGTTTATTGGCTTCAAATGGAGAGCAGGCGGCTCGGGATTTTGAGGAAAGGCCTCAGATTGAGGTACACATAATCAGCTCCAACTATCCCCACCCCAAACTAAGACAGAGCCCTTCCAAAACCCTTTCCCCATTCACCTCAGATTGCATGTTTTCACATTATGATACCCCCACCCCCACTGCACCACCCCACCACCACCACCACCTCCAGCCTTTCCTTGACGCCAGCAGAGGAATGCAAGTGAGGGGTTACAGTGTAATATTCTCTGGATCCTACATATCCTAGGGTAGGCCCTGAGAGAACTGGTGCCAGGATCCCACAGTGTTTGTGACGAAGGGCACAAAAAGGCTTTGCAAGGCCAACGGGCAGGGATGTAAAACATGCATGTCAATCTCTAAGAACTGAAGATAATTTTAGGCTAGTTATTATGATCACTATACCCACCAGGACCATTCTAAGGCATGGAGAATACTGGTCCTTTGAAAACCACGCTGGTGCTGGCCACTGTAATTTTGGTAGGGTTTGGCCTTCATCAGATCCTTCCCTGCTCAGGAAACCTCCATAGCTTCCTGGGCCAGCCAAATCAGGTTTGAGCCATCAAGGCTCTTCCTGGCTTCGCTCCAGGCTAGTCTAGACTTATCTCTCACCCCTACAAACAGTTTTCCCTCTGTATAAACAGGATAACTTATCCATTCTAACATCTAGGCCTTTGTTTCTTAAAACAACAACAACAACTAACCGTAGTCATATAACCCACTGAGCTCTGTCTCTCCCAGGCTTCAGGGGCGAACATCTGCTCAGTAGCTTCTGGGAATCAGCTCCGGTGAGTGCAACACTTACCCCCTTGCCCATCACTCCTTACGGATGCTGAATGTAAAGCACCTGCTGTGTGCACTGTAGAAACTGCACAGGGACAGGAGGCCAGGACAGCTTCTAGGCATGCCACAGGTGGAGTCTTTTCTCTGGCTCATCCAAGAGCCAAGAGCAGCTGCTTTCCAAAGAGTCACTTTCCACTACACGTTTACTTTATTACTATTATTTTTTAATCTCTCAGCTGTGAAGTCCACCAACTGAGGATCCTGGCTCCTGTACAGGTCCCCACCCCCAGATCATCTCTCCCCAGTCTCCCCAAATTCTAACCTTCCAGTTCCACTGAAGAACATGGAATGCTCCCGATGCCCACAATACCCTGCCTCGGGGACACACTGCACTTACTACTCCTTCAGTGCTTCAGATCTCAGATGGCATCTCACTACAAGGAAGCCTTCCTTGTTCCCAGACATCCACCACCCAGGGTTAAGTGTCTCTCCTCCGGGCTCCCATACCACCTGGTCCTTATCCTCATCCCGGCAATTAATACATCAAACTGCCACATCTGGCTGATTTACTTACATGACAGCCCCATCTAGACTCTCAGATGTGGGGCAGAGGCTGAGTCTGGTGCATTCCTCTATCTCCAGCGCCCGGCACAGTGCCTCACATATAGTAGGTAGTCAGTAAATGTATGTTGAATAAATGAGTCGATGAGCAAGGTGTCTAATTCATTGAATTTTTATTTTTCCCTACATTCTGGAGAACTAGGCAAATACAAGCAGAGAGCGGTTGTAATTTTGTGCAACAGACACTGACCGGCTTTTTATTTTATCTTTTTATATTTGGGGGAGGGGGGGAATGATTGTACTGGTAAAGTCTCTCAAACCTCCAAAGAACAGCTTATTCCAATGCTATAATAAGTTACAGGCATAAAATGATATACTCTCCCAATTTCTTTTATGAAACAGCAAATCTCTCCTGCTAAAACCGAAACAGAGAACAATAAAACATTTGACCAACGTCATTCATAGACCTAGATGTTCAACTTAAGTACTCAATCAAGTGTCTATGGAACAAAGGATTTTGAAAAAAATGCTTAGGTATGGCGTTTGTTTCAACTCTGATATAATTCTGTCATCATGTAGTTTTAACCAGTTTATTTCCTGTAAAATGATCATCATTATAAAAGAAAGTTAATTAAGGCAAACAAAACTTTGCAGTATGCAAATTGAAAGCTAAATCACTGAGAAAGACAAATAGAACTGGAACACAGATACCATGGGCGGCAGGTTCTCCCTAACCCCACTCTACCCCTCGACTCTTGAAAAGTCAGGACCCCAGCACCCACTGCTGTGGGGCCCTTTTGACTACCCACAGCAAAACAAAGTGAAGACTCAGCCCCAGCCTTCACTGCTGGCAGGAGGAGTCCCTGACACTAGCCTGAGATTGCAACCACACTGGCACTGTCCCAGGTACTGATACTTGCTCCAGCCATGGCTCTAGCCCTGGCACTGGCAACTGGCACTTGCATTGGTGCTGGTGCTGATGCTTGCTTCAGCCATGGCATAGGCCCTGGAACTGGAACTGGCACTAACACTGGCACTTGTCACGTCACCAACGGCAGCTGCCATCTCGGGCACGGGGTATCTCCTCCTCTTCTCTCAATGCCTCATTTACTGCCACGGAAAGGAACTGGGGTGGGTGTCATTCACTTTGGCCACAAACTCCGGGACTTCCATCTGTCTTGTTTCCTTTGAGAGCCCCCACAAGAATACCTAGAGCGTGGGATTGCTGTGGGACACCTATTTGTGCACCAGATACTCCTGCTGCACACTAGCTTTGGTGATGAGCTTCATGGACTCCCCAAAGACGAAATGCTTTTTAGACGAAATGTGCCTCCAACACCCTCAACACCTCCCAGACCACCTCCTCGGGGACACAGCTGGCCTGCATGAAGATCGAGTCCAGAGTAATCATCAGGAGCCGGGTCTTTGGTGTGCCCTGGTCGCCTGTCAGGCCCCAAACCAGGGCAGGATCGATTTTTCTGATCAAGACATAGGAGTGCTCTGCTGGATCAAGTTCCTTCAGATAGAACCCAAAGACTAACTCGGGGAGGTCAGAGGCTTTCTTGAAAATCTCAGGGAGGAAGCTCCTGTACCTTTTGATGACATACTTCAGCATGTCTGCCCTTTTGATCGCCACCGTCTTCCGGTTCTTAACCAGCAGGTACTGCACCAGCTCAGCTACTTTCTAGCTCACAGGGCCCCTGGGCATGCGCATCAGGGATGTCGGGGGCCGGAGGGGTACTGCGGGGGCGGGGGGCGGCGGGGGCGCGGGGCGGGGCAGACAGTTGCCTAGGGGTTTCTGGGGTCCACAAAGGAACTTTCAGAAGCACCTGAGCAGGGGCTCCATGCCTCAGAAGAAGTGCTCCCAGGGCTCCGGGGAGCACTTGGTGTCCCCGCTGCAGGCGCCCCCGTGGGGGTTTCTTGGGCAAGGAGGAGAGGAGCAGGCCACCGGGCCTCTGAGACCCGCAGGCCCTGGGTGTCACCTCTACCGCGGACGTTCTCACCTGCGGCTTTGGCTGGCCCAGGAAGCAGGAACTCTGGGAAGAGATGCGCGTCCACGGGCATTCGGCGGCCGGAGCGCTGTGTGCCAGGCCGAGAGGACAGTGACGTCGCCGCGGCTGCTGCGGCGGCTGCTAAGAAGACCCGGAGCCCCAGGGTCTTGAGTCGGAGACCGCCGCCCTCAGACCGGGAGGAGGAGGAGAAGGAGGAGGAGGAGGAGGAGGAGGAGGAGGAGCAGGAGGAGGAGGAGCAGGAGGAGGAGGAGGAGGAGGAGGAGGAGGAGGAGGAGGAGGAGGAGGAGGAGGAAGAAGCGGGAGGGGAGGGGGCTAAGCCTCCGCCGCCCGGGTCTTCCCGGAGCTGTGGGAATGGGCGGGCGCCGCCCCGCAGTGCCTCTTCTGGCAGAAAACAGTACCGCAGGCTACAGCCTGAGGGATGCGGGGGCGCTGCTCCCAGAGGTGGGGCTGCTCATGTGAGGCTTGAAAGAGACCATAAGCCTAAAAGCCAGGCCCAGTGTAAGCGCTTAATAACTGTTACCTGTTGTTGTGATGAATCCGATCATTCTGGATTATCTTCGTATCCCTCCTTCTCTCCTGTGGAGAAGGCTCCTAAGAGCGTAGGCATTTCTGTCCAGCGGCTGCCTCTGCAGCTTCCTCTTCAGATCATCTACCTGAAGTTGCTTTGCTCAGTGCCTGGCCTAGAGTAAGCACTTAGTGAGTTTTCCTTTGCGTTCGTTTCATTATTATAGTGTACATCGCATCTACATTGCTTGCACCCTGTGTGGTCATCTAGATGTGGAGGAAGGACCCGGGAAACAAGTGACCTCCATGGAGAACTGAAGATGTGTTTCCTTTTCTTTATGATCAGTGGATCTGGGGTGCACAACATCAGTTCTCTTGCGTATTCTTTCTCTCCTACACAGTCTGGAAAGTTATTGTTAATTGTAATCTAACTTTGCAAACCACCATTCCCATAATGACATCCTCTTCTTGCCTCTCTTACTCTCATGTCACTGCGCCTCATCCTTTCTCTACAGAGCGCTCTCTCCCATTTCACCTCTCATCTGCGATTCGGGGACCTTAAATCGACTCCTGCTTTGAGGTCAGCCCCTAGGAAGCCTGCAAATAAATAGCAAGAAGACTCCTCCACCCTAGCAAGTGCATTCTCTTATTGTATCGTGGTACAACTTAGCATTCCTTTCTTTCATCCTAACCTTTCTAGACAGTAACCAGTATAGCCTCCTCACACATAACAAAACGGTCGACGTCGTCGTCGTCGTCGTTGTTGTTGTTGTTATTGCTGCTATTGAGACGGAGTCTCGCTCTTGTCACCCAGGCTGGAGTGCAGTGGTGCGATCTTGGCTCACTGCAACCTCCGCCTCCTGGGTTCAAGCTTCTCCTGCCTCAGCCTCCTGAGTAGCTGGGATTACAGGCGCCCGCCACCACGCCCGGCTAATATTTGTACTTTTAGTAGAGACGGGGTTTTGCCATGTTGGCCACGCTGGTCTTGAACTCCTGACCTCAGGCCCGCCCTCATCGGCCTCCCAAAGTGCTGGGATTACGGTCGACTTTTATACAGCAATTGTTATACCTCGAAATAACACGTACTAAATTTCCATATAATGTCCACGCTTGCACTTCAAATTTCTTCCATTGATCTAAATTCTGTTGTTGCTAATTCTGCTATAAAGATTTAGAAATTGTTTTTGTGTGAGTAGAACTAACTCCCCCCTCACTATTCTTCTTTTACAAAATTTCTTCAAAATATTTTGGAAAATGTCGTCATCTGTAAGAACTTCAAAATCAAAGTTTTCAAGTTAAAAAAAATTCCCTGGCTTGAATTTTAACTAGAATTTCTTAGGACTTATAGTTTACTATGAGAATAATTAACATCTCATTAACATGAGAAGATGGAGGGTCCTCAGCCACAAAATATAGCATGTTCTTCATGTTCTTCCATTGATTCTGCTCTTTAATCAGGGTACTTCAATCACCTTTTAGTTTGCTTTATATAGCTTTTGCATAATTCTTAAGTTTGTCCATGGCAGTCTTTTTAGTTTCATTGCTGCTATGAATTGTGTATTTCCCATTATGTCTTCTAATTACTTATTTCTGACATATAGGAAGCCTACTGGTTTTGTATACTTTGGGGCATACGGCCATCTTAATATCCCCTCTCCTTAATTAGAATGCTTTTTCAGTGGATTCTCGCGCGTTTTCTAGGTAGGCAATCACAGTCTCTGCATATTATTAATACAGTATTCATTTTCCCTTTTCTTATTACATTGACTAGGACCGTGGTACCCTGTTAGCTAATAGCGGTGATGTGAAACTTTTTTGTTGTCCTTGTTCCCACTCTTAACGGGAAGGACTCCGTTCATTTGGGGCTAAATATGTTGTTGGTTTTGGATACCGATTGTGACATTTATCAACGTGTTGTCTGTCAGGTCCAAGTTACTCCTTCTTTGCCCTGCTTTGTCACACTAGAGATGATCCTTGTGAGTCTTTCTCCTATGCCAGCTAACAGAATGTTAGGCTCTGGCCATAGAGAGCACTGGGGGTGACCCTACGAATCCCAGCAGGAAAATTCGTCCCTCCTGCTAGTAGCAGTCTCCCGTTTGATGATATTCACTGAAGGAGGTCAGAGACCAGTGCAGACAAGCTCCAGCTGCACCTCCAGACCATGATTTCCCCACTATCAGTTGCCTCTGAGCAGCTCCAGCCTTCCCATGCACCACCACCACCCACCACCTTCCTGCCTTGGTGGTCTCTTCTACAGACCAGCAAAGGCCCACACTCTCTGGTAAGTTTCGACACCACTGGCAGGCTGCAAGTTCTTTTGGCAGCTACATCCTCTTCAAAGAGGTCTGATTCTCAGCTCGGGAGGAACGGTGAACTCTCCTACTCCTTTATTGCCTGCTATTCCTCATCCTAGAGGTAGTAGCTGCTCTTTTGCAACTGCTACTCCTGGACCCCTTAAAGTTCTCTTTTGTGCCTTTTAGGAGGTAACCCCCTTCTACCACTTAGCCATGTTTTCTACTCACTGTGCTCTGTCCAAATAACCTGCACGGTTTCCGTCTCCTGGTTGGGCCCCGACTCACATACCACTTATCAACCTGGAGATGTTTCCCTCTAAACCAAACTTTCTAGCAGGCTTTCTTTTCTTCTTCACCTTCGCCGCCGACTCCTCCTCCTCCTCCTTCATCTTCTTCCTCTTCTTCTTCTTGTTTGCAAATGTACTTTAAATTTCATCAAACGTCTTGTCATTATCGATCAAATTATTCACATGGTTTTGCTTCCATAAGGGCTTTTTATATTTAAAGAAGCCTGGAAAAATGCAGACAACACAAACAAGAGATATGCATTAGAAATCATTGCAATGAGCAGGGCACAGTGGCTCTCGCCTGTAATCCCAGCACTTTGGGAGGCCGAGGCACGCGGATCACGAGTTCAGGAGATCAAGACCATCCTGGCCAACGTGGTGAAACCCCGTCTCTACTAAAGATACAAAAATTAGCTGGGCGTGGTAGCGTGTGCCCGTAGTCCCAGCTACTCGGGAGGCTGAGGCAGGAGGATCGCTTGAACCTGGGAGGCAGAGGTTGCAGTGAGCTGAGATCGTGCCGCTGCACACTCCAGCCTGGTGACAGAGAGAGATTCTGTCTCAAAAAAAAAAAAAGAAAGAAAGAAAGAAAAGAAAAAAGAAATCATTGCAACACACAGTAGTGGGAATCATACAGATTTCTTTAAAACTGTCCTTGGTGAGTCTTTGGCTGCAGACTCTCATTAAGATACTGTAAGTACTATAGAATCCTCTCTACATTGCCCGCTGAACCCAACTGCTGGCCATGTGGAGGGTTTTAGCCTGTGAGGTGAAGGAGAGCTCTGTTCCCTGGAACGCTCCCCACTGTAGTATTTGTTCACAACTGTTCTCTGTTCTCCCCACGACAAAGTCACCCAACCTCCTCAAAAAGCTATCCAATCCACTACTCTGTCCACAGACAGACCTGAGAGGGCCTCTGCAGGCCAAGGAAAGGGGAAAAGCCAAGGCCAAAATGCTTTACACTTTTGAAGAGGGGCCACCAGAGGATGACCCAAGCTGAGAGCAGTGTGCTTGCTAGGCATACTCAGGCTGAGTGACGCATTCAAGCTTCCTTCTCCTCATGCTCTCTCTCTGCTTCTCTCTGCAGCAGCATAGGCCTATGCCCTGCCTCCCTTTACCGCCCCACACACTGCTCACACTGGCCCGCTCTAAAAAAGTAAAGAAAAGGTAGAAAACGGGCAAAACTTATGGACCTACTCCCCAGAGTCAGAAATTCAGATGGCCAACAAACCTGCATGTTGTGCACATGTACCCCAGAACTTATAGTATAATAATAAAAAAAAAAAAAACAAAATCTTCAGGCCGGGCACAGTGGCTCACAACTGTAATCCCAGCACTTTGGGAGGCTGAGGAGGGCAGATCTCTTGGGGTCAGGAGTTCGAGACCAGCCTGGCCAACAGGGTGAAACCCTGCCTTGACTGAAAATACAAAAATTAGTCAGGCGTGGTGGTGCGCGCCTGTAATCCCAGCCACTCAGGGGGCTGAGGCAGGGGAATCGAAAAAAAAAAAAAAATTCTTTGATCCCACCAACAATCAGGGAAATACTCATAAAACGACAAAGAGATACAATTATTTACCCAACATACAGCAAATCCATTTTTAAGTAGATTCATATCAAATATGGCAAAACACAATTGTAAAGACTGTCAATCAGCTGTAAAATTTTAAATGCGTATACACTCAACAACAAAAATTCACTTATAGGTATTCATCCTTCATATTGGTACCAAATAAAATAATGGACTCCCAGTTAAGCTTGAATTTCAGATCCACAGCAAATACTTTTTTAGTGTAAGTGTGTCCTGTATGCAATATTTGAGGCATTCTTACACTAAAACACTTACTAAATGCTAAGAAATTCAAATGTAACTGGGTTTCCTGTACTTTTATTTGCTAACTCTGGCAACCCTAATCCTAGAGAACCACCCAATCCTATGCACAAGGAGATGTGTGCAAGAATTGTCATTGCTGTCTTGTATATAATGGTTACCAAAATTGAAAATAACAGAAATATTCATCAATAAGAGAATGCTTTTAAAAACTACACTGTGACTAACTACCATGTGTAAGTTGAAAGATTAAGGAAGATTTACAGGTATGACGTGAAAAAACATCTATTCTTGAGTTTTAAAATGTTGAGGAACAATATATAGGATTGTCATCATTTAGTCAGACAAAGCAAAACTCAATCATACATTTCTGTGGGTAAAAATACACTAGTGTAAAAGCATAGAACAGGTCTAAAAGGATACGCATCAACCTTTTAAGTGTGGTCACCTTTGCTACGCTTATTTTTTTTTTTTTTGTCTTTTGTTTTTTGTTTTTTGTTTTTTTCCTTTTTCTGGAGAATGGGGTCTCGCTATATTGCCCAGGCAGGTCTCGAACTCCTGGGCTCAAGCTATCCTCCCGCCTCTTGCCTCCCTGAGAGCTGGGATTACAGGCGTGAGCCACCGCGCCCGGCCTAAGAGTGGTCACCTTTGGAGTGGGGCTTTCTATTTGGGGGGTTGGAAGTACGTACTTTCTATCAAATGTCCATCATTGCAACACTGACTTGCAGTGCCAACAAATGTTAAACTTATCAAATTCCCTACATGCAAAGGTCTGTCTCTGGGTTTTGTGTTCTTTTCTGTTGACCTATTTATCTCAAGAGCCAGCACAACACTGTTCTAATTAGGATATCTTTATCATACACATAATTTACATCATGGCAAGTTCCCCTCTGAGTTCTTACTATTCAGAAATGCGTAAGATTAGCTGCATGTCCTATTCTGTTCCGTCCATAAGAAAATTCTCAACTGGCAAGTTCAGTTTGACCCTGGTCAGGAAACAAGGGTCACCCATATAGTTCCATCCCAGCTCTGTTCATTGAAGCTTCCAAATAGATCTCAGGCTGTTGGGCTATGGGTTGTTCATATATGGCCTAATAACACAGCGTGAGTAAGTCTTAATGCAAAATAATTACAGTAAATGTAATTGTGAATCTGCTACATTCACCAATTAAAAGAGACCCTCAGGTTGGATTTTTAAAATGAGAACCAAGAAACACGTTTACATCAAAAAAATAAAAAATAAAAATAAAAAACAGAAAGATTGAGAACAAAAGTGTGGAAAACAATATAAAACAAAAAGAAAGTTGGGGTAGCAATTTTTTTTTTGTTTTATTCCTTTTCTTATACTGGCAGCACTTTAAATTGGGAGCATAAATTACATGCACAAAAATGCACAAATCCAAATGGTTAAGTATAGAGATGGCTGATTTTTGTCCAATGCATTCACTTTGGTAACTGTCACACAGATCAGAATAGAGACGACTTCAATCGCCCCAGAAAGTTCCCTTGCGTTGCTTCGCAGTCAGTCAGTATCCACCCATCCCTCCAGCGGCAACCCCTTTTCTGATTTCTATCACCGCAGATTAATTTTGCCTCTTCCGCAACTTTATAGAAACTGAGCCACAGTGCTCATTTTTTTCAGGCTTCTTTTGCTCAACTTAACGTTTTTTGAGATTCATCCTTGTTGTTGTGTGCATTGACAGTCTGTTAGTTTTTATTGCTGAGTAGTATTCCATTGTACGAGTACATCACAGTGTGTTTATTCTCCTATTGACGGTGGTACAGCCCGATGACCTGGCTAGCTGCCAGGTCTGCTGCTCCCCTCCTTTTAAAGGTATCAGTGTCAACACACTCCACACCAGAGCCAGCAATTATCTCAAGTATTTCAAAGGTGTATTAGTCACCCGGGGGTAGTTAAAGTGAGGGGCGTCCCCGAGGAAGGGAGAGGGAGGTGTGGGGGAGGGAGTGGAGCACCTGGAAATATATACAGGATAAGGAGCCCCCCTGTAGGAGTTTTTAATAGTGTCGGGGGAGGGGGAATGGACCAATTTCTGACAGCCCACAGAGTGCAGGGGCGGCTGAGGAGTGAGTGGAGTGAGGAAGAGCAGTGTTAGCAATGTGCAGGCGAGATTTCTAAGAGTGAGCTTAGCAGGCGGGAGTTATCTAGGAGACTGGCACATGCCACTCTCAGGTTTACCTGGAGGTTCCTTTATTATGTGGGGTATTATGTCTGCTTATGCTGTGTGGGCATAGGCAAACAAATAGGAGCACATGCATTTGGATAGGTGCCTGACCTGCAATCATGGGCCTGGGACCAGACCTGATACATCAGCATCCCCTTGATCTGGACCTGGACAGCATAGAGGGAAACCCACGGCCTTAAAACGATAACGTTTGCTATGGATGGCTTTATGGGTTTGTTTCATGAGCTTTGGGTCAGCAAATAAGAGGGGGGGGTCTGTTCCTGGGGGCAGGAAGCAGGCCTGGCATTGTGTGAGGTCCAGCCTTTGGGATGTAACTTCAGCTATGTATACACACAGATTATCACAGGGGGTAGGTAGCCTCAAGCAGTAGCCTTGCCTCAGGAGGCACACGGGGACAAGGTTTTAGCCTTAGTGGAAATGGGCTTTGTTCTCCTAGGGTGGGTATGGAAACTCTAGTGAGGCTGGTCTTAAAAGTGTGGTTTTATGCACACAATGAGGAGGATGGGGAAGGAGAGGGTTATAACCCAGGAGTCTAGAAGGTGGTGGTTGTTTGGACTGTGGTCATCCTTTGAGATACTTTGGTTGGCTGGGCTGTAGTCATCATCCAGGATGTGGCGATGGCCTCCCAGGGCCAGTATGACTCTTGAGCCAAATCCAGGACTTGGAGGCACAGGTCAAGGTCAGAAAGTCTATCATCATAACTACGCTAAAGGTAGCTCCAGGGAGCACAACCAGTGTAGGACCACATTATTTTTTATTCATCCTGATGGCTGGTCTGGATACTGTTCATATGCCTAGTCAATGGTTTTGCAGAGGACTAGTTGTACACTACGGATAGAGATGACACTGTGGGTGCAATACTGCCTTGGTAGCCTGGCATTGAGTAGGGGAAACTGTGTCCCAGATCCAAGCCACCAGCCATATCAGGCATAGCTAGGCCAGTGATAGCCATCGTTCTCTCCTTTCTGCAAGATCTACATGGTGGTAGGCATGGGTCTATAGGCCAACACTTTTATTTCCTGTTGGGAAGGGCCTGTAATTAGCTAACCTTTAAATCCATCATAACTGTGGAAAGCCTTAGAAAGTGGTAGTGCCTGCTTTCCAGAAAAAGTAGAAAAGTCATGTTGGATATTTCACTGTTCCATCTATGGCCAGAGGATCCCAGTGTATTATCCTGCCTTGGGTCCAGGTGTCAACTCTTTGTGGATTGCATTTGGGTAAAAAAAAAAAAAAAAAAGGACACAGAAATGCAGTATGGAGGTTGTGCTCAGGAAATGGGAATCAGAGTTGGGAATCCATGACTTGGAGTCCAAATATATTCATATATTTGTGGGGATTGACAAATTTCACCCATATGGAAAGTATTACTGGGGTCCATTTGGCTCCAATAATTAACACAACCGTGTTTAGTTTGACCCATCCTGTTGTCCTTTGAGTCAGGGCATCAGTGCAAATGATCAGGCTGGCGAATTTGATGGGTGCTATGACCATGGTAAAAATCACACAGAATAATGGTCTCAATGGTGAGGGCTGGCAGGGGGTGGCATACCCTTGCTTCTATAGCCTATAATCCACCTTGGTGAAAAAGAATCCTCTGCTTGAATTTGGAAGGATCCCCAGGAATCCAAGTGACCAGAGAACCTGTGTTGAGTAAGGCCAGAAAGTGTTGAGTATTATGAGGGAACCAATGGACCACCAGGGTTGTATATGGCCATATGACCCTGGAGGGTGGCACCAAAGATGGCCAAGTCTCTATTATATGGAGCTATCGATTCCATTGACAAAGATTGGGGAAAGTAGAGAGGCCATTTAGTGGGAGAGCCATAGAAAATCAATGGCCCAGCATTTGACCCAGAAAAGGATACTTGTGGGCCATTTAAATGGCCCATTATTAGACGTCCTATAGTTCATTTTCATTTTATTTCCATACGGTTTTCAGGAAAAGGTGGTGTTTGGTTACCTAGGTTCTTTAGTGGTGACTTGTGAGATTTTGGTGCACCCATCACCCAAGCAGTATACACTGTACCCAATTTGTGGTCTTTCATCCCTCACCCCCTCCCAACCTTTTCCCCCAAGTCCCCAAAGTCCACCGTATCATTCTTATGCCTTTGCATCCTCATAGCTTAGCAACCATTTATGAGCGACAACATACAATGTTTGGTTTTCCATTCCTGAGTTACTTCACTTAGAGTAATGGTCTCCGATTCCATCCAGATTGCTGCAAATGCCACTATGTCATTCCTTTTTACAGCTGAGTGGTATTCCATGGTATATATACACACCACAATTTTTTTACCCACTCACTGATTGATGGGCATTTGGGCTGGTTCCATATTTTTGCAATTGCAAAATTTGCTGCTATAAACATGCAAGTGCAAGTATCTTTTTCATATAATGACTTCTTTTCCTCTGGGTAGATACCTAGTAGTGGGATTGCTGGATCAAATGGTAGTTCTACTTTTAGTTCTTTAAGGGATCTCCACACTTCTCTTTTCCACGGTTTGTACTAGTTGCGCACTAGTGCTTTGTACTTGCTTACATTCCCACCAGCAGTGTAAGAGTGTTTCCTTTTCACCACATCCCCGCCAACATCTATTATTTTTTGATTATGGTCATTCTTGCAGGAGTAAGGTGGTATCACATTGTGGTTTTGATTTGCATTTCCCTGATCATTAGTGATGTTGAGCATTTTTCATATGTTTGCTGGCCATTTGTATATCTTCTTTGAGAATTGTCTATTCATGTCCTTTGCCCATTTTTTCATGGGATTGTTTGTCTTTTTCTTGATAATTTGTTTCAGTTCCTTGTAGATTCTGGATATTAGTCCTCTTTCGGATGTATAGATTGTGAAGACTTTTTCCCACTCTGTGACTTGCCTGTTTATGCTGCTGTCCATTCCTTTTGCTGTGCAGAAACTTTTTAGTTTAATTAAGTCCCACCTATTTATCATTGTTTTTGTTGCATTTGCTTTTGAGTTCTTGGTCATGAAGTCTTTGCCTAAGCCAATGTCTAGAAGGGTTTTTCCGATGTTATCTTCTAGAATTTTCATAGTTTCAGGTCTTAGATTTAAGTCCTTGATCCACCTTGAGTTGATTTTTGTATAAGGTGAGAGATGAGGATCCAGTTTCATTCTTCTACATGTGGCTTGTCAATTATCTCGGCACCCTTTGTTGAATAGGGTGTCCTTTCCCCACTTCAAGTTTTTGTTTGCTTTGTCAAAGATCAGTTAGGTGTCAGTATGTGGCTTTATTTCTGGGTTCTATATTCTGATCCATTGGTCTGTGTGCCTATTTCTATACCAGTACCATGCTGTTTTGGTGACTATGGCCTTGTAGTATGGTTTGAAGTCCGGCAATGTGATGCCTCCAGATTTGTTCTTTTTGCTTAGTCTTGCTTTGGCTATGCGGGCTCTTTTTTGGTTCCATATGAATCTTAGGATTGTCTTTTCTAGTTCTGTGAAGAATGATGGTGGTATTCTGATGGAAATTGCATGGAATTTGTAGATTGCTTTTGGCAGTGTGGTCATTTTCACAATATTGATTCTACCCATCCATGAGCATGGGATGTGTTTCCATTTGTTGGTGTCATCTATGATTTCTTTCAGCAGTGTTTTGTAGTTTTCCTTGTAAAGGTCTTTCACCTCCTTGGTTAGGTATAGTCCAAGTATTTTATTTTATTTTATTTTATTTTATTTTATTTTATTTTATTTTATTTTATTTTATTTTATTTTTTCAGCTATTGTAAAAGGAGTTGAGTTCTTGATTTGATTCTCAGCTTGGTTGCTGTTGGTGTATAGCAGAGCTACTGATTTTTGTACATTAATTTTGTATCCTGAAAGTTTGCTGAATTTGTGTATCAGTTCCAGAAGCTTTTTTGGAGGAGTCTTTAGGGTTTTCCAGATATACGATCATATCATCAACAAACAGTGACAGTTTGACTCCCTCTTTACTGATTTTGATGCCCTTTATTTATTTCTCTTGTCTGATTGCTCTGGCTAGGACTTCCAGTTCTATGTTGAATAGAAGTGGTGAGAGTGTAGATGACCTATAGTTCTGAAACAGTTTTCCCTGCTACTAAGTGGTCGAGGAAACCTAAATCTCAGTTTCTAGTGTCAGAGAGCCTGTTTGAGATCTTGGCGAATTGGGTGTCAGGGATCCTTATTGTCACCTATGGGCCTCTTTCATTTAAAGGCTTTATTTTGTGTTTGAATTTGGTAGACAATGGCACCTCCCCAAACTATTCAAAAAAATTAAAGAGGAGCGAATTCTCCCTAACCCATTCTATGAGGCTAGCATTACCCTGATACCCCAACCAGACAAGGACACAACAAAAAAAGAAAACTACTGGCCGATATCCCTGATGAACTTAGATGCAAAAATCCTCAGCAAAATACTGGCAAGCCAAATCCAACAGCACATCAAAAAGAAAATACACCATGATCAAGTGTGATTTATTCCAGTGATGTAAGGATGGTTCAACATACAGAAATCAATAAACATGATACATCACATCAACAGAATAAAGGACAGAAACCATGTGATCATCTCAATAGACACAGAAAAAAACATTTGACAAAATTCAACTCCGCTTCATGATAAAAAAAAAAAAAAAACTCTCAACAAAGTAGGCATAGAAGGACCACACCTTAAAATAATAAAGCCCATATGTGACAAACTCATAGCTAACATTATACTAAGTGGGGAAAAATTAAATGCCCTTCCACTAAGAATTAGAACAAGACAAGGATCCCCACTTTCACCACTTCTATTCAACACAGTACTGGAAGTCCTAGCCAGAGCCATCAGGCAAGAAAATGAAATAAAAGTCTTTCAAACTGGAAAAAAGGAAGTCAAAATATCCTTCCTTCCAGACAACATAATCTTATATCTAGAAAAAACAGAAGAACCCCACCAGAAAACCGTTGGAACTGATCCAACACATTCAGTAAAGTTGCAGATACAAAATTGACATACAGAAATCAGTAGCAATTTCAGACACCAATTATGAAATAGCTGAAACAGAAATCAAAAAGGCAACGCACAAAGCAATGGGGTTACAAGCATGAGCCACTGTGCCCAGCAGAGAATTCTTTATATATTCTTAACACAAATGCTTTATCAAATATAAGCTTTGCAAATATTTTTTTCTCAGTCTGTGGTTTGTCTTTTCACACTCTTAACTTGGGTCTTTGCAAGAGCAAAAGTTTTTAATTTTGACAAAGTCCAATTTACCAGTTTTTTTCTTTATGGTGTTTTTTCTTTCTTTATCCTTTTAGTGTCAGATATAAGAATTTTTTGCCTAATCTATTATCACAAAGATTGTCTCCTATATTTTCTTTTTCTTCCCCTTTTACTGACATGGAATAATTTACATACATGTGGGTACATGTGAGTGTTTTTTACATGCAAAGAATGTATAATGATCAAGTCAGGGTAACTGGAGTACCCATCACCTTGCGTGTTTATCGTTTTATGTGTTGGTATCATTTGAACCCCTCTCTTCTAGTTACTTGGAAATGTAAACAGTATTGGTTTTAAGAATAGTTGCCCTAATCCACTACCCAAACATTAGAACTTAATTCTTCTAACTGTGTGATGGTATCCATAACCAACCTCTCTTCACACCCCCTTCCACCCTACCCAATCTCCCCAGTCTCTGGGATCTATCAGTCTATCCTCTATGTCCTTAAAATCAACTTTTTTCGCTCCCATGTGCAAGTGAGAACATGTGAAATTTGTCTTTCAGCACCTGGCTTATTTCACTTAACATGATGACTTCCAGTTCCATTCATGTTGCTGCAAATGACGTGATTTTATTTTTTTCTGTGGTCAGATAGTATTCTATTGTGTGTATATACCACATTTTCTCCATACGTTCATCCACTGATGGGCACTTAGATTGATTCCATATCTTGGCTATTGTGAATAGTGCTGCTATAAACATGTGAGTGCAGGTATTCCTTTGATGTACTGATTTCTTTTCCTTTGGATAGATACCCAGCAGTGGGATTGCTGGGTTGTATGGTAGTTCTATTTTTCATATTTTGATCAGATCCTGCTGGTCGTTGCCTGGAAGTTATTTACACAAACGGGGTTTCCAGCCAGGATTCAGCTGAACTTGTCACTGTATTGGATCTGAATCGTCAACTCAATAAGAGTGTGCATATCTGAGACCTCTTGTTGTCTCTACCTGTTCAAGGTGTCATCTTACCCATGGCTGGTAGAAAGTTCATGCTGAATTAAGCTTTGAATCTCTTCATCGTTGGGTTTATTGAATCACTCCATCATTGGGTTTGTTTCAGTTTCCTAGGAATACAGTCTCTTGGGATTTGTTTGATTCACTGGTCAGATTTGTGTTGTTCCTTGGTGCAGTTGCTTTCTGGCCTTCTAAATCTGCTCTTATGGTCTGTCTGCTTGTTTAGTATCTTAAGTGCCATTTGTCTGTAAAATGATTACTGAGTGGGGGAGGATAGGCATAAACTCAGTAAGTCTGTCTGCAAGCCAGTCCCTTGGACTGAGAAGCTCAGACGATCTCCCAAGACCGTTTTTCTTCAGACGTATGTTGTCTCAGGTCACCATATCGAAACACTTTAAGGACCTTTTCCTTAGTCTTGTGTTTGTGTCAGTTTGCCAAAACTGCTTTGTTCAGTTTCACTTGCCCAGAAACAGCTGGTATTGTCTGGCCCCTGATGGGGGACAACTGGCCTTGCACCAAATTCCACAGACACTAAGTTACAAAAGCGCCATGCTTGTAGACTGCTGTTTCTTATGGGGTCATTCTATCTAAAACTGCATTTCTTCCAGGACAAACACCTGTTTCCTTCATGTTTTCTCATTATAATGTTAGCGTATGTACTTGTCCCTAACGGACACAATTTCACTAGGGCCAATTTGAAAATTGCTATGGCCTTTTTTGGGACATCTTGACACGAATCAGATTTTTCATTTGACAGGTACCCTAAAAACAAAACAAAATGTGAATCAATCTTCATGAGGAGATTGTTTTTCCTGGCTGCCTAAATGAGAGATCATTTTGTTTAATATAGGAGTCAGTCCCATCTTCATTTCCATCACTTGGATTAATACATCCCAGCTCTTTATTCGCGTGGCTTGATAATATTGTCTAGGGCTTAAGTCCTCAAATCAGCCACACTGTCACTCTCTTTAGTGTGTATGTTTATCAAAATGTTTCTCTATATCTAAACTTTGTTTTCTCTCCTTACAGGAAGCCCTATAAAATGGACATAAATCTTAAAACCTTGACATCTTTTACTTGCATCCAGAGGTATGGCCATAATAAAAGTGGAGTTTAAACAAAAAATGCTTCCTGATATTTCTCACAATTGCAGAGATAAGTTGGCCATGATATTGAAGCATTCAATATTAGTTGAGTAATTTTAAGAATATTGCCAAGAAAATTTCCAATACATATCTACCAGCTGAAGACACAATCCTGGCAAGACTATGCAGGCAAGACATGGGACAGAGCCACAAGCTCAAGGCCTCTTTGAACACCTCCAAATGGATTTTCCACAAGTGCCTTCAGCAGCGGTCCATAAATATGTTCTGGTTATTGGTTTTCGTTCTTAGGGTGGGTGCACTCTCTTAGTTGAACAGCTATGGCCGTCATGATTTTTAAAATTACTTTATATTCAAAAACTGGAGAATTCCAACTTATCTCTTCAGTAACATGGACACATATTTCACTAGAAGTATTATTAAAGAATAATTTAACACCTTTTATTCAGAACTCCACTGTCCTTATCATCCGCAGACTGCAGAGAAAATAAAGAGAGCTAATGGAATTCTCAACTTAGAATTTTCAAAGCTCTCAGGTATCCTTAAACTTCCAAGCACCGAACTATTTCCACTGGCCTTGATGACAATAAGATCAATCCCCCTCAGGACCTGCAAGTTCTCTACTCTGGAGTTAATTATCAGACTGCCCCACACATTTGGAAATTGCTTCCAGTCGTACTTTCTGCCACACTACAGTCAATGTGTCTGAATACAAGAGATCATATGATGCTTCCAGGTGTTTCACCAAGTACAAGCTTCATTTCCAAAACCCCAGCTAAGAAGCTTCTGTAAGATCTGTAACTGGGAGATTTAGTCTTCTGGAAGTGACATAAAAGGAAAACTGCCCTTGAACCTCAATTAAAAAGACCTCATCAGACACTGCTAATAACTGACACAACAATAAAACAACACGGAATAGATCCGGGAATCATACTTCCCAATTAGAAAAAAAATACATCATTTTGTCCCGACTACTGGAAGCCCATTCCATTAGGGAACCTCAAACTGAGGATTCTTAGAAATTCTTCAGAAACAGCTGATTTCAAAAATGGACAGATTCCGTCCAAGACTATAGAATGAACCACCTACTTCGGAAGTGGACAACTTCTGCCCAAAACTGCAGAACGAGGTTAATTTTCTGATTTTTTTTCCCAGCACTTTTTTCACCTGTCCTATGGCCTATCATGTTGTGTCACCCTCTGGAACATTAACATGATCTTTTTATCTTTTTTCTGCCCCCGCTATGGTTTTCTTCTACCACTTAAGAAAAAAGCAAAACTCTTTTGTACTTTTTCCCAGACTCTAGCTATTGCTCTGAAGTTCACTGGTTCTAGGATTTATAGTCCCTTGTTCTCCTTTCTGGCCAAAATTTAATAGCCATCCCTTTAAACAGTTCAAAAGGTAGGGCTGGGCACGGTGGCTCACGCCTGTAATCCGAGCACTTTAGGAGGCTGAGTCAGGCAGATCTCTTGAGCTCAGCAGTTTGAGACCAGT
Organism: Homo sapiens; assembly: GCF_000001405.40. NCBI lineage: Eukaryota > Metazoa > Chordata > Mammalia > Primates > Hominidae > Homo > Homo sapiens. Next base: position 72,959,491 of record NC_000023.11, read on the forward strand.
CTGGCCAACATGGTGAAACCCTGTCTCTACCAAAAGTACAAAAATAAGCCCGGTGTGGTGGCACCTGCCTGTATTCCCAGCTACTCATGAGGCACAAGAATTGCTTAAATCCGGGAGACGGAGGTTGCAGTGAGCCGGGATCATGCCACTGCACACCAGCCTGTGACAGAGTGAAACTCTGACTTAGAAAATAAATAAACAGATGCTGACTTAGGAAGATGGCCTAATAGGAACAGCTCCAGTCTGCAGCTCCCAGCAAGATCGATGCAGAAGATGGGTGATTTCTGCATTTCCAACTGAGGTGCCTGGTTCATCTCATTGGGACTGGTTGAACAGTGGGTATAGCCCACTGGGGGTGAACTGAAGCAGGGCAGGGCGTTGCCTCACCCAGGAAGCACAAGGGGTCGGGGGATTTCCCTTTCCTAGCCAAAGGAAGCCATGACAGACCGTACATGGAGAAACGGTGCACTCCTGACCAAATACTGCACTTTTCCCACGGTCTCAGCAACCGGCAGATCAGGAGATACCCTCCCATGCCTGGCTCGGTGGGTCCCATGCCCACGGAGCCTTGCTCACTGCTAGCGCCAGCAGTCTAAGATCAACCTGCTATGCTGCAGCTTGACGGGGGGAGAGGCGTCCACCACTGCTGAGCCTTGAGTAGCTTACCGTGTAAACAAAGCAGCTGGGAATCACAAACTGTGTGGAGCCCACTGCAGCTCAGCAAGGCCTACTGTCTTTATAGATTCCACCTCTGGGGGCAGGGCATATCTGAACAAAAGGCAGCAGACAGCTTCTGCGGACTTAAACATCCCTGTCAGACAGCTCTGAAGAGAGGAGTGGTTATCTCAGCATGGCATTCAAGCTCCAAGAATGGACAGACTGCCTCCTCAAGCTGGTCCCTGACCCCTGTGTAGCCTGACTGGGAAACACCTCCCAGTAGGGGCCAACAGACACCTCAAGCAGGCAGGTGCTCTTCTAGGACGAAGCTTCCAGAGGAAGGATCAGGCAGCAATATTTGCTGTTCTGCAGTCTCCCCTGGTGATACCTAGGCAAACAGGGTCTGGAGTGGACCTCCAGCAAACTCCAGTAGACCTGCAGCTGAGGAGTCTGACTGTTCAAAGGAAAGGTAACAAACAGAAAGGAATAGCAACAACATCAACAAAAAGGACATCCACACCAAGATCCCATCTGTAGGTCACCAACATCAAAGACCAAAGGTAGATAAAACCACAAAGATGGGGAGAAACCAGAACGGAAAAGCTGAAAATTCCAAACACCAGAGTGCCTCTTCTCCTCTAAAGGATTGCAGCTCCTCGCCAGCAGCAGAACAAAACTGGATGGAGAATGAGTTTAACAAGTTGACAGAAGTAGGCTTCAGAAGGTCAGTAACAACAAACTTCTCTGAGCTAAAGGAGCATGTTCTAGCCTATCACAAGGAAGCTAAAAACCTTGAAAAAAGGTTAGTCGGATGGCTAAACTAGAATAAACAGTGTAGAGAAGAGCTTAGATGACCTGATGGAGCTGAAAACCATGGCACGAGAACTTTGTGATGCATTTACAAGCTTCAATAACCGATTCAATCAAGTGGAAGAAAGGATATCAGTGATTGAACATCAAATTATTGAAATAAAGAGAGAAGACAAGATTAGAGAAGAAAGAGTGAAAACAAAAGAACAAAGCCTCCAAGAAATAATGAGACTATGTGAAAAGACCAAATCTACATTTGATTCGTGTACCGGAAAGGGATGGGGAGAATGAAACCAAGTTAGAAAACACTCTTCAGGATATTATCCAGGAGAACTTCCCTAACCTAGCAAGGCAGGCCAACATTCAAATTCAGGAAATACAGAGAACACCACAGAGATACTCCTTGAGAAGAGCAACCCCAAGACACATGATTGTCAGACTCACCCAGGTTGAAATGAAGGAAAATATGTTAAGGGCAACCAGAGAGAAAGGTCAGGTTACCCACAAAGGGAAGCTGGTCAGACTAACAGTGGCTCTCTTGGCAGAAACCCTACAAGCCAGAAGAGAGTGGGGGCCAATGTTCAACTTTTTTAAAGAAAAGAATTTTCAACCCAGAATCTCACATCCAGCCAAATTAAGCTTCATACGTGAAGGAAAAATAAAATCTCTTACAGACAAGCAAATGCTGGGAGATTCTGTCACCACCAGGCCTGCCTTACAAGAGCTCCGGAAGGAAGCACTAAACATGGAAAGGAACAACCGGTATCAGCCACTGCAAAAACATGCCAAATTGTAGAGACCATCAAAGCTATGAAGAAACTGCATCAATTAACGGGCAACATAACCAGCTAACATCATAATGACAGGATCAAATCCACACATAACAATATTTAGCTTAAATGTAAATGGGCTAAATGCCCCAATTAACAGATACAGACTGGCAAATTGGATAAAGAGTCAAGATCCATTGGTGTGCTCTATTCAGGAGACCCATCTCATGTGCAAAGACACATAAAGGCTCAAAATAAAGGGATGGAGGAAGATCTACCAAGCAAATGCAAAGCAAAAAAAAGTAGGGGTTGCAATCCTAGTCTCTGATAAAACAGACTTTAAAGCAACAAAGATCAAAAAAGACAAAGAAGGCCATTCCATAATGGTAAAGGGATCAATTAAACAAGAAGAGCTAACTATCCTAAATATATAAGCACCCAGTACAGGAGCACCCAGATTCATAGAGCAAGTGAGACCTACAAAGAGACTTAGACTCCCACACAATAATAATGGGAAACTTTAACACCCCCCTGTCAATATTAGACAGAACAACAAGACTGAAGGTTAACAAGGATATCCAGGACTTGAACTCACTTCTGGACCAAGTGGACTTAATAGACATCTACTGAAGTCTCCACACCAAATCAACAGAATATACATTCTTCTCAGCACCACATCGCACTTATTCCAGAATTGACCACATAATTGGAAGTAAAGCACTCCTCAGCAAATGTAAAAGAACAGAAATCACCACAAACAGTCTCTCAGACCACAGTGCAATCAAATTAGAACTCGGGATTAACAAACTCACTTAAGTCAGGTAGCGTGATGCCTCCAGCTTTGTTCTTTTGGCTTAGGATTGTCTTGGAAATGCGGGCTCTTTTTTGGTTCCACATGAATTTTAAAGTAGTTTTTTCCAATTCTGTGAAGAAAGTCATTGGTAGCTTGATGGGGATGACATTGAATCTATAAATTACCTTGGGCAGTATGGCCTTTTTCACGATATTGATTCTTCCTATCCATGAGCATGGAATGCTCTTCCATTTGCTTGTGTCCTCTCATATTTCCTTGAGCAGTGGTATGTAGTTGTCCTTGAAGAGGTCCTTCACATCCCTTGTTAAGTTGGATTCCTAGGTATTTTATTCTCTTTGAAGCAATTGTGAACGGGAGTTCACTCATGATTTGGCTCTCTGTTTGTCTGTTATTGGTGTATAAGACTGCTAAAACAATTAGGAGATATACCTAATGCTAAATGACGAGTTAATGGGTGCAGCACACCAGCATTGCACAGGTATACATATGTAACTAACCGGTACATTGTGCACATGTGCCCTAAAACTTAAAGTATAATAATAAAAAAAAAGCATTCCTGCTGGTTAACAAACCATGGAGGGAAGGACAAAGCAGAGAGGGCTTGGCAATACACCCTGCTAGGAAAGAACTCTTCTCTATGAGATGGTAAAGTACTTTTAGGCCCACTCTTCAGAATGCACAGTGCTGAGTGTAAAAGTATCATTATTGTAAACTCGAGCAAAGTACAGCCTAATCACAGTTGATAAAGGAAAGGGGAGGAGAAGCCTGCAATTCACATTTTAAAAATCAGTGGTGTTTTCTCTGAATGGCACTTCTTTCCTGCCAGGTCTTTTCTTGACTATACCATCTCAGGGGCTGCCAACAACCTTGTTAAACAGCAAAGAATCTTTGTAGTAGAAAAGTATTTAAAATGCCATCTAGGCCCATTTTCTGACCACCTATCTCTAGTAATGGAGATGATGTGGTTGCTATTTGGGGGCTTGACAACATTTACCAACATTCCAATATTGAAATTGCTTCTTGGAAAAATACACCAGAAAAGTTCAAAAGAACCTCTGAGATGGTTTACTTCAGTGTCCTCTTTCTCTGGATTCTGCAACTGAAGCTCAGAGAGGTTAAGTTACTAATCCAGTAGTTTTGAGTTAGTTAGGATCCAGGGATAGAACCGAGGTCTAAGTATTCCTGAGGGGGGCATTTTCCAGAACTGGCAAATCAAACTTTGTTGCTTTATTGGTTATTGTATCAGTCTTTTGCTTGCCATACCAAAATATTCCAGACTGGGTGCCTTAAACAATTGACATTCATTTTTCACAGTTCTGGAGGCTACAAATCTTAAGGTCAAGGTGCCATCATTGCTGGTTTATAGTAAGGGCTCTCTTTCTGGCTTGCAGATGGCCGCCTTCTCACTGTGTGCTCACATGACTTTTCTATGTGACTGCGTTGAAAGAGAGAGCTGATTTGTGCTCCTTCTCCTTATGAGGGCACTAATCCCATTAAATTAGGGCCCTACCCTTATGTCCCTATGTAACCCTAATTACCTCCCAAAGGTCTCATCAACAAATACCATCGCATTAGGGCTCGACATATGAATTTTGGGTGACACAATTCAGTCCATAACAGTGTTGAAAGAAGTAGCCACTGCTTTTGTCAAAGTGGAAATCTAGATGCTACCATACACAGAAGAAGAGTCTAGGGCTCTGAAACGTCACCAGATACCCTCAAATGCCTGTTTTATTACAGGCATTTCCTCATTCTTCATTCTACTTGACGTTTGTGCAGTTACCACATGCTTTACCTTGGAGCCTCGTCCTGGAATGCTCATCCAGCTCCTCTGACGTCAGTTGTCTTTCTCCTCCTCTGCTGGCTCAGTCACTTTCCTTATTTTAGTCAGGTTTCTTCATAGAAAGTAGATGCCACCTGAAGTTTTCTGTTTGGCCTCTTCCCATCTTTGTCTAATTCCTTACTCTCCCTGTCAAGCTCCCATTGATTCAATTCTCACCTCTCACTCAATTCTCAGACCTGAATTCTAACTACCTGCTGGAAGTTTCCATACAATGCCTTAGAATTTAGAAACTAAACTCATTTCTCTCCTTAACACTTTCCAGCAAACTTCCATTCCTGTCTTCTCACATATTGAGTTATTTTCAACTTTGCCTTTATTTCTCTCTTACATCACTCAAAAAGTCCCTTAGACACAGCCTCCTCAATGCTTTCTGTTACTGGAGTTTCCCCCCTATTGTCTTTATCAAATTTAGGGATTTAGTGCATTTAATCTGATACATTGTATTGAGAACCTAACTGACTACTTTTCACTCTAAAACATTCTGAAAATGGTTTCCAAATAAATCGTTCTAAAGTAAAAAAAAAAAATGCTAAAACACCAAAAGCAATGGCAACAAAAGCAAAAATTGACAAATGGGATCTAATTAAACTAAAGAGCTTCTGCACAGCAAAAGAAACTACCATCAGAGTGAACAGGCAACCTACAGAATGGGAGAAAATTTTTGCAATCTACCCATCTGACAAAGGGCTAATATCCAGAATCTACAATGAACTCAAACAAATTTACAAGAAAAAAACAAACAACCCCATCAAAAAGTGGGTGAAGGATATGAACAGACACTTCTCAAAAGAAGACATTTATGCAGCCAACAGACACATGAAAAAATGCTTATCATCACTGGCCATCAGAGAAATGCAAATCAAAACCACAATGAGATACCATCTCACACCAGTTAGAATGGCAATCATTAAAACGTCAGGAAACAACAGGTGCTGGAGAGGATGTGGAGAAACAGGAACACTTTTACACTGTTGGTGGGACTGTAAACTAGCTCAACCATTGTGGAAGACAGTGTGGCGACTCCTCAAGGATCTAGAGCTAGAAATACCATTTGACCCAGCCATCCCATTACTGGGAATATACCCAAAGGATTATAAATCATGCTGCCATAAATGCACATGCACACGTATGTTTATTGCGGCACTATTCACAATAGCAAAGACTTGGAACCAACCCAAATGTCTATCAATGATCGACTGGATTAAGAAAATGTGGCACATATACACCATGGAATACTATGCAGCCATAAAAAAGGATGAGTTCATGTCCTTTGCAGGGACATGGATGAAGCTGGAAGCCGTCATTCTCAGCAAACTATCGCAAGAGCAAAAAACCAAACACCACATGTTCTCACTCATAGGTGGGAACTGAACAATCAGAACACTTGGACACAGGAAGGGGAACATCACACACCAGGGCCTGTTGTGGGGTGGGGGAAGTGGGGAGGGAAAGCATTAGGAGATATACCTACTGTAAAATGACGAGTTAATGGGTGCAGCACACCAACATGGCACATGTATACATATGTAACAAACCTGCATGTTCTGCACAGGTACCCTAGAACTTAATGCATAATAAAAAAAATTAATGTCAACGTAAAAAAAAAAAATAAACTCACTCAAAACCACACAACTACATGGAAACTGAACAACCTACTCCTGAGTGACTACTGGGGGTAAAATAACGCAATGAAGACAGAAATAAAGGTGTTCTTTGAAACCAATGAGAACAAAGACACAACATACCAGAATCTCTGGGACACATTTAAAGCAGTGCGTAGAGGGAAATTTATAGCACTAAATACCCTCAAGGGAAAGGAGGAAAGATCTAAAATCAACACCCTAACATCAGGATTAAAAGACCTAGAGAAGCAAGAGCAAACAAATTCAAAAGCCAGCAGAAGGTAAGAAATAAGTAAGATCAGAGAAGAATTGAAGGAGATAGAGACACAAAATCCCTTCAAAAAAAAAATCAAAGAATCCAGGAGCTGGTTTTTTGAAAAGATCAACAAAATACATAGACCACTAGCAAAACTCATAAAGAAGAAAAGAGAGAAGATTAAAGACTTAAATGTTAGACCTAAAACCATAAAAGCCCTAGAAGAAAACCTAGGCAATACCATTCAGGACATAAGCATGGGCAAGGACTTCATATCTAAAACACCAAAAACAATGGCAACAAAAGCCAAAATTGACAAATGGGATCTAATTAAACTAAAGAGCTTCTGCGCAGCAAAAGAAACTACCATCAGAGTGAACAGGCAACCTACAGAGTGGGAGAAAATTTTTGCAATCTACCCATCTGACAAAGGGCTAATATCCAGAATCTACAATGAACTCAAACAAATTTACAAGAAAAAAACAAACAACCCCATCAAAAAGTGGGTGAAGGATATGAACAGACACTTCTCAAAAGAAGACATTTATGCAGCCAACAGACACATGAAAAAATGCTCATCATCACTGGCCATCAGAGAAATGCAAATCAAAACCACAATGAGATACCATCTCACACCAGTTAGAATGACGATCATTGAAAAGTCAGGAAACAACAGGTGCTGGAGAGGATGTGGAGAAATAGGAACACTTTTACACTGTTGGTGGGAATGTAAACTAGTTCAACCATTGTGGAAGTCAGTGTGGTGATTCCTCAGGGATCTAGAGCTAGAAATACCATTTGACCCAGCCATCCCATTACTGGGTATATACCAAAAGGATTATAAAACATGCTGCTATAAAGACACATGCACACGTGTGTTTGTTGCAGCACTATTCACAATAGCAAAGACTTGGAACCAACCCAAATGTCCAACAATGATAGACGGGATTAAGAAAATGTGGCACATATACACCATGGAATACTATGAAGCCATAAAAAAGGATGAGTTCATGTCCTTTGTACGGACATGGATGAAGCTGGAAACCATCATTCTCAGCAAACTATCACAAGGACAAAAAACCAAACACCACATGTTCTCACTCATATGTGAGAATTGAACAATGAGAATACATGGACACAGGAAGGGGAACATCACACACCAGGGACTGTTGTGGGGTGGGGGGAGGGGGGAGGGATAGCATTAGGAGATATACCTAATGTTAAATGAAGAGTTAATGGGTGCAGCACACCAACATGGCACATGTATACATATGGAACAAACCTGTATGTTGTGCACATGTACCCTAAAACTTAAAGTATAATAAAAAAAATTAAAAAAAAATAGAACAGATCAGGATATTACACAAATGGAAAAGATACATTTGTTTTATGAAATGTTTCTTTCTGCTGTGAGTTTGTGTGTGTGTGTGTGTGTGTGTGTGTAATGGGCGGTGATATAAAAAGTACTATGAATAACAATAAATTTTTTTATCTTTCTAATTTTTAAATAAATAAACTTTAAAAATAAAGAATCAAATAGACACAATAAAAAATGATAAAGGGGATATCACCACGGATCCCACAGAAATACAAACTACAATCAGAAAATACTATAAATAACTCTATGCAAATAAACTAGGAATCTAGAAGAATAAATTCCTGGACACATACACCCTCCCAAGTCTAAACCAGGTAGCAGTTGAATCCCTGAATAGACCAACAACAGGTTCTGAAATTGAGGCAATAATTAGTAGCCTACCAACCAAAAAAAGTCCAGGACTAGACGATTCACAGTCGAATTCTACCAGAGGTAAAAAGAGGAGCTGGTACCATTCCTTCTGAAACTATTTCAATCAATAGAAAAAGAGGGAATCCTCCCTAACTCATTTTATGAGGCCAGCATCATCCTGATCCAAAGCCTGGCAGAGACACAACAAAAAAAAAAAAAAAAAAGAGAGAGAATCTTAGGCCAATATCCCTGATGAACATCTGTGTGAAAATCCTCAGTAAAATACTGGCAAATTGAATCCAGCAGCACATCAAAAAGCTTATCCACCATGATCAAGTCGGCTTCATCCCTGGGATCCAAGAGGCTGGTTCAACCTATGCAAATCAATAAACGTAATCCATCACATAAACAGAACCAACGACAAAAACCACATTATTATCTCAATAGATGCAGAAAACATCTTTGACAGAATTCAACAGCCCTTCATGCTAAAAACTCTCAATAAACTAGGTATTCATGGAACGTATCTCAAAATAGTAAGAGCTATTTATGACAAACCCACAGCCAGTATCATACTGAATGGGCAAAAACTGGAAGCATTCCCTTTGAAAACTCGCACAAGACAGGGATGCCCTCTCTCACCACTCCTATTCAACATAATGTTGGAAGTTCTGGCTAGGGCAATCAGGGAAGAGAAAGAAATAAAGGTATTCAGTTAGGAAAAGAGAAAGTCAAATTGTCTCAGTTTGCAGATGACATGATTGTATATTTAGAAAATCCCATCATCTCAGTCCAAAACCTCCTTAAGCTGATAAACAACTTCAGCAAAGTCTCAGGATACAAAATCAATGTGCAAAAGTCACAGGCATTCCTATACACCACTAATGGACAAACAGAGAGCCAAATCATGAGTGAACTCCCATTCACAATTACTACAAAGAGAACAAAATACCTAGGAATGCAACTCACAAGGATGTGAAGGACCTCTTCAAGGAGAACTACAAACCACTTCTCAACAAAATAAAAGAGGACACAAAGAAATGGAAGAACATTCCATGCTCAAGGATAGGAAGAATCAATATGGTGAAAATGGCCATACTGCCCAAGGTAATTTGTAGATTCAATGCTATCCCCATCAAGCTACCACTGATTTTCTTCACAGAATTAGAAAAAAATACATTAAAGTTCATATGGAACGAAAAATGATCCCGCATAGCCAAGAAAATCCTAAGCAAAAAGAACAAAGCTGGAGGCATCACACTACCTGACTTCAAACTATACTACAAGGCTACAGTAACCAAAACAGCATGGTACCAAAACAGATAAACAGACCAATGGAACGGGACAGAGACCTCAGAAACAACATCACACATCTACAACCATCTAATCTTTTACAAACCTGACAAAAACAAGCAATGGGGAAAGGATAGCCTATTTAATAAATGGTGCTGGGAAAACTGGCTAGCCATATGTAGAAAGCTGAAACTGGATCCCTTCCTTACACCTTATACAAAAATTAACTCAAGATGGATTAAAGACTTAAATGTAAGACCTAACACCATAGAAACCCTAGAAGAAAACCTAGGCAATACCCTTCAGAACATAGGCATGGGCAAAGACTTCATGACTACAACACCAAAAGCAATGGCAACAAAAGCCAAAATTGACAAATGGGATCTAATTAAACTAAAGGGTTTCTGCACAACAAAAGAAACTACCATCAGAGTGAACAGGCAACCTAAAGAATGGGAGAAAATCTTTGCAATCTACCCATCTGACAAAAGGCTAACATCCAGAATCTACAAAGAACTTAAACAAATTTATAAGAAAAAGACCAAACAACCCCATCAAAAAGTGGGCAAAAGATATGAACAGACACTTCTCAAAAGAAGACATGTATGCAGCCAACAGACATATGAAAAAATGCTCATCATCACTGGTCGTCAGAGAAATGCAACTCAAAACCACAGTGAGATACCATGTCACACCAGTTAGAATGGCGGTCATTAAAATGTCAGGAAACAACAGATGCTGGAGATGATGTGGAGAAATAGGAATGCTTTTACGCTGTTTGTGGGAGTGTAAATTAGTTCAACCATTGTGGAAGACAGTGTGGCGATTCCTCAAGGATCTAGAACTAGCGATCTTGACCCAGCGATCCCATTACTGGGTATATACCCAAAGGATTATAAATCATGCTACTTATAAAGACGTATGTTCACGTATGTTTATTGTGGCACTATTCACAATAGTAAAGACTTGGAACCAACCCAAATGTCCAACAATGATAGACTGGATTAGGAAAATGTGGCACATATAGACCATAGAATACTATGCAGCCATAAAAAAGGATGAGTTCACGTCCTGTGCAGTGACATGGATGAAGCTGGAAACCATCATTCTCAGCAAACTATCACAAAGACAGAAAACCAAACACCACATGTTCTTACTCACAGGTGGGAGTTGAACAATGAGAACACGTGGACACAGGGCAGGGAACATCACACACCAGGGCCTGTCAGGGGGTGGAGGGATGGGGGAGGGACAGCATTAAGAGAAATATCTAATGTAAATGACGAGTTGATGGGTGCGGCAAACCAACATGGCACATGTATACCTATGTAACAAACCTGTACGTTGTGCACATGTACCCTAGAACTTAAAATATAATAAAAAATAGATAAATAAATAAGGCCAGGCATGGTGGCTCACACCTGTAATCCCAGCACTTTGGGAGGCCGAGGCAGGCAGATAACCTGAGGTCAGGAGTTCGAGACCAGACTGGCCAAGATGGCAAAACCCCGTCTCTATTAAAAATATAAAAATTAGCCAGTTGTGGTGGTGGGTGTCTGTAATCCCAGCTACTCCGGAGGCTGAGACAGGAGAATCACTTGAATCTGGGAGACAGAGGTTGCAGTGAGCAGAGATTGCACCACTGCACTCCAGCCTAGGCAACAGTGAGACTCAGTGTTAAAAAAAAAAAAAAAAAAAAGTAAATAAATAAATTAAATTGACCAAAAAAAGTAGGTTTCCTTTTGCAGACTCCTTCTGGTACTTACAATTTCCTCTCCAAATTCTAGTCTTGTGAGAAAAACAGACTTTGACTTCACATCAATAAAATGCTTCTACTGAGGTCATTACAACGTTACACAGAAACCTAGACCCTCAGGAATGGGAATAAATATTTGTTCCATTCAAAGACACTGCAGCTGCTTTGCAGGAACTATTTGGCTCCACTCAAGGAATTTACCCCCCTAAGTGACAAAAAATGGGCTTACTCTGGCTGGGAGCGGTGGCTCACGCCTGTAATCCCAGCACTTTGGGAGGCTGAGGCAGGTGGATCACGAGGTCAGGAGATTGAGACCATCCTGGCTAACACGGTGAAACCCCGTCTCTACTAAAAAATAGAAAAAATTAGCCGGGCGTGGTGGCGGGCCCCTGTAGCTCCAGCTACTCGGGAGGCTGAGGCAGGAGAATGGTGTGAACCCAGGAGGCGGAGCTTGCAGTGAGCTGAGATCGTGCCACTGCACTCCAGCCTGGGTGACAGAGCAAGACTCTGTCTCAAAAAAGAAAAGAAAAATGGGCTTACTCATGATGGGCCAAGTTATAGTCATACTCCCAATGCAGCCTGTATCCCACCTGGATACTACTTAAGTGGACATCAGGCTTACCCTCTTCTGCCACTAAATCAGCCTGGAGAATCTGGATGATTGACAGAGAATTGAGATATTTAGAACTAGTACCTCTCCATGTTTGCATGGGGAAGAAGCCCAGAAACCTTCAAGGTGAGGTGAGCACAAACTACTTGGGAGAATTCCCAGAAGAGATAACTGACTCCCTCTTTTTGCATACTATGCTGGCTACAATTCGCACAGCAGAAATAATACGACTAGAAGAGGTGGTGCAGAATTTTTCTCTGGACCTGGAAGAAGTCACAAATGGAACAATTTCTACTCTGGATGCCCTCCAAAAACTACTCTAAATCTGTTAGCTAGAGTTCTCATGGACAATTGCATAGCCCTTGGTTTCCTCTTAGCTATCCAAAGGAGAGCTCATGTTAGAGTAAATACATCTCGCTGCACCTGTGTAAATATTACACGGCAAGTAGAACAGTTTACGGTATATTAAAAGAAAATAAACTCATCTGGATCTCTAAGGCAGACCCAGCTGGATTCTGGGACATGCTTTCATTGCCTAGGCTTTATAACCTAGACACCCTTGGCTTGGAGATCTGCAGCAAGGGCTAATAATCATTTCATTTTTGTTAACTGCCTGTGTTGCAGTTTGTCAACATATCATGTCTAGCATCTAAAATGCTACTGTGTAGTTTTGAGAGATCTCCTTGATACTGATTTCTATTTTTATTGTACTGTGGTCCAAGAGTACACTTGGTATGATTTAAATTTTTTTTAATTTATTGAGACTTGCTTTATGACTGACCATGTGGTTGATCTTAGAATATATTCTGTGTGCACATGAGAAGAATGTGGATTCTGTGGTTGTTGGGTGGAGTGTTTCGTAGATGTCTATTAGGTCCAAATGGTCAAGTGTCAAGTTTAAGTCCAGGGTTTCTTGGTTAGTGTTCTGCCTCAGTAATCTGTCTAATGCTGTCAGTGGGGTGTTGAACACTCCCACTACTATTGTGTGGTTGTCTAAGTCTTCTGATAGGTCAAGAAGAACTCATTTTATGCATCTGGGCTCTCCAATGTTGAGTGCATATATATTTAAGATAGCTAAGGCTTCCTGTTGGATTGTTATTGTTTGTAATGCCCTTCATTGTCCTTCTTAATTTCTATTGGTTTAAAGTCTGTTTTATCTGAAATAAGAAGAGGGACTCATGTTCCTTTTTGTTTTCCATTTGCATGGTAGATCTTCCTCCACCCTTTTACTTTGAGCCTGTGGGTGTCGTTGCATGTGAGATGGGTCTCTTGAAGGCAGCAGATGGTTGGGTCTTGTCCTTTTGTCCAGCCTGCCACTCTGTGCCTTTTCAGTGGGGTGTTTAGCCCATTTACATTCAAGGTTAGTATTCATATACGGGATTTTGATCCTGTCATCATGATGCCTGGTGGTTGTTATGTGGACTTGACTGCGTAGTTGCTTTATACTGCCTGTGTGCTATGTGCTTAAGGGTGCTTTTGTGGTAGCAGGTGTCATTATTTTGATTCCATGTTTAGCACTCCCTTAAGAACCTCTTGTAATGCTGGCCTAGTGGAAATGTATTCCCTCAGCATTTGCTTGTCCGAGAAGGATTTTATTTCTCCTTCACTTATGAAGCTTTGTTTGGCAGCATGTGGAATTCTTGGCTGGAACTTCTTTTCAGTAAGGACACTGAAATTAGACCCCCAATCTTTTCTGGCTTGTAAGGTTTCTGCTGATAGGACTGCTGCTAGCCTGATGGGGTTACCTCTGTAACTACACTATAAAGCCACAGGAACCAAAACAGCTTGATACTGATAAAAAAAAAAAAAAAAAGACACATAGACCAATGGAACAGAATGGAAAACTCAGAAATAGAGCTGCACACCTACAACCATCTGAACTTTGACAAGGCTGGCAAACACATGCAATGAGGAAAGGACTCGACTCCCTATTCAATAAATGATGGTGGGATAACTGGCTAGCCACTTGCAGAAAATTGAATCTGGACCCCCCCACTTTTCACCACATACAAAAATAAACACAAGGTGGATCAAAGATTCAAATGTAACACCCCAAACCATAAGAATCCTGGAGGACAACTTAGGAAACACTCTTCTGGACATCAGCCTTGGCAAAGAATTTTTGACTAAGTCTCCAGATTTAATTGCAACAAAAACAAAAATTGACACCCCAAGACCGAATTAAACTGAAGAGCTTCTACACAGCAAAAGAAGCCAGCACCAGAGTAAACAGACAGCCTACAGAATGAGAGAAGATATTAGCAAACAATGCATGTGACAACGGCCTAATATCCAGAATCTATAGGGAACTTAAACAAATCAACAAGTAAAACACAAATAGCCCCATTTAAAAAAAAAAAAAAACAGGCAAAGGACATGAACAGACACTTCTCAAAGGAAGATGTATAAGCGGCCAACAAACATGAAAACATGCTCAGCATCACTAATCATCTGAGAAATGCAAATCAAAACCACCATGAGACATCATCTCACACCAGTCAGAATGGCTATTACTAAACTGTCCAAAAACGATAGATGGTGGCGAGGCTGCAGTGAAAAAGGAACGCCTATACACTGTTGGTAACTGCTGCTTCTTTACCACTTACAGCCCTAGGCATCATTTATTCTTCCCTCATTCTAGATAAGATTTATTAAGATACCCAATCATAGGATTGCCTCTGCTCCTTAGAAGTATCTAATGCAAAGTTTGCCCAAATCCTGTAAGTCCTTTCTAATGCCCTCCTGCTGAGTTGCTCCGCAGTTTCCCATGGGGTGCATTCTCCCTTAATACAACAAGCAATAAACCCAAATTTGTTCGACTACAGGCGTGCTCCTGGTGATTGTTGGGTCGTGAGCACTGACATATTATAAAGATCTGCTTAATTGCCTCCACCCTACCCCATCCCACAGACTGTGACCTTTGTTAGAACAGGGCCTGTGGCTTATTTATTTTTTGTCCCCAGTTCCAGTGGTGAATGGATGTATCATGGATGGCTCCATGGACGGATGGATGGATGGATGAATAAGAATAAAAGGGGGAGAAAGGGGAACATTGAGAAAATGAGGAGGGAGAGAGAAAAGAAGAGGGGAGGGAGGGAGAGAAGGAGAAGTAACTCAGGTTGTCCTGCTCTATTCCTTGGCCCGTGCACATGCTCACTTATCTTTACACACTGTCTTATTTCCTATGGGATCCATAGTCACCAGATGTCTGTTAAGGTGACATTTTATTTTGAAGGCAGTCTAGACGCCTATTACTCCAATTTTCTGCCATTGCCCTGTTTTCTTCCTACTCTTCCTCCCTTGTTTGTCTCATCCACGCTCATGGCTTCTCTTACTACTTTTCAGCAGAAGCCTTCCAAGTCGCTTCCTCCAACGCCAGCCTCTTCCCAAAGTTGTGGTCCTACATGTCTAGTTGTACCACATGGTGGTGCTCAAGAAGAGAGAAACTTGGATATGTTTTTCTGTTACATGTTCTGGAAGCTCTAACCGCATTCCCTCTTCTGTCTTCTGCATCGTGCTACAGTTCTCTGGTTATATTCTATTTAGGCTCTCGGTAGCTGTCTTGAGTCAAACTTCAGAGGAGGAAGGGCTTTTCTAAGAGGGTGAGGGAGTCATAATCTGAAAGTAACAACAATAATGATAATACTTGTGTGGAGGTTCTCCTCTGGTAGGATCAATACTAGACACTTTAAATGTTACCTCATTGTTTTCTTTTTTTGAGACAGGGTCTTGCTCTGTCACCCAGGCTGGAGTGAAGTGGCATGATCATAGCTCATTGCAGCCTCAAACTCCTGCACTCAAGCTATCCTCGTGTCTCAGCCTCCTGGGTAGGTGGGACTGCGGGCACGCGTCACCATGCCCAGCTATTTTTTTATTTTTAGTAGAGACGGGGTCTTGCTGTGTTGCCCAGGACGGTCTTGAACTCCTGTGCTCAAATGATCCTCGTGCCTCAGCTTCCCAAAGTGCTGGGATTACAAGCCTGAGCCACCACGCCCAGCCCTGTTACATCATTTAAGCTTGATCCTCACAACAATCATAGTAGAAAGGGCTTATTATCTTTATTTATAAATAAGAAAACAGGCTTAGAAAGGTGAATTCACTTGCCCAAGGTCACACAGCTAGTAAGTGGAAGAAATACCAGGATTCGAACTGGAAGCTGAGCTGCTACTGTAGAGCTGGAGCTCTTAACTGCTATGTTGTATTAATCCAGGGAATGAAGACAATGAGGTCTCTGCCCCCAGGTCTATATGGTGTTTGGGGTATGACAATAAGAGAATCATCTAGTGAAAAATGCTGTGGGGCAGTGGTGTCTTTAGGTGAACTAGGTAAAAATAAGGAATGATACCTAGTTCTCTTGTATTGCTACAATTAAGAAAAGGAGCTGGAGTGAACACTGAAAACAAAGTGGGAGGATATAGGGGAGATTTATTTAAAGTATGAAACAAAAAGCCAGAGTGCATTCAAGAAAAGAGTTGGGCAGAGTCAGACATAGAGAGGAAACAAGAAAATAATAGCCAGAAGTTCCTGCATTTGGGGCAGTATTGAGATTGACAGAGAAATGAGGCTTGGTGGCATCTGCTGGTCTAAAGATACCAAACAGAGGAGACTCTGATTAAAATTGGTCTGTGCTGGTACACCAATGTTCTGGAAGGTGCTGGCAGCCTACTGATTAGAGGCAGGTGGAAGTAGCAGTGGCCAATGCTCAGGGTTCAGGAGTAAGTGTCAGTGAAAAATTGTGATAGTGTTCTCTGCAAAAGAAGCAGACAGTTCCTAGGGCAGTATTTCACAGACACGGAGGCACAAACTCTATCTTGTGTTCCTATTGCCATACTGTTCCTGATATATCTTAGGAAGGCACCATATACATAGATCATTCTCATTTGGAGGATGTCTGGAATCAAGAACAAGAGCATTTGCCAGAGTGCTCCAGTTAAATGTTTGCAAGAGCCAATTTGTCATTCCACGAAGGGAACAAGGAAGATGTAACCTCGAGAGGATTAGAAAGGCTTTTTACCTGGTTGGGGAGAAAGTATAGAATACTTACGAGAAAATAAATCAAATCAGAAGACAGACCTCAGAGGGGAAGTGTCTGGCTGGATGTGGGAAGGGAGAGCAGAATGTGAGCACATTTTCTGGGACATGTGATAGCTGAGGAGAGGAACTTCTTAGGCATTATAGTCCACTGCAGCATGTGGATACAGAGATGGAAAAGGAAGCTGTTTTTCATTAAATGAGATACATGGAACAAGAGAAAACAGGCCCTAAACTCCATCCCCAAATGTGTAAGGCCAGTACTGGTGGCCCCAGACAAAGCTGTTACTATCCCTTGGAGGTCTTTGCTTCTTGCACAAGAGACCTTGTCAGCACCCTTACTGGCAGGGCAGCAACATTGGCACCAGGCTCCCATATTTGTTCCAAAGAATTGGGTACCACCTCAAAACTGGGAGGCTAAGGGGCTCTGGGGACAAACAGGATAATGGCAATTTGTGACAACACAATAATTATACATACCTTCTCTTTCCTTCCTCCCATCTGCCACCCCCACTTCCTTGCCCTTAGCTTAGAGGGAGGGACTTGTTCGTGTATTAGAGGCTGATTGGCTGCTGTGGGGGAGATATGAAATGGCAGGCTTATCATCAGCTTGCATCCTGATTGTATTTCCGATCATCCTAGCACATGATGATTTACAAGTTAAATTCAATCTCTGAAGTCAAACCATCTAGGTTCAAATTTCAGTTTACCACTTACTATCTGCGTGTGTCCTTGAGCAAGTTACTTAAACTCTCTGTACCTCAGTTTCCTTATCTGTAAATGAGAATAATAATAACAGCACTCTCTTCATTGGATTAATATATTAAATAAACTAGCATGCTTAGCACAGGCCTGCTCATCAACAGCTCGTCCGACAACAGAAGGAACAGAAGGGATTAACCCCAGTCTAACTACAGATTATGTTCTGTATAAAAAGTGTTTAATAAAAGTTAGCTAATATGATGATGATCTCGAGAAATAGACACCTGATACATTGCTACTTAAAGCCTCTCATAGTACTGATCAACATAAGCATGTAAGAAAACTGCCCCGGATAAGAAAGAGCCATGCAAAAGAATTAGAGGGAACAGTACCTGGTACTTTCACAAGACTAGCAATAATGCCTATTCTCAACTATCAGACTGGAAAGTCTCTCAATTCTCTGAGCAATATACAAAGTGCTGAAAAGAGATTTACCTAACTAGTGGAGAGTAATGGGTCCTAGACTAAACACAGCTTTGGTATCATCTAACAAAGCTTAAAAGCAAGACCCCAAAGTATGAAACTACAAGCGACTTAACTGCATCCCAGAACAAAGCTCAGGAAAAATTATGAGAATACAAAAATATTCGGCACTCAACAAGCTAAAACTCATCATGTCTTGGCATCCAGTTAAAACCTAGCAAACAAATGAAGAACCAAGAAAACATGACAATAACAAGGAGAAAAATCAATCAACTGAAAATGACCCAGAATTGACAAAGATGCTTAAATTAGAAGAGAAGAATATTAAAAGTTATAATAACTGTAGTTCATATGCTCAAAGTCAAGTCAAGACATGGAAGATACAGAAAAAATGCAAATCAAACTTCTGGAGATGGGCACTACTATATCTATGATGGAAAATGCACTGGATGGGATTAACAGTGTATGAGACATTGCAGGAAAAAAGATTAGTGAACTTAAAGACATGGGAATATAAGCTGTACAAAGAAAAAAATGTAAGAAAAATGAACAGAGCAACAGAGAACTATAGGACAATGTCACACAGCCAAATATATGTGCAATTGTTGGCCCTGAAAGAGAGAAAATAAAGGAGGGAGGGACAGAAAAAATATATTTGAATAAATAGCTGCTGAAATCTACCCATAATTGCTAAAAACTTTAAGCCCACACATCCAAGAAGCTGAACACACACCAGGCACAAGAAACGTAGAGAAAGCTACACTAAGGCACATCACAATAACATTTTACAAAACCAGAGAGGAAAAAAAAAACCTGAAGAGCAGTCAGGAAAGATGGAGAGGCCACACGTTGCATACAAAGGGACTGAAATGAGGATGACAGCAGATTTCTCATCAGAAAAAAATGCAAGTGAGAAGACACTGGAGCAACATTTTTGAAGTACTAAATGAAAAATACTGCTAACCTAGAATGCTATGCCCAGTGAAAATGTCTTTCAAAAATGAAGGCCAAAAAGAAGGAAAGGGGAGCAAATTCATGAAGCCAATAGAAAACATAACACAAGATGGTAAATTTAAACCTAACCATATCAATAATTACATTGAATATAAATGGTCCCAACATGCCAATTAAGAGACAAAAACCACCAGACTGGATAAGAAAGCAAGACTCAACTCTATATTGCCTATAATAAACCCACTTTAAATATAAAGACACAACATAGCTTAAACATAAAGGTGAGGGCAGTATACCAAGCTAAGACTAATCACAATAAAGACGTAGTTGTTACATTGATATCAGACACAGTAGACTTCAGAACAAAGAATATTACCATTGATAAAGAAGACCATGTCATAATGACAACTCAGTGAATTTATGATGAGTAGATAACAATTCTGTGTTTGTGCACCTAAAAACAGAGCTTCAAGATGCATGAAGCAAAAATGAATAGACCTACACAGAGAAATAGCTGCATCAACAATTCTCGACAAAGATTTCAATGCCCCTCAATATATTGCTGGTAAAACAAGCAGACAGAAAGTCAATGACAATATAGAAGACTCGAGCATCACTATTACCAACTTGACCTAATTGTCACATGTAGAACCCTCCACCCCACAACAGAAGACTATGCATTATTTTCAAGTGTATGTGGAACATTTACCAAGAGAGACTGTATTCCGTGCCATAAAACAAGTCTCAGTACATTTTAGACAATTCCAGTAACACAAAGTGTGTTCTTCAACCACATACAATAAAATTAAGTTAGAAATCAACGAGAGCGTTATTCAGAAAATCTACAAATATTTGGGAACCAAATAATGTGCTTTCAATTACCCTATGAATCAAATAAGAAATCATAATGAAAATTAGAAAGTGTTTTGAACTGACGGAAAAGGAAAAAACAGCATATCAAAAGTTGTGAGATGCCAGTTAAAAAAAAAAGGACTTGGGAAATTTCGTAGCAGTAAAAACACCTCTATGAGGAAAAGTCTCAAATCAATGAGCTCAGCAGCCATGTTAATACATGAGAGAAATGTAAATGGAAACTAGATTGAGATACCACCATTAACACATTACATACACATCTATAATTTAAAAAACTTTTCATGAAGCAAATAAGAAGCATTGGTAAGGATGTACAGAAGTTGAAATTCTTGCACATTGCTGATGGGAATGTAAAATGGTGCACCTCTGTGGAAAAGCTTCCCGTCCCTCAAAGAGCTCTTTCCATAATGTATACAAAGATCAAAACTTCACATTGCACCCCATAAATATACACAGCTATTATATCAATTAGAAATAAATTTTAAAAGAGTTAAACATAGGATGCCTTATGACCAGGCAATTCCACTCCTATGGAAATACACCCAAAATAATTGAAAATAGAATCTGAGACAGACAGTTTCACACCAATGTCCATTGCAATGTTATTCACTATAGCGAAGAGTTGGAAACAACCCAAGGGTCCATCAGCAGATGAATGGACAAATGAAATATGGCATGTGTATGCAATGGAATATTATTCAGTTGTGGAAAGAAATGAAGTTCTGATATATGCCACAACATGGATGAACCTGGAAAACATTATTCTAAGGGAAATAAGCCAGACACAAAAGGAAAAATACTGTATGGTTCCACTTACATGAAATACCAAGTATAGGAAAATTCATAGAGAGATCAAGTAGATTAGAGGTTTTCAGGGGCTAAAGGGAGGAGGGAATGGGGAGTTATTGACCAATGGGTACAGAGTTTCCCTTTAAAGTTTGGAAATAGTGGTGATGGTGTCACAATGTTGCCAATGTAATTAATGCCACTGAATTGGACACTTTAAAAGGGTTGGGTCTCCATTCCAAGATGGCCAAATAGTAACAGCTCCAGTCTGTAGCTCCCAGCGTGATCGACGCAGAAGATGGGTGATTTCTGCATTTCCAACTGAGGTACCTGGTTCATCTCACTGGGACTGGTTGGACAGTGGGTGTAGCCCATGGAGGGTGAGCTGAAGCAGGGCAGGGCATCACCTCACCCCAGAAGTGCAAGGGGTCAGGGGATTTCCCTTTCCCAGCCAAGGGAAGCCGTGACACACTGTACCTGGAAAAACAGGACACTCTCACCCAAATACTGTGCTTTTCCCAAGGTCTTAGCAGCCAGTAGACAAGGAGATTCTCTCCCGTGCCTGGCTCAGTGGGTCCCATGCTCACGGAGCCCTACTCACTGCTAATGCAGCAGTCTGAGATCAACCTGCAAGGCACCAGCCTGGCTGGCAGAGGGGTGTCCACCATTGCTGAGGCTTGAGTAGGTAAACAAAGAGGCCAGGAAGCATGAACTGGGTAGAGCCCACTGCAGCTCAGCAAGGCCTACAGCCTCTACAGACTCCACCTCTGTGGGCAAGGCATAGCTGAACCAAAGGCAGCAGACAACATCTGCAGACTTAAACGTCCCTGTCTGACAGCTCTGAAGAGAGCAGTGGTTCTCCCAGCGTGGTGTTTGAGCTCTGAGAAAGGACAGACTGCCTCCTCAAGTGAGTCCCTGACCCCCATGTGGCCTAACTGAAAGACACCTCCCAGTTGGGGCTGACAGACACCTCATATAGGCAGCTGCCCCTCTGGGATGAAGCTTCCAGAGGAAGGATCAGGCAGCAATATTTGCTGTTCTGCAGCCTCCGTTGCTGATACCCAGGCAAACAGGGTCTGGAGTGGACCTCCAGCAAACTTCAACAGACCTGCAGCTGAGGAGTCTGGCTGTTAGAAGGAAAACCGACAAACAGAAAGGAATAGCATCAACATCAACTAAAAGGACATCCACACCAAAGCCTCATCTGTAGGTCAACAACATCAAATACCAAAGGTAGATAAGACCACAAAAATGGGGAGATACCAGAGCAGAAAATGTGAAAATTCTAAAAACCAAAGTGCCTCTTCTCCTCCAAAGGATTGCAGCTCCTCACCAGCAACAGAACAAAGCTAGACAGACAATGACTTTGAGAAGTTGACAGAAGTAGGCTTGAGAAGGTCAGTAATAACAAAGTTCTCCAAGCTAAACAGCATGTTCCAATCCATTGCAAGGAAGCTAAAAACCTTGAAAAAAGGTTAGATGAATGACTAACTAGAAAAAACAGTGTAGAGAAGACCTTAAATGACCTGATGGAGCTGAAAACCATGGCATGAGAACTTTGACACATGCAGAAGCTTCAATAGCATATTCGATCAAGTGGAAGAAAGGGTATCAGTGATGGAAGATCAAATTATTGAAATAAAGCAAGAAGACAAGGTTAGAGAAAAAAGAATAAAAAGAAACAAACAAAGCCTTCAAGAAACATGGGACTATGTGAAAAGACCAAATCTCCGTTTGATTTGTGTACCTGAAAGTGACGGGGAGAATGGAACCAAGTTGGAAAACACTCTTCAGGATATTATCTGGGAAAACTTCCCAAACTTAGCAAGGCAGGCCAACATTCAAATTCAGGAAATACAGAGAACACCACAAAGATACTATACTCCTCGAGAAAAGCAATCCCGAGACACATAATTTTCAGATTCACCAAGGTTGAAATGAAGGAAAAAATGTTAAGGGCAGCCAGAGAGAAAGGTAGGGTTACCCACAAAGGGAAGCTCATCAGACTAATAGCGGCTCTCTTGGCAGAAACCCTACAAACCAGAAGAGAGTGGGGGCCAATATTCAACATTCTTACAGAAAAGAATTTTCAACCCAGAATTTCATATCCAGCCAAACTAAGCTTCACACGTGAAGGAGAAATAAAATCTTTTACAGACAAGCAAATGCTGAGAGATTTTGTCACCACCAGGCCTACCTTACAAGAGCTCCAGAAGGAAGCACTAAACATGGAAAGAAACAACCAGTACCAGCCAATGCAAAAACATGCCAAATTGTAAAGACCATTGATGCTATGAAGAAACTTAATCAATTCACTTGCAAAAGAGCCAGCTAACATAATAAAGACAGGATCAAATTCACACATAACGATATTTACCTTAAATGTAAATGGTCTAAATGCCCCAATTAAGAGACACAGACTGGCAAATTGGATAAAGAGTCAAGACCCATCAGTGTGCTGTATTCAGGATACCCATCTCACATGCAGAGAAACACATAGGCTGAAAATAAAGAGATGGAGGGAGATCTACCAACCAAATGGAAAGCAAAAAAAAAAAAAAAAAAAAAAAAAAAAAAAAAAAAAAAAAAAAAGGCAGGCCTTGCAATCCTAGTCTCTGATAAAACCGACTTTAAATCACCAAATATCAAAAGAGACAAGGCAATTCCATAATGGTAAAGGGATCAATTCAACAAGAAGAGCTAACTATCCTAACTATATATGCACCTGATACAGGAGCACCCAGATTAATAAAGCAAGTCCTTAGAGACCTACAAAGAGACTTAGAATCCCACACAATAATAATGGGAGACTTTAACACCCCACTGTCAATATTAGACAGATCAATGAGACAGAAGGTTAACAAGGATATCTAGGACTTGAACTCACCTCTGCACCAAGCAGACCTAAGAGACATCTACAAAACTCTCCACCCCAAATCAACAGAATATACATTCTTCTCAGCACCACATCACACTTATTCTAAAATTGACCACATAATTGGAAGTAAAGCACTCCTCAGCAAATGTAAAAGAATAGAAATCACAACAAACTATCTCTCAGACCACAGTGCAATCAAATTAGAACTCAGGATTAATAAACTCACATAAAACCACACAACTATATGGAAACTGAACAACCTGCTCCTGAATGACTACTGGGTAAATAACAAAATGAATGCAGAAATAAAGATGTTCTTTGAAACCAATAAGAACAAAGATACAACATACCAGAATCTCTGGGACACATTTAAATTAGTGTGTAGAGGGAAATTTATGGCACTAAATGCCCACAAGAGAAACCAGGAAAGATCCAAAATCGACACCCTAACATCACAATTAAAAGAACTAGAGAAGCAAGAGCAAACAATTCAAAAGCTAGCAGAGGCAAGAAATAAGTAGATCAGAGCAGAACTGAAGTAGATAGAGACACAAAAAACCATTAAAAAAATCAATGAATCCAGGAGCTGGATTTTTGAAAAGATCAACAAAACAGACCACTAGCAAGACTAATAAAGAAGAAAAGAGAGAAGAATCAAATAGATGCAATAAAAAAGATGATAAAGGGGATATCACCACAGATCCCACAGAAATACAAACTACCACCAGAGAATACTATAAACACCTCTATGCAAATAAACTAGAAAATCCTGAAGAAATGGATAAATTCCTGGACACATACATCCTCCCAAGACTAAACCAGGAAGAAGTTGAATCTCTGAATATACCAGTAATAGGCTCTGAAATTGAGGCAATAATTAATAGCCTACCAACCAAAAAAAGTCCAGGACCAGATGATTCACACCCAAATTCTACCAGAGGTACAAAGAGGAGCTGGTACCATTCCTTCTGAAACTATTTCAGTCAATAGAAAAAAGGGAATCCTCCCTAACTCATTTTATGAGGCCAGCATCATCCTGATACCAAAGCCTGGCAGAGACACAACTAAAAAAAGGATTTTAGACCAATATCCCTGATGAACATCCATGCAAAAATGCTCAATAAAATACTGGCAAATTGAATCCAGCAGCACATCAAAAAGGTTATCCACCATGATCAAGTTGGCTTCATCTCTGGATCCAAGAGGCTGGTTCAACATACGCAAATCAATAAACGTAATCCATCACATAAACAGAACCAATGACAAAAACCACATGATTATCTCAATAGATACAGAAAAGGTTTTCGACGAAATTCAACAGCCCTTCATGCTAAAAACTCTCAATAAACTAGGTATTGGTGGGACGTAGCTCAAAATGATAACAGCTATTTATGACAAACCCATAGCCAATATCATACTGAATCGGCAAAAACTGGAAGCATTCCCTTTGAAAACCGACAAAAGACAAGGATGCCATCTCTCACCACTCCTATTCAACAAAGTGTTGGAAATTCTTCTGGCTAGGGCAATCAGGCAAGAGAAATAAATAAAGGGTATTCAGTTAGGAAAACAGGAAGTCAAATTGTCCCTGTTTGCAGATGACATGATTGTATATTTAGAAAACCCCATTGTCTCAGCCCAAAATCTCCTTAAGCTGATAAGCAACTTCAACAAAGTCTCAGGATACAAAATCAATGTGCAAAAATCACAAGCATTCCTATACACCAATAACAGACAAACAGAGAGCCAAACATGAGTGAACTCCTATTCACAATTGCTCCAAAGAGAATAAAATACCTAGGAATCCAACTTACAAGGGATGTGAAGGACCTCTTCAAGGAGAACTACAAACCACTGCTCAACAAGATGAAAGAGGACACAAACAAATGAAGAACATTCCATGCTCATGGATAGGAAGAATCAATATTGTGAAAATGGCCATACTGCCCAAGGTAATTTATAGATTCAATGCCATCCCCATCAAGCTACCAATGACTTTCTTCACAGAATTGGAAAAAACTACTTTAAACTTCACATGGAACCAAAAAAGAGCCCGCATAGCCAAGAAAATCCTAAGTAAAAAGAACAAAGCTGGAGGCATCACACTACCTGACTTCAAACTATACTACAAGGCTACAGTAAACAAAACAGCATGGTCCTGGTACTAAAACAGATATGTAGACTAATGGAACAGAACAGATGCCTCAGAAACAACATCACACATCTACAACCATCTGATCTTTGACAAACTGGACAAAAAGAAACAATGGGGAAATGATTCCCTATTTAATAAATGGTGCTTAGAAAACTGGCTAGCCATGTGCAGAAAGCTGAAACTGGATCCCTTCTTTACACTTTCTACAAAAATTAATTCAAGATTGATTAAACACTTAAATGTATAACCTAAAACCATAAAAACCCTAGAAGAAAACCTAGGCAATACCATTCAGGACATAGGCATGGGCAAGGACTTCATGACTAAAGCACCAAAAGCAATGGCAACAGAAGCCAAAATAGACAAATGGGATCTAATTAAACTAAAGAGTTTCTGCACAGCAAAAGAAACTACCATCAGAATGAACAGGCCACCTATAGAATGGGAGAAAATTTTTGCAATATTCTCCTCTGACAAAGGGCTAATATCCAGAATCTACAAAGAACTCAAACAAATTTACAAGAAAAAAACAAACAACCCTATCAAAAAGTGGATAAAGGACATGAACAGACACTTCTCAAAAGAAGACATCTATGCTGCCAACAGACACATGAAAAAATGCTCATCATCACTGGTCATCAGATAAATGTAAATCAAAACCACAATCCACAAAACCACATATCACAGTTAGGATAGTGATCATTAAAATGTCAGGAAACAACAGATGCTAGAGAGGATGTGGAGAAATAGGAATGCTTTTACACTGTTGGTGGGAGTGTAAATTAGTTCAACCATTGTGGAAGACAGTGTGACGATTCCTCAAGGATCTAGAACCAGAAATACGATTTGATCCAGCGATCCCATTACTGGGTATATACCTAAAAGATTACAAATCATGCTCCTATAAAGACACGTGCACATGCATGTTTATTGTGGCACTATTCACAATAGCAAAGACTTGGAAATCCAAATGTCCATCAATGATAGACTGGATTAAGTAAATGTGGCACATATAGACCATGGAATACTATGCAGCCATAAAAAAGGATGAGTTAATGTCCTTTGCAGGGACATGGATGAAGCTGGAAACCATCATTCTCAGCAAACTATCACAAGGACAGAAAACTAAACACTGGATGTTCTCACTCATAGGTGTGAATTGAACAGTAAGAATGCTTGGACCCAGGGCAGGGAACTTCACACACTGGTGCCTGTCAGGATGTGGGGGCTGGCAGATGGATAGCATTAGGAGAAATACCTAATGTAAATGACGAGTTGATGGGTGCAGTAAACCAACATGGCACATGTGTACCTATGTATCAAACCTGCATGTTGTGCACATGTACCCTAGAACTTAAAGTATAGTAATAATAATAATAATAATAATAATAAAAGGGTTAAGATTTTAAATTCTATGCTACATATATTTTACTATAATAACATTTTCCAAGGCCTGATGCAGTGGCTCATGCCTGTAATTCCATGTACTTGGGATGCTGAGGCGGGAGGATCACTTGAGGCCAGGAGTTTGAGACCAGCCTGAGAAACATAGCAAAACACTGTCTCTACAGAATTTTTTAGAAATTAAAAATTTCCCAAAAGGGAAACAGAGAAAAAAATCCAGGACTACAGGAGGAACAATCTGCGCCCCGCACCTTCCTTACTGCTGTCTTTTAGAACATCACAAACTAAATTCAGGAAGGCACTGGGAAACCCTAAGCCACAATTCATAAGTAACACTGGCAGCAATCTTCTTTCAGTACCATCATAACAGCTGCCTCTGAGGCAGCTGCTACATTTCCCGTCTCCCACCTCTGCTTCTTGGGTTACAACTTTACCCTCACAATCTCTCTTTCCCACTCTACCAGCATACTGAACGTTTCTCACCAACAACTTCCTTCCAATCCACCCATCCTGGTGAAAATTCTCAGCCTATATTTATGACCCTATCTTACTGACCAATCTATGTCTAGAACAGGACTCTCAACACTGTGCTGCTTTAGGTCATACCTCAAGCTTGACGACACTGTTTGAATAGTGAGTCTGAAATATGGGAATTGACTCTGACAAACACACTTAATATTAAGCCTTTAGTTTGCCTTTATTCTGGTTCTGTGTGATCATAGGCAATATACCACTCAGAGCTCAGCATCCTCATTGATAAGACAGGAATAGCATTGTCTTCCTCAAAGAGTTATTTTTTAGGATTAAATAAGACTAACATGTGGAACATATCTAGTACATAATAGAGTCTAAGTAAACTTTAGTTATCTTCCCCTTCTTGATAACATGTTATTACCAGAAACTGGGATGCTGGGGTAGGAGTGGCCTTGCATTTCTAGCATTTTGAGGATGACATCAGGCAGACAACCTTACCTTCAGACATGCTAATATTCATGCCTCTGCCAAACACCAATCCTGGGATGAAGGGAGGATGGATTTGTCTTATTATGGCAACCTTCTGTTCTTCTGCACTAAAGGCCATTGCTATTTAGAAAAAACATCCTCCAGTGAATAATTTTGTGAATTAACTACCTTACAGTTTCAAAGCAAACCATTATGTCTTTTGAGGAAAACTGTTTTCTTTCATTTTTATTTATTTGTTTATTTTTTGAAATGGAGTCTCACTCTGTCACCCAGGCTGGAGTGCAGTGGCGAGATCTTGGCTCACTGCAATCTCTGCCTGAGTTCAAGTGATTCTCCTGCCTCAGTCTCCTGGGTAGCTGGGATTACAGGCGCGTGCCACCATGTCTGGCTAATTTTTGTATTTTTAGTAGAAAAGGGGTTTCACTATGTTGGTCAGGCTGATCTCGAACTCCTGACCTTGTGATCCACCCACCTCGGCCTACCAAAGTGCTGGGATTACAGGCGTGAGCCACTGTGCCTGGCTTGAGTTTTCATATATCTTGTATATTGAGCTTGCTTAGACTAAGACACAGCTCTACAATAGAGGACCACAATATCAAGGAAGTGGAATTACCCTTCTTCCAGGCAAAGCGTCATTTATTCATAAATGTATCCATTCAACGTTTATTATGTGCCACTATGAGCCATCCCTGGGGATACAGAGTTGGAAAAACCATGGTTCCTACCCACAAGGAGCTCACAGCCTAGTGAGGGAGACAGAGAAGTAATTAGACAACTACAATACATTGCACTAGGTGCCGTGATTGAGGGGAATTTTAGGAACAGGTTGGTAGGAGGCAACACTTGCGTTGTCTTGAAGTTCATGTATGAGATATAAAAACTCACCCCATTGCTATTATTATTTTTTCTAGGATTGCATATACATACGTAAATTCATAGAAAAACCTCTGGAAGGATCACACCAAACTAGACATTTATAGTCAACAAGTATTTCCTAGATCCCTACCATGTGCCAGGTGCTCTTCTAGGCACTTGGGACATATCACTGAACACAACAGACCACGATCCCTGCCCTTGTTGATTGGGGCTTATATTTTAGCAGAGGGAGACACACAGTAAAAAATAAATAAGTAAAATATATATTGTATGTTGTAAGGTGATAGGTGCTATGAAAGAAAAAAGGAAAACTTTAGTAGAGATAGAGAGTACTTGGGGAAACGTAGTTAGGCTGCAGTATTAAATATAGTGATCATAGTTGACCTCCCTGAGATGGTGGAAGTTGAGTAGAGACTGGAAGTAGGTGAGGAAACTAGCCAAGTGAATATCTGGGGAAATAGTGTTCCAGGAAGGGACAAGAATTAAAGAAAGACCCTAAAGCAGACATATGGTTGACATGTTGGAGAAACAGCAAGGTCATTAATGCTGGAGCCGAGTGAATGAGGGAGAGAACAAGAGGAAGTGAGGTTAGAGAGTTAAAAGTATCCTGATGAAGAATGCAATTTCATTTACAATAGCCATGAAAAACCAAAATACCTAGGAATACATCTAACCAAGGAGGTGAAAAGTCTCTACAAGGAGAGCTAAAAAACACTGATAAGTTACAGAC
Organism: Homo sapiens; assembly: GCF_000001405.40. NCBI lineage: Eukaryota > Metazoa > Chordata > Mammalia > Primates > Hominidae > Homo > Homo sapiens. The sequence goes on from NC_000023.11 coordinate 72,989,486, forward strand.
AATGCAAACAAATGGAAAAACTGATTGGAGGAATCAATATCATTAAATGGCCACACCACTCAAAGCAATCTACACATTCAACACAATTCCTATAAAGTTACCAATGTCATTCTCCACTGAATTAAGAAAAAACCTATTCTACAATGCATTTGGATCCAAAGAAAGAGCCTGAATAGCCAAACCAATTCTGAAAGAATAAAGCTGGAGGCATCACATTACTGGACTGCAAACTATACTACAAGGCTACAGTAACCAAAGCAGCATGGTATTGGTACAAAAACGGATATATAGAACAATGGAACAGAATGGAGAACCCAGAAACAAAGCCACACACTTAGACCCAACTGATCTTTGACAAAGTTGACAAAAATAACCATGGTGAAAGGACACCCTAGTCAATAAATGGTGCTGGGATAGCTGGCTAGCTACATGCAGAAGAATGAAACTGGATCAATACCTCTCACTATATACAAAAATGAAGTCAAGACGAGTTAAACATTTAAATGTAAGACCTCAAACTATAAAAATCTTAGAAGAAAACCTAGGAAAATTCTTCTGGACATTGGCCTAGGTAAAGAATTCATGACTAAGACCTCAGAAGCAAATGCAACCAAAACAAAAATTGACAAGTGGGACCTGATTAAGCCAAAGATCTTCTGTATAGCAAAAGAAATCATCAACAGAATAAACAGACAACGTACAGAATGGGAGAAAATATTTGCAAACTGTGCATCCAACAAAGGACAAATATCCTGAATCTATAAGGAAACTAAACAAATCAATGAGAAAAATCAGCCCCATTAGAGTGTGGGCAAAGGACATGAACAGACACTTCTCAAAAAGGCAAAAAAGTGGCCAAAAAAATATGAAAAAAATTCTTAACATCACTAATCATCAGAGAAATGCAAACCAAAACCACAATCAGATGACATCTCACACCAGTCAGAATGGCTGTTATTAAAGACTAAAAATAACAGACGCTGGCAAGGCTGGGGAGAAAAGGGAATTCTCATAGATTGTTGGTGGGAATTTAAGTTAGTTCAGCCGCTGTGAAAAGCAGTTTGGAGATTCCTCAAAGAACTAAGAATAGAACTACCATTCAACCCAGGAATCCCATTCCTGGACATAAACCCAAAGCAAAAGAAGAAATCATTATATAAAAAGACACCTACATTTGTATGATCATTGCAGCACTACTGACAATAGCAAAGTCATGGAATCAAATGAGGTGCCCATCAATAATGGATTAGATAAAGAAAATGTGATACATATACATCATGGAATACTATGTGGCCATAAAAGGAATGAGATCATGTCCTTTGCAGCAACAAGAATGCATCCGAAGGCCATTATCCTGTCAATCAATGCAGCAACAGAAAATCAAATACTGCATGTTCTCACTTATAAGTGGGAGCTAAACAATGGGTACACATGGACATAAAGGTGAATACAATAGACACTGGGGACGCCAGAATAGAATATTCATAAGTAAAAACAAATAAATATTGAAGTTTGGGATATGATGAAGATGGCATCTTAAAATGGTTGGAGAAAAGGTGAACAATTCAGTAAATAGTTGGGACAACCAGGTAGCCATATGAAAAAAATAAAGTAGATTCATACTTCACACTGTACACCAGGATAAACCGGAGAGGAATCAATTATTTAAATATAAAACATTACAATAAAAAGCACTGAAAAGAAACATGGAAGAATTCCTTTCTAACCTTAGAGTTCCAGGGACAGCCCTCCTAACCATGATTCAAGATTCAAATGCCGTAAAAGATGCCCTAGAATTCCATAAAAGACCAGCAGTCCAGTAGAAAAATGGGCAAGCCTCAACCATCACTGGTCATTAGAGAAATGCAAATCCAAACCACAATGAGATACCATCTCATGCCAGTTAGAATGGCAATCATTAAAAAGTCAGGAAACAACAGATGCTGGAGAGGATGTGGAGAAATAGGAACGCTTTTACACTGTTTGCAATGACACACATAGGCTCAAAATAAAGGGATAGAGAAAGCTCTACCAAGCAAATGGAAAACAGAAAAAAGCAAGGATTGCAATCCTAGTTTCAGACAAAAAAGACTTTAAAGCGACAAAGATAAAAAAAGACTAGGAAGGGCATTACATAATGATAAAGAGTTCAATTCAACACGAAGATCTGACTATGATAAACATATTTGCGCCCAACACAGGAACACCCACATTAACAAAGCAAGTTCTTAGAGACCTTCAAAGAGACTTAGACTCCCACATAATAATAGCGGGAGACTTTACCACCCCGCTGACAATATTAGACAAATCATCGAGACAGAAAATTAACAAAGATATTTAGGACCTGAACTCAGTGGTGAATAAAATGGACCTGATAGACATATACTGAACTCTCCACCCCAAAACAACAGAATGTACATTCTTCTCATTGCCATATGGCACATACTCTAAAACTGATCACATAATCAGAAGTAAAACACTCCTCAGCAAATGCAGAAGAACTGAAATCAAAATAAACAATCTCTTGGACCACAGCACAATCAAATTAGAAAACAAGACTAAGAAATTCACTCTAAATAGCACGATTAAATGGAAGTTGAATAATTTGCTCCTGAATGACTTTTGGGTAAATAATAAAATAAAGGCAAACAGCAAAAAGTTTTTTGAAACTAATGAGAAGAAAAGATACAACATATCAGAATCTTTGGGACACAGCTATGGCAGTGTTAAGAGGGAAATTTATAGCACTAAACACCCACATCAAAAAATTAGAAAGATCTCAATTTAACAACCTAATGTCACTACTAAAAGGACTAGAGAACCAAAAGCAAACCAATCCCAAAGGTAGCAGAACACAACAAATAACCAAAATCAGAACTGAATCAAAGGAGACTGAGACCCAAAAAGCCATAAAAAGATTAACAAATCCAGGAGTTGTTTATTTTTAAATTAATAAAATAGGCCACTAGCTAGACTAATAAAGGAGAAAAGAGGAAAGATTCAAATATATACAATCAAAAATGACAAAAGGAATATTACCACTGACCCCATGGAAATACAAGTAACCATCAGAGAATCCTATGAGCACCTCTATGCACACAAACTAGAAAATCTAGAAGAGATGGATAAATTCCTGGACACGTACACCCTCCCAAGACTGAACTAGAAAAAAGTTGGATCCTTGAACAGACCAGTAATTAGTTGGAAATTGAGTCTGTACCATACAGCCTAAAAAAAAAAAAAAAAGCCCAGGACAAGACAGATTCATGGCTGAATTCTACTAGATGTACAAAGAAGAGCTGGTACCATTCCTGCAGAAACTATTCCAAATAATTGAGGAGAAAGGACTCCTCCCTAACTCATTGTATGAGGCCAGCATCACCCTGATATCAAAACCTGGCAGGGACACATACCAAAACAACAACAACAACAACAACAACGACAACAACAAAAACTTCAGGCCAATATCCTTGATCAACATAGATGCAAAAATCCTTAACAGAATACTGGCAAACCAGATCCAGCAACACATCAAAAAGCTTACTCAACACAATCAACTAGGCTTTACTTCTCGGATGCAAAGTTGTTTCAACATGTGCAAATCAATAAATGTAGTTCATCATATAAACAGAACTAAAGACGAAAACCACATGATTATCTTGACAGATGTGGAAAAGGCTTTTGATAAAATTCAACAACCTTTCATGTTAAAAATCTCTCAATATACTAGGTATTGAAATAACATACATCAAAATAATAAGAGACATCTTTGAAAAACCCACAGCAAACATCATACTGAATGGACAAAAGCTGGAAACATTCACCTTGAAAACCGGCACAAGACAAGAACTCTCTCTCTCACCACTCTTATTAGACACATCAGAAAAGAAAACTATAGGCTAATATCTCTGATGAATATTGATGAAAAATCCCCCCAAAATACTAGCAAGCTGAATTCAACAATACAACAGAAAGAGCTTTCATCATGACCAAGTTGGATTTATCCCTGGGATGTGAGGTTGGTTCAACATATGCAAATCAATCACCTTGATACATCATATCAACAGAATGAAGGATAAAACTATATGATCATTTGAATTGGTGCTGAAAAAGCATTTGATAAAATTCAATATCCCTTCATGATAAAAACCCTCACAAAAACTGGGGATAAAAGAAACATACCTCAACATAATAAAAGCCATGTATGAGAGACCCACAGCTAGTATCATACTGAATGGAGAAAAACAGAAATACTTTCCTCTAAGATCTGGAATGTGACAAGGATGCCCACTTTCACCACTGTTATTCAACATAGTACTGGATGTCCTAGCTAGAGAAATCAAGCAAGAGAAAGCTATAAAGGGCATCCAAATTGGAAAAGAAAAGGTCAAAGTATTCTTGTTTGCTGATGACATTATCTTATATTTGCAAAAACCCAAAGACTCCACGAGAAAACTATTAGAACTGATAAATTCAGTAAACTTACGGGATACACAATCACCATGCAAAAATCAGTAGCATTTCTATATGCCAACAGTGAGCAATGTGAAAAAGAAATTTTAAAAGTTATTCCATTTACAATAGCCACACATAAAATCAATACCAAGGAATTAACTTAACCAAATAAGTGAAAGATCTCTATAATAAAAACTGTAAAACACTGATGAAGGAAATTGAAGAAGATAACAAAAAAATGAAAAGATATTCCATGCTCATGGATTGAAATAATGAATATTGTTCAAATGTACATACTACCCCAAATAATCTACAGATTCAATGCAATCCCTATCAAGACACCAATGACATTCTTCACAGAAATGGAGAAAATGATCCTAAAATTTATATGGAACCACAAAAGACCAGAACAGCCAAAGATATCCTAAGGAAAAGGACAAACCTGGAGGAATCACATTACCTGACTCCAAATTATATACTACAGAGCTAGAGTAACCAAAACAACATGGTACTGGCATATAAACAGACACATACACCAATGCAACAGAATAGAGAACCCAAACACAAATCCACACACCTACAGAGAACTCATTTTTGACAAAGGTGGCAAGAACATACACTGGGGAAAAGACAGTCTCTTCAATAAGTGGTGCTAAGAAAACTAGATATCTATAGGCAGAAGAATGAAACCATACCCTATCTCTCACTATGTACAAAAATCAAATCAAAATGGATTAAATACTTAAATCTAAGACCTCAAACTATGGAACTACTACAAGAAAACTTTGGGAAAACTCTCCAGGACATTGGACTGGGCAAACATTTCTTGAGTAATACCCAACAAGCACAGGAAACCAAAGCAAAAACAAACAAATGGGATCACGTATAGTTAAAAAGCTTCTGCAAAGCAAAGAAAACAATCAACACAGCGAAGAGACAACATGAAGAATGGATTTGCCAACTATCCATCTGAGAAGGGATTAATAACCAAAAGATATAATGAGCCCAAGAAACTGCATAGGAAAAAAAATCTAATAATCAGATTAAAATGGGCAAAAGATCTGAATAGACATGTCTCAAAAGAAGACATACAAATGACAAACATGCATATGAAAAGATGCTCAACATCACTGATCACCAGAGAAATGTAAATCAAAACTACAGTGAAGTATCATCTCACCTCAATTAAAATGGCCTATATCCAAAAGACAGGCAATGAAGAAATGCTAGTGAGGATGTGGAGAAAAGGGAACCCTTGTACACTGTTGGTGGGAATGTAAATTAGTACAACCACTATGGAGAGCAGTTTGCAGGTTCCTCAGAAAAGAAAAAATTGAGATGCCATATGATCCAGCAACCCCACTGTTATGTATGTACCGAAAAGAAAGGAAATCAGTAAAGCTAAGAGACATCTGCATTCCTATGCTTGTTGCAGCACTGTTTACAATAGCTAAGATTTGGAAGCAACCTAAGTGTCTATCAACAGATGAATGGATAAAGAAAACATGGTACATATACACAACGGAGTAATATTCAGCCACAAGAAAGAATGAGATCCACTCATTTGCAGCAACATGGGTGGAACTGGAGATAACTATGTTATGTGAAATGAGCCAGGCACAGAAAGACAAACATCATGTGTTCTCACTTATTTGTGGGATCTAAAAACGAAAGCAGTTGAACTCATAGCATAGACAGTAGAAAGATGGTTACCAGAGGCTGGAAAAGTAGTGGGGTGTTGGGGGAGTGAGGTGGGGATTGTTAATAAGTACATAAAAAATAGAAAGAATGGATGAGACATACTATTGATAGCAAAACAGGATGACTAAAGTAACAACTTAATTGTACATTTTAAAATGACTAAAAGAGTGTAACTGGATTGCTTGTAAAACAAACGATAAACACTGGAGGGGACTGATACTGCATTCTCCATGATGTGCTTGTTTCCCATTAAATGACTTTATCAAAACATCTCATGTACCCCCTAAATATATACACCTGCTATGTACCAACAAAAAAATTTAAAAAATATATAATGAATAAACTTAAAAAAACCCCCTCAAATGTGGCATACCTTTCAGGAGTTCATAAAATACAGTGAAAGAGAGGATTCAAGCTTGATACCAGGATTAACCTCCCTATAGTTACCCACCTTAAAGTGTGAAGAAATGTGACCCTTGTGGACAACATTATTAGAGATTCATTAAAGGGTAAAAGGCTTGTGTTGCTTTTCAAAGCCCAAATAATTCAACTAAGTTTTCAGAAGTGGATGTCAATGAGCAGCAGTCTGTTTGGAAAAGAGGATATAGAAAGAGGGAGGAGAGGCTAAGGGAAGGGGAGGGGTGCTAACATCCTTATTTTATGGGAAACTGACGAAGGTGTACGCTAGAGACTGAGAGTTAAGCATATCACTTAAAGTCACTGGAGTCACCAATAGAAGAACTAAAGATCAAAAGGTATAAAAATTGCCAGAAGGAAAGACAGGGCAGATTGAAGATAGTGTGAGTGAGTTAAATCCTCCTCTCTGGTAGAGGATGGTCACTTGATGATGTCTGAAGTTGATGAATTATTGAATTAGCAGATTAGGCATTTTCTTTAGATATAAGGAGGTAATGGTCAGAACACTGCAAACAGAAATTGTTAAAGTGGTCTACTCTGGGAAGCACAGTTGGGGAGTAGGAAGTGATGGGACCTTGAATCTTTGTTTTTTATCATAAGCTCCTTTGTACTTTCTGATCATCACTATTATATTTACCATGTGCATACATATATATTTTTAATTAAGAACTATTATTTGGAGACAGTTTTAAAAAGATGATCTGTATGGGAGGAAGTCCCAAGGTTAATCACCTTGACATTAGCAAGATTTTACCACATTGAAGGAGATTTCGTTTTACATCTATTAAACAAAGCGAAAACCTAAAATTGATCAGCAGCTCATGATACTGGAGATCAGCCAACTCACGCTTCAGTAATCCATGCATGCATCACATCACAATGGTGAATATTGGTAATATTGTTCCAGAGACATCATGGAGACATCAAAGTGTGTTCAGTAGCCTGCAGCAAAGAAGCTGAAGGAGTGTATTACCTTACAGTAAATTACCTCTCAAATGGCCCCCAAGATGTTGCTCAAAAGGATGAATAGCAGTTGACAGAAAATTCTCTCCTGTCTCAATACCCCATTTTGTTGAGATAGTGTTATTAAATCTTCTGGGTGGTTTCCTTGAGTACAGAAAATGCCATGCTTTCATGTGTTAATTAATGTGCGGACCCTGAGCCTCCAGAAAATAAATAACTGGATCATTAAAAGGTCCTATGGTTGGGACTAGTACAGAGAAGCTCAATGAGAGTGTGAGCTAAGCGAGTTCAGGCCAGAGAACCCAGAGGATCAGACTCCCTCTGTACTGACACTTTGCTCCTGGTTAGAGAGAAAATTCCAGGCTGCCTGGAGCACCAGAAAGACAAGACACTGGACCTTCAAAAACCAGCTGAACAAGCACAACCCCAGGACAGAGGGCAATAAGATTAATAAGGAGTCTCTTGTATTGGGCATTGAATGCATGCCAGGCACTGTGAAAAACATTTACCATACATTATCACTTGTTATCCTTATAAATATCCCTTTGTACAGATGGGGACTCCAAAGCTAAGATGGAAAAAAGGGGGGTAAAGTACCTTGACCAAAGTAAGCACAACTCTTAAGTCATGGCCTGGGGTGTATCTGTAGGTATATTGTTATAAAATCAGTTTTGTGAACTGCCTAAAATTATAACAAAGAAGGGCATGAGTTAAGGCTTCAAGCGTGTGTTAGAAGGTGAATTGGTTCTCAGAGAGAAAAATATCTGGAATGCTATGCAAAAACCATCAGTCAATACAGCCCTTTGGCTCGGTTTCTAAGCAGAGCTGGGGCAAAACTGCTTGTCACAAATGAAATTTGTAAGATGCTTAATTAGGGTTTCTGAAATTCAAACTCTGAGCACACACTGAGGCTCAAGAATGGTTAAGTGTTTTGCTCTGAAATTCAGCCTACTAGTCAATCTGACTCCAAGGCCCATCTCCTTTTGTTTGCACCAAAATGACAACAAACCTGCTTTTCTCGCCTGGTAATAGCACATTCTGGAAATCCCCTTAAATCAGCTTATATAGAGATAACTCATACTTGTTAATGGTTGCATAATAATCCTCAGAATGGCTGCACTGCCAATGTATCAGTCACTCCTCACCTGATGCATACTTGCTTTGTGCCCTGATTTGCCCAATATGAGTGTTTCTGTGATAAACATACTTGTACATATTTCATCACCTCCCGGGGTTCTTATTTCTCCAGGACTGACTACCATTCCATCCCTGCCCCATATACAAATCTGTCTCCGTCAACTCTTCACTTTATAAGGACCCAAAGGACCATTTGCTAAATTTGTTGTATTGACTCAGGACAACTTAGTAATCATTGTTATCGTTTATTAAACAACAGGGCCACATTCAAACGCTTTCCAATTCTCTCTAAATAACAGCCTAACGCTGACGTTTTTGTTGGCCTGTATCTCATAATTATTTTTATTTAGAGGAATTTGGTAGTGGCGGGGTTGGGGTGGGAGGTGGTGTGTGGACGGTGTGAATTGACAGAAACAATTTCCCTACACCAAAATACAGGTATGTTTTCATTCTCTATGCCCCTAAACACCCTCCCTGCAGCTATGCAACGAGCAATTCACGGGAAGAGGCTTCTTTACATAGACCCCTGTTTTTGGTGTTTTGATTTACTTTTGTGTATAGAGTTGATCTGTCCCTCTTCCCATTGGTGTCCTCCCCCCCCACCCAACCCTAGTCCTCTTCCTTCTTCCTTCTTTTCTTCTCTTCTCCTCTGCTCTCTGAACTGCATCCCCACTCCTTCTGATTTCTCCCTCCTGAAAGGAAAAAGGAGATGGGCCACATGAAATAGCAGAGCAGTGCCTACCCCACTCTTCGAAGTTCTCTGCATCCGAACCTCTCTCTCTTTTGAAAGCTCCACTGAGAAATGATCAGAGAGTGAAGTCCAAAGCCAAGCACACAAAGTCGTTGTTGTCCCATTTTAAACCAACTCCCATGCACGTACAGCTAGGAGCATTGAGAGCAGAGTCTGAGTGAGGATATTGAGGCTGGTGATGAAAAGCCTTGGCGAGAAGTTTGGACATGTTCGGACATGCAAGGCCTTAGAGAGGAGTCCTGTTCACTGTCCAGTCCTTCTGAATCTATTTTGCTGGCTTGTGCTCCCCACCCAACTTCTAAGTGTCAGAGTATCTCAGGGAGTAGCCCTGCACCTTCTTCTCCTGGCTATACTCTCTCTAGGTGATCCTACTCAGTTTTGTGGCTTTAGACCCTAACTGTGTCCTGTTGTCTCAACAATTCTGTTTCTCCAGCCTCTATGGATGACAAGCAGACCTCAGTAACTAAACCTGTGCAAATAGGAGCTCTTGACACACACCCCCATCTGTCTTTCTCCCTTCTCCAAATCTACCATGCCCACCCACTCTCTGTCTTTCCTATGACCGTACATAGACCTCTGAGATTGCCTCGAATCCACTCACAAGCGCTGTCTCTTCCACTTCCAAAATATCATGTGAATCCACACACTAGTCTCCACATTGATGCTTCCAGTCTGGGCCAAGCCCCTGCTGTCTCTGGACTGGACTACTGCAAGAGCCTCCTAACTGGTCTCCCTGCTTTCCTTTGTGCCCTGCCCACTTGTGATATTGCCCACACAGAGCAGCTAGAGAGAAACCACTGAATGGGCATTAGATTATGCTACTACCTGCTTCAATCCTTTCTCTGGCTCTCCTGAGCTCTCTGAAGAAGAACCAGACTCTTCATCATGGCACCACCCACCACTGCGCCTTCCTCCCTTTCCTTCCTCTATCCCCTCTCACACTGGGCTCCATGCAACATTGGCATCCTTTCTGCCCCCACCCCCACCCCCAGCACCCTCTCTTTTCTGCCACAGGGCCAGGGGAATTGCCCTTCCCTCTGCTGGGCAGGTTTCCCCCCTGGTTCCTTGAAAGACTGGTGGCTTATCATTGTCCTCAGAAAGGCCTTCCCTGAGCTTCATGTCTCCCGTTTTGCCACTTTTCTGGGGTTCTAGGCAATATGTACCAAATCATCTTGTTTATGTCCCCGAGAGCATTCATAGCAACCTTTAACTGTTTTCATATTCCCTGATCTGTCTATTGTCTGTCTCCCCACTAGAAAATAAGCTCCCTGAGTTCAGGGACGGTCTGGCCGGCAGAATACTTGGTACATAGAAGACCCTCCAGGAATATTCATTGAATCACTGAATAAATAAAATCAACAGCACTTCCTCCCACGGGAAAGGAAACTTCCCCTCCCTCCATTGAGGCTCCACAGGGCTCTTTATTTTTGCCCCTGTCACAGTGTGTAGTGGTCAGAACACATTCCATTTGCAGGTGGCAGAAACTGACCACAACGTAACTTTAAAAATAAAGAATAAAAAGGAGATGGAAACTCGACTCCATGGAAGCCCCTGAGAAAGGACTTGGGGAGCAGTCCCTGCTGTGTCCTTGTCACTTTGGTAGCCCTGCTCCTGTTGCTAGAGGTTCAGGATCCTAGGAATTGTTTTCAGGTTTGGGGATTTGCTAGCCATAGCATGACTTCCCTGAACTTCCTTCTCCTGCTGTTTCACTGATTTCTGTTGGCCCTGTGTACTGGAAGGCAACGCCAGAGACAGAGATCTTGCTGAGTCCTGGTCCTCGACTTGGTCTTCCTTGTCATTTCTGTTTCCTAACAATGGGCCGAGGAGCTCTTCTCATCCTCGCCACATCCCCTACCCCTCTGCGAGCATGGCTTCCCCCTTGGCCTCTGCCTTCTCAGGTCCCTCTTGGACACCAACCTGGAAATGGTGAGGCACAGCTTCATCTTCTCCCTGCCTGCAAGCAACCTAGACCCCCAGGAGATGGCTCTTAACAGCGGTGACAGTGATCACCTTGGTCAGGCATGCGCTGTACAGCAGGCTTTTCCTAGGTCTCTGTCCCTTGCCTTTGCCGGCACTAGCCCTGCCTAGAGGCAGAGAGCTGGACTTTGCAAGCTGGAGAGGTACATGTCTGTGTATCTGCTTCTCAGCCACCTTGGGATGCTTTCCAGCCAGCGACGAAGAGTTCTCACTGCCTCGCACCCCACAGTGACTCAGTCACTTCCTCAGGTTCACGGTTGTTCTATCATGTATGACTGCCAAGATCCAGCCATCACTGCAACCACAGAAAACAGCTTTACTTACCCAAAGAAGGCAGAGGAGGAGAGGATGAGAGAATACGTGCTGGGCAGGTGAAATTCTATGGCCACCGTCGTCCAATCACATAGCACTTACAGTCCTCTGCTGACACTTCTGTTCTCTGTGGGGGCAGACTGAGCTTTAGCAGAGTGAAGGCATCCTGAGGGAAGGCACTATGGTTTTCTCTTTTTAAACATCTGGCCCCACTGGCTCACGGTAAACGTGAGACCCCTATTTATGGAATGAAAAGGAATAGAGGGAAGGATTGTTCAGACTCTTTTTGAATTGGTCACATCTGACTTTCTTCCTTGTGTTCTGTCAGCCCTGTCTTGGTTTTGTACATGCGTGTACATGTAAATGTGCACTTATACATGCACATTGATGTTTAATTTGTACTCATTCTAAAGTTCTCATCATACTGCTTCCCTCCTTGAACATGCTGAGTGGTCCCCGTGACCTTGGGTATACAGTCGAAGCACCTTAGCTTGATTCTCAGGGCCCCACACCTTCCAGCCCTGTCTGCTACCATGTGCTCTTGGAGACCATGAGCTCTGTCCCTGCCAGATTATTAGGCATGGCCAGAAGCGACCAAGCATGTGCTCTCATGACAAAGGGCCTTGGGCACAGACTGATCCCTCTGCCTGGAGTGCCTTCCTTCCTGCCTTGACATGGTGGACTGCTCCTCATGTTTCAGAGCCCACCTCGGTGGTTCTGTCTTTGGTGCAGCCTCACCTAATTGCTACTAAGAAGAGTTAGTGGCTGGTCCTCCTCTCTGGAGGAAGTGGGACTGTAGCTTCTGTTACACTCAACTCTCATGGTTGCTCCCTTGTCTATACCCCCAGCATTTGGCTCTGTGTGGCCTCTCTGCTCTCACTACACACACACTGCTCACCTCTTCTCACCCTGCTCCACACCTCCAACACATCAACAGTCCCTGCTCACTTACCACATTGCGGGCCCCTTAGCCCCCAGCACCAAGTACCTGATAAGCTTTCCATAAATATTAGATGGTGAACTGGGACCAGGCACTTCATTCTAGAGAGAGAGCTCAGGTTTTGTTTTGGTTTATCCTTTGAACCTGAATATGTACTTCTTGGTCCAGGTTGGGAACCTCAGCGCCTTGAGAGCAGAGTCAAGAATAAACAAGCGCCTGGCTCTGGACCAGGCCCTGTTCCCAGTCCTGGGTTTGGCTTTCCTCACCTTATCATTGAGGACAGTACTAGAGACAGGGTGCTCTTGATTCCCCCACTTCCAGACTGCATGTACTGAGGCCTTGAGTGTATTCTCAAGGCCACCCCACCCTCTCCTGCAAGGTACTTGATTTAACCATTTAAACGTTCCATTATGTGGAGAGGGGATAAAAATAACGCTCCCTTCTGAATCGAACCCTTATCCCTTCGGTCTACAGCGGAGCCCTTTCCCTGGCGTCCTTTTCATAAATATCCAGGCGACCCGAGAGACTGAGCACTCCCACTCCCGCTCCCGCTCCCGCCCCTGCTCCCGCTCCTGCTCCCACCCCCGTCATCTCCCACCGCCCGCAGCCCGGCAGCCCCGCAGCCCCGCAGCCCCGCAGCCCCGCAGCCCCGCAGCCCCGCAGCCCCGCAGCCCCGCAGCCCCGCAGCCCCGCAGCAGCCACAGGGGGAACCAAAGAGACAGAAGCCTTCCCAGCTGCCCGGACGACAGACGCCAACACCCCCCGCCCCCCACCACACGCCGCCTGCCCGCCCGCACCCCGCACCCTGCGCGCTAGCCCACGACCGAGCGGCGGCGGCAACAGCAGCTGGCTGCAGGCTGCGGCGACTCGCACCGGCGCGCTCCTGGCAGCACTTGCCATCCCAGGTGACTTGAACTCGCCAGTTCGGATCCCCTGCGCCAGCTCCCGCTCGCGCATCGGGTCTGTGTTCCCGCACCCACCCGCCCTCCTGCCCTCCCGCCCTCCCCCGCCTCTCCGTCCCCCAGCTCGCGGGAAGGGAGGTCGCGGCAGCGGCCCGGCGGCAGCGGCGACCGTGGCGACAGCAGCGACAGTGGCGGCGGCGGTGGCGGCAGCGGCTGCGGCGGCGGCGGAGGCTGCGGCGGCGACCGTGGCAGAGGCGGTGGCGGAGGCCTCCGTGGCGGAGGCGGAAGCAGAGGTAGAGGCTGAGGTGGAGGCCGAGGCCTCAATAGAGGAGGCAGCATCGGAGGCCACCCCGGGGGAGGCGGAGGCCGCCCGGGTGGCAACGGTGGTGGCGGTGGCGGAGGGCAGCGCGGCCGAAGCCGCCGCCGCAGCGGAGGCTGCGGGGCCCCCCTTGGGGGAGGCGGAGGCGGATGCGGATGCGGATGCGGATGCGAATGCGAAGGTGGCGGCCGAGGTGGCGGCCGAGGTGGCGGCTGCGGCGGCCGCCGCGGATGCAGATGCGGATGAGACCCTCGGTGACTGTGAGGGGAACCCAGATTTTCAGATGGCCTCCCTGTACGTGGGCGACCTGCACCCTGAGGTGACCGAGGCAATGCTGTACGAGAAGTTCAGTCCAGCTGGGCCCATCCTCTCCATCCGCATCTGCAGGGACAAGATCACCCGCCGCTCATTGGGCTACGCGTATGTCAACTACCAGCAACCGGTGGACGCCAAGCGGGCCCTGGAGACCCTGAACTTTGATGTCATAAAGGGCAGGCCAGTGCGCATCATGTGGTCCCAGAGGGACCCGTCGCTCCGCAAGAGCGGGGTGGGCAACGTCTTCATCAAGAACCTGGGCAAGACCATCGACAACAAGGCGCTGTACAACATCTTCTCGGCGTTCGGCAACATCCTCTCCTGCAAAGTGGCCTGTGACGAAAAGGGGCCCAAGGGCTACGGGTTCGTGCACTTCCAAAAGCAGGAATCTGCGGAGCGGGCCATCGATGTGATGAATGGCATGTTCCTGAACTACCGCAAAATTTTCGTCGGGAGATTCAAGTCGCATAAAGAACGAGAGGCCGAAAGGGGAGCCTGGGCCAGGCAGTCCACTAGTGCTGACGTCAAGGATTTCGAGGAAGACACCGACGAGGAGGCCACCTTGCGATGAAGACATCCCAGGAGCTAGCCAGCCAGCAGAGCCAAACCTTGGCTCACACCCGGTTTACAACCCCCCACCCCCAGCCCTCCCCCGCCAACCCACCAGCAGTGTATTTATTGTATTGAGAGTGCAGGTCTCTCTCTCTCTCTCTCTCCCCTTCTCTCTCCCCGCTTCCTATTTTCTCCCTCCACCTCTCCTCTCCTTCCCTTCCTCTCCCCCGCCCACCCCCACCAAGGGCGTTGTGAATAATCTTACTAATCTGTGCCATTTGTAGGTTAAAGGCTGCCTCTTCTCCCTGTGGTTTGGTTTAAAAAGCATTTTCATTCTCTCTTTGTTTACTGCACAGGTGGTACAATTTCATGGTAGAATCATCAGAAAGGAGAAGGATATCAGATGAGGGAAGAAACAAGAGAGTAATTGCTCCCCTGGTCCTACTCCCCAGAGAGAACCACTTTTACCTTTTTGGTGTGCTGCTTTTCCAGGCTCTCTTCTCTCCCTCTCTCTCCTTTGCTCACCCCCACCCCGCCTTCCCTTTTAACACACCGTTATAGAATGGTTCATGTATGTGGTGTTTCTTAACCTGCTTTTTCAGCAACTAAAACCAAACAAAAATCAACCCATTGAACTTCTTTCCATGTTATCAACAGGCTTATGAAATGTCATCTTCAGTGCCTGCAGAGTGCTCCAGTGTATCCGTGGACCTTAACATTTCTGTAATCATTCCCGCATTGTTGGACATTCAGGTGGTGCCTAGTTCTTTCCCTGTGTTTAAGACCAACATTGCGTGCTCTGTGCTTTGATGAGTGAATCCTTCCTTGTCAAGCCAAATCTTTGCTAGCATCCCGGTGGTCTCCTTAACTGCGGACTTGCAAGATCCACATATAGACATTTTAAAGACTTTTCCTGTGTGTTGCCAAAAGGCCCCCTTCATAAGCATTGTACCGATTTGCACTCGTGCCGGCCAGCGCAGCTAGTAAAGAGTATGCCCGTTTCCCCTGCATAGCCTCCTGGTCACTGTAATTGATCGTGTGTGTGCGTGCGTGCGTGTGTGCATGCGTGTGTGTGTCTTTGTGTGTGTGTCTTGGCCAGCTTGGCGGGCTGCAAAGGGTGTTTCCCTGTCCTCAGTGGTTTTGCTGCAATCAAACACTGTTTATTACCCCCTTCCCCTGTGCCCACTTCCTGTCCTTTTCCCTGTTGTCAGAAAAATAATTCAGCGTCATTGCAGGAAAAAAATAATCACGAAGCAGACAAGTTAACAGAAGAAAATTAATGTCACCAGTAATCATTTCTGATGATTACTTATACATTCCTGAAACATTTTCATCTGTATCTGCCCTGTATTTTTCATGTGATATATATGTGAAATTATTGTATATACTGTTTCAATATCTGCTTTTTCACACAGAAATATATATTATAGACATAGATTTATAGATATTCTTGAACTTTCATGTCATTAAATATTCTTCTAAAATAGTTTTCATGGATGTTTAGTGCTCTAATATGTGATTGGGCTTCATAGAGTGATAGATATATATACATATTAGATATAGATATAGGGATATATTTGTTTTAAGTAGTTATTGGACGTCTGGGTTGTTTCATTTTGTTTTCTTATGCAAGCCAAAGCTGCCAACAAGATCACAGTGCACAAACATTACATTCATGTTTATTTCCTGAACAAAAGTTAATAGTATAATTGAAGGATGAAAAGATATGGGAGGTTTAAAATCTTCTTTTTCCCTTCTTTAGTAAGTGACCATTGATAAAGATAGTACCAATTTACCCTCATAAAATATGCAGATATTGTGAGTGTACCTGGATACCTGTACAGTTTTTGAGACTTGGTATTAAATTATTTATAATTTGAGATTTTTTGTTTCTATTTGTTGTAAACATTCATCTTTATGCAGACAATAATTATCATACTAAAAGCATTTTTTAAAATATTGGTAAGGAAAAACTGAAAATCATTCTTAATTCTACCACTTGACAAAAATAGAAAAAACTTTTGAAGCATTTGAGACATATATGTAAATAACTAATGCCTCCAAAAATGTAATATAGGATGTATGTTTCATTGTGGTATATTTTCAGTGTGAGAAGTCTTACTTACCATCTTTCCAAATTACTTAGTGTTTCATTTTACAGATGAATTATAATTTCTAAAATCCTGCCCCTCAATATATTGTTAAATGGTTATGGCTTTTCCATAACACATTTGGGGCTGAATGTTTGCTGACATCAAGAAATATTTAATTGCCTTATACCTTGCTCTCTTGCCAAATGCTTCTTCCATAAAGTTTACTCCCTCCAACAGTGTAAGAGAATGCATATTTCCTTGATCATCTTCTTAAGTTAGTATTTTTTTAAGTTATGGGAAATTATTTAGGCTTGTAGTTTAAAAAATTATTTCATTTTACAAGTGCGTTACTTTAAAAAGACATGCATATTATATATGCACAACAGCCACTTTAAAGAGATTATGCCTTTGCAGGCTTTGCCTTTTGTAAATTTTAAAACCATTATAGAATCATACTGAATATATTCTATACTAAATGTATATTCTATGTGCTCATAGCGAAAGTATTCTGTCAAAATTTCTATTTAAGTATGTTGTAAATACATCTAAAACATCCTTTGCTACTCAATATCCTCCTACAACTCACTGCCATTGTATAAGTGGATCAGAATTATTTTTAAAGTGTTTCTTCACGTTGGACTTTAAAGTAGTTTCCAAATTTTTCCCAGAAACATGAATCTGTGGTAAATAATTCTGCAGCAGCATTCTTGTATTATTTACTTAAGATAAATACTTAAAAGGGGTGTTGAAAAGTAGAAACCTTTTAATATTCTTTAAATGTATTTTCAAGTAGCCTGAATATACCAATTTATACTTCCACTAGTACTTTAGAGAATGCCCATTTCCTGCACAAGTATCTCTTTGGATATTTTAAACTTTTTTTTTTGCCAATATAATGCTATGAGGACCATATCTCACTTTTTGTTTTTCTTTATAAATTTTTTAAAAAAGTTTTGTTATTCAAATAATATAACTTCATTTTAACAAGAAATCAAATAACATTCATAGGAAAATAAAAATCAATAATCATTCTCCTATGCATATATAATAATTGCCAACCTTTTGGTCTATGCCATGGATCTATTTCAATAGATTTCACCTTCATCTCTCCTCCAATTTTGATAGATTTGGGTGTTTGTTGTTTCTGGTGTTTCCTCATTGAAACCAAAGCTGCTAAGAATATTCTGATGCTGAAATCATTGCTTTAATTCAGTATTGTTTCCTGAACAAACATTCTTACAAACAAACATGGACTATCCCATTGCTACTATATAGTATATATGATTTTAATTTTTACACTTTTTCAATTAAATAGATAATAAAATTTTATTACAAAATATTAGCAATTTCTGGCTATAAGAAAAAGCATTTAAAACTACCTATAACCCTATCTTTAGTGCTGCTTTTAATGTTTTGGTCAGTACCTTTCTAGGATTATATTATATACATATGCATACCTACATATATATATATATATATATATATATATATATATATATATATATATATATATGGAGAGACAGCATTGTACAATACATACATATTGTTACATATTATGATTTACATATTTATATATTTGTAAAATACCAAATCATGCTTTACATCTTTACGTTTTTCTGGAATATTTATTTAATAATAAACCTCATATATTTTCATGTTTGTTTTTTTACATCATTTAAAATGGTCTTGGAATATTTATTGTGAATATGAATTCACTCATTTTTTCATTCCTACATTGTCAGAAATTTTATGTGTCCTCAATTCTCCTTTAATTTCAGATCACTATGTTGACTATCTTTTACCTAAATTTGCAGTTATATCCATAATCGTTTCCATAACAGATGCTTCTAGGATTAAAAACAAAATTATAGATCATTTATAAGAACTTATACTTCGTGGTCAAATTCCCACATAAAGTTGTGTCAACTTACACGGTTACTCTGTTATTTCCATTCTAAAAGGATACCCAGTTCTCTGCAAAAGGCTCTAAACTGGGTATTATAATTATTTCAATTTTGCTGTGTTTTCAGTAGATAAATACATAATTCATATTTTAAAATTTGATTTGTAATAACATTTTTTCTTTCATTTCTGTTTTCTGGGCAAACAAATCCTAGAATCATAATGTATTGTTGAACAGAATGAAGAAGCAGCATAATCCTACCACTGGGTAAAACCACATTTAAAATTTTGTTGTATTACTTTTCACATTTTTATAAATGTAAACATGCATGCATATTAAAGGGAAAGATCTCTGTATTAGGGTACTTCAGAAAAACAGAACCAATGTATATCTCAGAGAAAGAGAGAGATTTATTTTGGGAATTGGCACATATGATTATGGAGGTTGAGAAGTCTACTGTCTGCAAGTTGTAGAACCAGGAAACTTGGAAAGAATAGGCAATATAGCAGGAGCAGATTGGGACAATGGGCATTTGGGCCATTTCTTCATGTAACTTACTTATGCCTTTGAAACATACTCGAGCCTGATCACATATATACCACTTCCATTTTATGATAGAGTGTTGCTGTGCATGCCCAACTTTATGGCTTGGCGGGTCAGATATAACCCAGTTGATGATGGGCAGCTCAGGTAACATGGTAACTTGGCGGCCCATGGTCAAGTGTTCAGTTTCTACTAAGGCCCAGCAGCAGGCCAGGAATTGTCTCTCAAAAGGGGAGTAGTTATCTGTGGATGATAACATGGCCTTGCTCAAAATCCTAAAGGCCTGTGCTGCAGTTTACCTATAGCGGCTTGACAAAGGCTCCAAACAGCATCCTTATCTGCTACTGACATTTTAAGCACCATTGGATCTGCTAGATTATATAGTCCAAGTGGCAGAGCAGCCAGAACCTGTTGCATAGGCTTCTCTTGTTCTGGGCCTCACTCAAAACTAGCAACTTTTCAGGTTAATTGGTAAATGGGCCAGATTAACACACCCAAATGAGGAATGTGTTGCCTCCAAAATCCAAATACGCCTATGTCCTGAGTGGTAATGCCTAGGTTTTCTTCTAGGGTTTTTATGGTTTTAGGTCTAACGTTTAAATCTTTAATCCATCTTGAATTGATTTTTGTATAAGGTGTAAGGAAGGGATCCAGTTTCAGCTTTCTACGTATGGCTAGTCAGTTTTCCTAGCACCATTTATTAAATAGGGAATCCTTTCCCCATTGCTTGTTTTTCTCAGGTTTGTCAAAGATCAGATAGTTGTAGGTATGCGGCGTTATTTCTGAGGGCTCTATTCTGTTCCATTGATCTATATCTCTGTTTTGGTACCAGTACCATGCTGTTTTGGTTACTGTAGACTTGTAGTATAGTTTGAAGTCAGGTAGTGTGATGCCTCCAGCTTTGTTCTTTTGGCTTAGGATTGACTTGGTGATGTGGGCTCTTTTTTGGTTCCATATGAACTTTAAAGTAGTTTTTTCCAATTCTGTGAAGAAAGTCATTGGTAGCTTGATGGGGATGGCATTGAATCTGTAAATTACCTTGGGCAGTATGGCCATTTTCACGATATTGATTCTTCCTACCCATGAGCATGGAATGTTCTTCCATTTGTTTGTATCCTCTTTTATTTCCTTGAGCAGTGGTTTGTAGTTCTCCTTGAAGAGGTCCTTCACATCCCTTGTAAGTTGGATTCCTAGGTATTTTATTCTCTTTGAAGCAATTGTGAATGGGAGTTCACTCATGATTTGGCTCTCTGTTTGTCTGTTGTTGGTGTATAGGAATGCTTGTGATTTTTGTACATTGATTTTGTATCCTGAGACTTTGCTGAAGTTGCTTATCAGCTTAAGGAGATTTTGGGCTGAGACAATGGGGTTTTCTAGATAAACAATCATGTCATCTGCAAACAGGGACAATTTGACTTCCTCTTTTCCTAATTGAATACCCTTTATTTCCTTCTCCTGCCTAATTGCCCTGGCCAGAACTTCCAACACTATGTTGAATAGGAGCGGTGAAAGAGGGCATCCCTGTCTTGTGCCAGTTTTCAAAGGGAATGCTTCCAGTTTTTGCCCATTCAGTATGATATTGGCTGTGGGTTTCTCATAGATAGCTCTTATTATTTTGAAATATGTCCCATCAATACCTAATTTATTGAGAGTTTTTAGCATGAAGGGTTGTTGAATTTTGTCAAAGGCTTTTTCTGCATCTATTGAGATAATCATGTGGTTTTTGTCTTTGGCTCTGTTTATATGCTGGATTACATTTATTGATTTGCGTATATTGAACCAGCCTTGCATCCCAGGGATGAAGCCCACTTGATCATGGTGGATAAGCTTTTTGATGTGCTGCTGGATTCGGTTTGCCAGTATTTTATTGAGGATTTTTGCATCAATGTTCATCAAGGATATTGGTCTAAAATTCTCTTTTTTGGTTGTGTCTCTGCCCGGCTTTGGTATCAGAATGATGCTGGCCTCATAAAATGAGTTAGGGAGGATTCCCTCTTTTTCTATTGATTGGAATAGTTTCAGAAGGAATGGTACCAGTTCCTCCTTGTACCTCTGGTAGAATTCGGCTGTGAATCCATCTGGTCCTGGACTCTTTTTGGTTGGTAAACTATTGATTATTGCCACAATTTCAGCTCCTGTTATTGGTCTATTCAGAGATTCAACTTCTGGGCAAGGACTTCATGTCCAAAACACCAAAAGCAATGGCAACCAAAGCCAAAATTGACAAATGGGATCTAATTAAACTAAAGAGCTTCTGCACAGCAAAAGAAACTACCATCAGAGTGAACAGGCAACCTACAACATGGGAGAAAATTTTCGCAACCTACTCATCTGACAAAGGGCTAATATCCAGAATCTACAATGAACTCAAACAAATTTACAAGAAAAAAACAAACAACCCCATCAAAAATTGGGCGAGGGACATGAACAGACACTTCTCAAAAGAAGACATTTATGCAGCCAAAAAACACATGAAAAAATGCTCATCATCACTGGCCATCAGAGAAATGCAAATCAAAACCACTATGAGATATCATCTCACACCAGTTAGAATAGCAATCATTAAAAAGTCAGGAAACAACAGGTGCTGGAGAGGATGTGGAGAAATAGGAACACTTTTACACTGTTGGTAGGACTGTAAACTAGTTCAACCATTGTGGAAGTCAGTGTGGTGATTTCTCAGGGATCTAGAACTAGAAATACCATTTGACCCAGCCATCCCATTACTGGGTATATACCCAAAGGACTATAAATCATGCTGCTATAAAGACACATGCACACGTATGTTTATTGCGGCATTATTCACAATAGCAAAGACTTGGAACCAACCCAAATGTCCAACAATGATAGACTGGATTAAGAAAATGTGGCACATATACACCATGGAATACTATGCAGCCATAAAAAATGATGAGTTCATGTCCTTTGTAGGGACATGGATGAAATTGGAAACCATCATTCTCAGTAAACTATCGCAAGAACAAAAAACCAAACACCGCATATTCTCACTCATAGGTGGGAATTGAACAATGAGATCACATGGACACAGGAAGGGGAATATCACACTCTGGGGACTGTGGTGGGGAGGGGGGAGGGGGGAGGGATAGCATTGGGAGATATACCTCATGCTAGATGATGAGTTAGTTGGTGCAGCGCACCAGCATGGCACATGTGTACATATGTAACTAACCTGCACAATGTGCACATGTACCCTAAAACTTAAAGTATAATTAAAAAAAAATAATAATAATAGTAATAATAAAAAATAAATAAATAAATAAATCACCAAAAAAAAAAAAAAATCCAAATACGCCCACCAGGCATTGTGTCGCTTTCTTAGTTGTGGAAGAGGCCAGATGTAGCAACTTTTCCTTCATGTTAGAAGTGATATCTCAACAGGCTGCATACCACTGGACCTCTAGAAATTTCACTAAGGTAGCAGGCCCCTGAATTTTATTTATGATTTATTTCTTACTCTCTGACAGACAAATGTCTTAACAATAAGCCTAGAGTGGTTGCTACTACTCAATTACTAGTTGAAATCAGCATAATGTCATCAATGTAGTGGACCAGCATATTTTGTGGAAGGGGAAGGTGATCAAGATCCATTTGAACTAAATTCTGGCATAGGGCTTTACAGTTGATATACCCTCAAGATAGGACAGTGAAGATATATTTCTGGCCTTGCTGAAAGCAAACTGCTTCTGGTGGGCCATATGGACAGTGATGGAGGAAAAGGTATTTGTTGGATACCAGATAGCTGCATACACGATAGCAGGAGATGTGTTAATTTGCTCAGACAATGAAACCACATCTGGCACAGCAGCTGCAATTGGAGTCACCACTTGGTTAAGCTTATAATAATCCACTGTCATTCTCCAAGATTCATTTGTCTTCTACACAGGTAAAATAGGAGAATTAAATGGGGATGTGGTGGGAATCATCATCCCTGCATCTTTCAAGTTCTTCATGAAGGTACTACTCTCTGCAATTTTTCCAGTGATGTATTGCATTTGGTTTATTTTTCTAGGTAGAAGCAGTTCCAATGGCTTTAATTTGGCCTTTCACACCATAGTAGCTTTCACTCTTCACATTGGCTCTTTGACCAATATGGTCAAAGAGCCAGTGTGAAGATTCTGCCAGCTTCTAACTATGTCTACTCTAGTTATGCATTCTGGAACTGGGGAAGTAACCACAGGATGGGTTGGGGACCCACCGGACCCACAGTGACATAAGCCATTGATCACCTGACTCCATAAGCCAATATTCTGATTGGAAGGCCACAGTGATGTTTTAGGTTTCTTGAAATTAGTGTCAGTTCAAAGCCAATGTCCAGCAGTCCCTGCAAAGTCTGATTATTTCCCTTTCCCCAATGTATATTTACTTTGGTATAAGGCTGTAGGTCCTTTAGGGAAGGCTGGGAGAAAGATTAACAGTACAAATTTTCAGTAATGTGCTTGAATTATTCCTAAAGGAGACTGGGCCTCCCCTTCTTTCAAAGGTTCTGGGTCTGTAGTCTGGGACTTGATTGAGTAGCAGGCTGTGACTCTTTATGATTCAGGTTAAAATTTTGTTTACTTAACTTAGAAATGTTCTGCTTATATAGATGAGGTAAAAATTTAGTAGGCTTGTCATCTATTTCACTTCTAGCAACACCATGCTTAATTAGCCAATGCCATAGGTCTGTGTGGGTCAGATCCTTCTGATTACTGCTTGGATTTTGCTTTCCATAATGGTAATAATGCTGCCTTAGCCTGTTTTGTATGACTATAACAGAATGCCATAGGCTGAGTAATTTACCAAGAAAATACATTTGTTTGGCTCATGGCCCTGGAGGCTGAGAAGTCTAAGGGAGCATGGTGCTGGCATCTTCTGAGGGCCTTCATGCTGTGTCATCTCATTGTGGAAGGTGTAACGGCAAGAGAGGGTGACAGGAAGTGAGCAAAAAGAGTCCAAATTCACTTTTATAACAAAGCCACTCTCAAAATAACTAACCTACCCTCATGATAGTGACATTAATTCATCCATGAGAGCAGAGCCCTCATGACCTAATCACCTCTTATTAGGCCCCACCTTTCAACACTGTTGCATTAGGGATTAAGTTTCCAGCACATGAATTTTGGGGCACACATTCAAACCACATTTCACCCTAGACCCACTAAATTACTGTCCTGCTCACAATGTAAAATAAATTTGTCCCATCCCAATAGTCCTAAAAGTTTTAACTCATTCCAGCAACAACTCAAAAGCCCAAAGCCCAGAGTCTCATTTAAATCAGATATGGGTGAGACCCAAGGCAAAATTCATACTGAGGCAAATTCCTCTCTAACTATGACACTGAAATTAAGAAGTTTTGTGCTTCTAATGTACAATGGTGAGACAGATATAGGATTGTAAACCAAAAAGATGATTGTCAATTATGCCTTCATCTCACACTCAGTAAATCTACATTTTACATAAGATAAAATAAACATAAAGTAGAGGATGAAGTCAATTATGCGTTTATCTTGGGATGGACAAAAAGATTACTTCTAGTCTTGTCTGTGTTCCATGCCTGTAAAGATAAGCTGTTAATTTACATTGTCAGGGTGAGATTCAACAGAACTCTGTTTTAAGGTTAGTTTTTCAGGGATATATGTATTATGAAAGACTTTGGGGGTTACAGAGAATTTCCTTGTGAGCAATTTGTGAGGAAGGACACTGAGGGGGATATGTGGCCTTCTGTCATTGCAGCTATCTGTTTAGGAACAAAAGGAAGGCAGTTTGTTTTGGCATGACTCAGTTCCCAAGCCTAACTCTCCCTTTGGCATGGTGAGTTTGGGGTTCTGAAATTCTGTTTTTCTTTCACATTTCCCCAAAGTTCTTCAAAATCTTTGAGAGAAAGCATTGCAGAAAAAAATGAATCTCTACTCACAGGTTTCATCTGATCACTCATCACTAGGATGGTTTATTTCTAGAAGATTAGGTCCCTCATTGCTAAGAAGGCTCATTCCTAGGAGGTCATGTTTCATGGAAAAAAAAAAAAACAGAAGGAGGAGAGAAAGAAAAAATAAGGGAGAAAAGGAACCAAGACCAGATTATAGCAACAAAGGGAAAGCAATCCTCAAAACTGGTTCAGGCTATGCTACTGCCTCCTCAATCAGAGCAAATTTTGGAGCAATCATTATTCCACCCTTTTTGGTCACATGTTGATTTAGCTGGAAACATATGCCTTAATAATATCGTAAGAAAAAAAAAAGGCAGAACATAAATTATTATTATTCCTATTATAATTAATAGCTCTTTCCGCCAAATTCCCCAGGACCCAAACCAACCACTTAAGCAGTTGATTCGTGAGAGTTTTCGGTCTGAAAGCTTGATTATTTGTATTTTCATATCAGTCATAAGTCAAGTAATGTTGTTGATTAATCTGGGTTATAAACACAACATTCAGTTTTTATGGTGGTACAGGATACCCTTGGGCTGTAGTGAGCATGTCCAAGGTCATACAATTTTACGGCACAGCTTTTCTCATAAGTGAGACCTCATTGTTTAGCAAGGAGACACCAATCAACTATAAATTAGGGCCTTTTGGGTATAATTTGTTAAGTCCTCTATATGCCATATGAAATTTTCAATTCCCATTTATGGCATAAAGATGGAAGCTAAGTGATTGTACCATTGGAATACAGAATGTGTCCAGTGAGAGTAAGAGTAACCACATCCATAAGTTAGTGCCACACGGCCAATATATCCCATTTTTAGCTAGCCAATAAATGCTTGGACACTGCATCCAATCAGTGGCATGCCAGTCAGTGCTTTGTAATATAATAATTTAGCCACAATATTCACAACATTGACAACATTGAAAAGCATTCTCCATGTCCCTTGTCCTTTAGTGTGTTATTAATGGGTCTATAATATATATTGTGTTTTCTTATGTCAGTGCTAAAGATGCCAGATCATTTCTGTGATGTAATAAAATTTTGGTATTCTATCCAGTCCTGACCTTGGAGGGAAGATACCCACCATGGCAGGTGGCAGGGACACCATGGTATGTGTCACAACATAATGTATGTAGCTACAACATTCACAACATAATGTAGCAACAACATTCACAACATTGAAAAGCATTCTCCATGTCCCTTGTCCTTTAGTGTGTTATTAATAGGTCAATGATATATATTGTCTTTTCTTATGTCAGTGCTAATGATGCCAGATCATTTCTGTGATGTAATAAAGTTTTGGTATTCTATCCAGTCCTGACCTTGGAAGGGAGATACCCACCGTGGCAGGCTAGAGCCACTGGAAAGAGGCATGAGTCTGCATATCCATCAGACACCCTATTGTAATCTGTCTGTATAATCCTGGGCCCATTGTAGAATCAGGTTTGTTTCATGGACAACAGTGGGTGGCAGTGGCAAGAAAGCATATGGACAGAGGATAAGTAGAAGTGAGATTGTGAAATTCATTTTAACTAGTAAAAAGGACATTAAAACAGACAAGGCAGATATTCCACTCTGCATAAGATGATAAAAATTGCCAGTATCTTTAGGACAATAATTATAGTGACTATTATACAATAAACATAGGTGTTAATTTGTATACAGGTCTGGTTCAGAGTCTTGAGTTAAAGCAGTCCAAAACAGCTATAGTCAGTCTCCTTCTGGTTCTGGGTCAAAGATCATCATTGTTTAGTGACTGGTGAAAAGCTTTGGTGGGCATTACAGCTCGCTCAGAAAGTTGTGCATTTGTAAGATGAGAGATGTGGATGAATGAGTCTATACCCTCTAATTTTGCTGTACACAGATTAGTCAATAGTACCTAGTATAGGTCCTTCCACTGGGGTTGGCAAGGTTGGAGGGAGTCTTTCGTTAAATGTCTCTTCCAACAGACAAAACCTCTGGGCTGTAAATTATGAACAGAAACCTCATTGGCAGGGAATGCACTGTGGAATGGATCTTTTATCAAAACCTTTTTTTTTCTATTTTTACAAGATGAGTGTGATGGTTAATGTTGAGTGTCAACTTGATTGGACTGAAGAGTGCAAAGTATTGTTCCTGGGTGTGTCTGAGAGGGTGTTGCCAAAGGAGATTAACATTTGAGTCAGTGGACTGGGAGAGGCAGACCCACCCTCAATTTGCAGCTAGAATAAAGCAGGCAGGAGAGGATGGAAGAGAAGACTTGCTGAGTCTTCCAGACTTCATCTTTCTCTCATGCTGCATGCTTCCTGCCTCCAAACATTGGACTCCAAGTTCTTTGGCTTTTTAACTCTTGGACCTACACCAGTGGTTTGCAAGGGGCTCTTGGGCCTTTGGCCACAGACTGAAGGCTGCACTGTCAGCTTCCCTACTTTTGAGGTTTTGGGACTCGGACTGGCTTTCTTGCTCCTCAGCTTGCAGATGTCCTATTTTGGAACAGGTATTTGAATTGCATGGGCTCACTTATACGTGGATTTTTAAAAACTGAACTCAAAATACAGTGCTTATGGGATGTGAAACCTGCATATTTATTATATTTATGCTGTACAAAATGATGTTGTGATTTTTTAAAACAACGTGGAATGATTAAATTAAGCGAATTAATCTGTCCATCACCTCAAATATTTGACTTTTTGTGATGAGAACATTTGATATTTACTCTCTCAGTGGTATTGAAATGTGCAGCGCTCAGTTATTAGCTATATTCACCATGCTGTGCAGCAGACATATTACTCCTATCTGAGGCTTTGGAGCCTTTGATTAACATCTCTCTATTCCGCCAACACCCAGACTCTGGTGGTTATTATTCTACTCTTTGATTTTATGAGTTTAATGGGTTAAGATTCCACATATAAGTGAGAACACTCAGTATTTGTCTTTTTGTGCTTGGCTTATTTCACTTAGCATAGTGTTCTCCATTACCATCCATGTTGTTGCAAATAACAGAATTTCATCCTTTTTAAAGTTTGAATAGTATTTCATTGTGTATATATACCACATTTTCTTTATCCAAGCATCCACTGATGGACATTTAGGTTGATTCTGTAACTTGGCTATTAGTGCTGCAATGCACATGGATGTGCAGACATCTGTTCAACATAGCTGCTTTCAAATATTTGGGTAAATATCTAGATGTAGGATTGCTGGGTTATATAATTCTATTTTTAGCTTTTGAAGAACTTCCATAGAGTTTTCCATAATAGCTCTACTAGTGTAGTGTACATTCCCATCAACAGTATACAATGATTCCCTTTTCTCTGCATCCTCACTGACATTTGTTTAACCTTTTGTCTTTTTGATAATAGCCATGCCAACTAGTGTGAGGTGATACCTCACTGTGGCTTAAATATGCATCTTCCTAATAATCAGTGATGTCAAGCATTTTTGTATGTATCTGTTAGCCATTTGTATGTCTTCTTTTGAGAATTTTCTATCAATGTCCTTTGACCATTTCTTATCAGACTAGTTCCTTATGTATTTTGGATATTAACCCCTTGTTAGATGTATAGTTTGCAAATATTTTCTCTCATTCTGTACATTGTTTCTTTACTCTGTTAATTGTTTCCTTTGTTGTGCAGAAGCTTTTTATTTTGATGTAATCCCATTGGTCTATTTTCACTTTAGTTGCTTGCACTTTTGGGGTCAAATATAAAAAAGCATTGCTGAGACCAATGTAATGTTTTTCCTCTATGATTTTTTTATAGTAGTTTAACAGTTTCAGGTTTTATGTTTATTCTTTAATTCATCTTGTGTTGATTTTTGTATATGATGTGAGAAAAGGGTCCAATTTCATTTTTCTTTTCTGCAGATGGATATCCAGTTTTCCCAAAACCATCTATTGAAGACACTGTCTTTTTCTCATTCTATATTCCTGCTACTTTTGTCCAATATCAGTTGACTGTAAATGCATGGGCTCATTTCTGGGCTATCAATTCTGTTCCATTGGTCAGTGTGGGTCTATTTTTATGCCAGTATCATGCTGTTTTAATTATTATTGTTTTGTAGTGTAGTTTGAAGTGAGGTCATGTGATGCCTCCAAGCTTTTTGTTCTTGTCATTGTTCTGCTTTGTTTTTACTTATGATTGTCTTGGCTATTCATGGATTTTTGTGATTCTATGTAAATTTTAAGATTGTTTTTTCCCATATTTATGAAAAATGACATTGGTATTTGATAGGTTTTGCATTGAATCCGTAGATTGATTTGGGTAGTCAATTTGGTAGTTAAAATAGAATGTTTTCACAATATTAATTCTTCCAGTCCATTAACACAGGATATCTTTCCATTTGCCTGTGCTTTCTTCAGTTTCTGTCATTAATATTTACAGTTTTTGGCACATAGAGTTTTCACTTCCTTTGTTAAATTTATTCATAACTTTTTTATTTCATTGAAGCTATTGTAAGTGGGATTGTTCTCTGGATTTCTTTTTGGGAAAGTTTGGTAGTGTAGAAAAATGTTACTAATTTTTATGTGTTGATTTTGTGTATTGCAACATTACTGGATTTGCTCATCAGTTCTAACAGATTTTTGGTGAAGTGTTTAGGGTTTCCTATTATATTAATTCATTTTGTGTTGCTATGTAGGAATACCTGAGACTGGGTAATTTATAAAGAAAATATGTTTATTTTGGCTCACAGTTCTGCAGACTGTACAAGAAGCATGGTGCCAACATCTGCTTATGGTGAGGGCCTTAAGAAGTTTACAATCATGGCAGAAGGTGAAGGGGGAGAAGGCATGTCACACGGCAAGACAGAAAGCAAGAAAGGTGCCAGGCTCTTTAAAACAACCAGTTCCCACGTTGACTAATAGAGTGAGAACTCATTCATTACTGTGGGGAGGGTACTAAGCCATTCATGAAGGATTTGTCCCCATGACCCAAGCACCTCCCACTGAGCTCCATCTTTAACATTGGGGATCACATTTCAACATAACATTTGGAGGGGACAGGCATCCAAACTACATCATCTATATATAATATTATGTTGTCAGCAACAGTGACAGTTTCTTTCTTTCTTTCCTATTTGGATGCCTTTTATTTCTTTATTTTGTTTTATTTCTCTGGTGAGGAGTTCCAATGCTATTAATATGTCGAATAGAAGTGATAAGAGTGGGCATCCTGATCTTATTACTAATTTTAGAGAGGAAAGGGTTCCAATTTGTCACGATTGAGTATAATACTAGCTTTGGGTTTATTATATATGGCCTTTATTGTGTTGATGTGAATTCCTTCTATACCTAGTTTGTTGAGTGTTTTAAATTCTGAAATAATGCTGAATTTTGTGTAATGCATGTTCTGCATCTAATGAGATAATCATATAATTTATGTCCTTGATTCTGTTAATCTAATGTGCCACATTATTGATTTGCAAATGTTGAAACATTCTTGCATCCTGGGAATAAATCCCATGAGCTCATGGTGCATAATTTCTAATGTGCTTTTGAATTTGTTTTCTGGCATTGAATATGGTCCTCCAAATTTCAGGTGTCGGAAATTTAATCCCCAAATGTTCATGGTATTTGGAGGTGGCATCTTTGGGAAGTAATTAGAATTAGATAAAGTCATCAGGGTGGAGGCCCTAAAATGGGAATGATGGTTTTATAAGAAGAGAAAGAGAGATCTGAGCTGAGATTCTCTTGTCCCTTTGTCATGTGATGCCTTATGCCATGTTATGACATAGCAAAAAGGCCCTCACCAGATGTGGCCCCTCGAGCTTGGATTTCCCAACCTCCAGAAATGTAAAAGATAAATTTATTGTAATATTCTTTTCTGGCTTGGTATTAAGGTAATTCTGGACTTGTAAAAAGCATTTGGAAGTATTTCTTTCTCTTTGAGTTTTTGAACAATTTTGTCAAGAATTGGTATTAGTTCTTTTTTAAATATTTGGCAGAATTTTGAAGTGAGGCCATCAGGTCCTAGGCTTTTCTTTGATGGGGGCACTTTTTATTTTTGATTCAATATCCCTACTCATTATTGGTCTGTTCAGATTTTCTATTTCTTCATGATTCAGTCTTGTTAGTTTGCATGTGTCTAAGAATTTATCCATTTCCTGGCTATCCAATTTCTTGACATATAGTTGTTCATAACAGTCTCTTCTAATTTTTTTGTATACCTATGGTGTCAGCCATGTCTCCACTTTCTTTTTTTTTTTTTAGTATTTATTGATCATTCTTGGGTGTTTCTCGGAGAGGGGGATGTGGCAGGGTCATAGGATAATAGTGGAGAGAAGGTCAGCAGATAAACACGTGAACAAAGGTCTCTGGTTTTCCTAGGCAGAGGTTCCTGCAGCCTTCCACAGAGTTTGTGTCCCTGGGTACTTGAGATTAGGGAGTGGTGATGACTCTTATTGAGCATGCTGCCTTCAAGCATCTGTTTAACAAAGCACATCTTGCACCGCCCTTAATCCATTTAACCCTGAGTTGACACAGCATATGTTTCAGAGAGCATGGGGTTGGGGGTAAGGTTATCGATTAACAGCATCCCAAGGCAGAAGAATTTTTCTTAGTACAGAACAACATGGAGTCTCCTATGTCTACTTCTTTCTACACAGACACAGTAACAATCTGATCTCTTTTTCTTTTCCCCACATTTCCCCCTTTTCTTTTCGACAAAACCGCCATCGTCATCATGGCCCATTCTTGATGGTCACTGTCTCTTCGGAGCTGTTGGGTATACCTGCAGAAAGGCTGTCACTTCACACTTGGAAGATTGCACAGCGGCCAGGCAGAGGCGCTCCTCATTTCCCAGACGGGGCGGCCGGGCAGAGGAGCTCCTCACTTCCCAGACAGCGTGGCAGCTGAGCAGAGGCGCTCCTCACTTCCCAGATGATGAGCGGCCGGGCAGAGGCGCTCCTCACCTCCCAGACAGGGCAGCCAGGCAGAGGCGCTCCCCACTTCCCAGTTGGGGCGGCCGGGCAGAGGCGCTCCCCACTTCCCAGTTGGGGCAGCTGGGCAGAGGCGCTCCCCACTTCCCAGATGGGCAGCCAGGCAGAGACGCTCCTCACTTCCCAGACAGGGCGGCTGCCAGGCAGAGGCACTCCTCATCTCTCAGATGGGGCAGCTGGGCAGAGGTGCTTCTCAGTTCCCAGACAGGGTGGCCAGACAGAGGCACTCCTCACCTCCCAGACGGGGTGGCGGCTGGGCAGAGGCGCTCCTCACATCCCAGACAGGGCAGCCAGGCAGAGGTGCTCCCCACTTCCCAGACGGGGCGGCCGGGCACAGGCACTCCTCACTTCCCAGACGGGGCAGCTGGGCACAGGCGCTCCTCACTTCCCAGACGGGGCAGCTGGGCACAGGCGCTCCTCACTTCCCAGGCGGGGTGGCTGGGCACAGGCACTGCTCACTGCCCAGACCATGGGCGGCTGGGCAGAGGTGCTCCTCACTTCCCAGATGGGGCAGCTGGGCAGAGATGCTCCTCACCTCCCAGACGGGGAGGCCAGGCAGAGGCGCTCCTCACTTCCCAGACGGTGTGGCGGCTGGGCAGAGACGCTCCTCACCTCCCAGATGGGGTGGCAGCCGGGCAGAGGTGCTCCTCACCTCCAAGACAGGTGGCAGGGCAGAGGCGCTCCTCACTTCCCAGACGGGGCGGCCGGGCAGAGGGGCTCCTCACAGCCCAGATGATGGGCAGCCAGGCAGAGACGCTCCTCACTTCCTAGATAGGGTGGCGGCTGGGCAGAGTCTGTAATCTTAGCACTTTGGAAGGCTAAGGCAGGTGGCTGGGAGGTGGAGGTTGTAGCAAGCCGAGATCACGCCACTGCACTCCAGCCTGGGCAACATTGAGCATTGAGTGAGCGAGACTCCATCTGCAATCCCAGCACCTCGGGAGGCCGAGGCAGGCAGATCACTCGAGGTCAGGAGCTGGAGACCAGCCTGGCCAAAACAGCGAAACCCCATCTCCACCAAAAAAACAAAAACCAGTCAGGCGTGGCGGTGCGTGCCTGCAATCGCAGGCACTCGGCAGGCCGAGGCAGGAGAATCATGGGAGCCCAAGGCAGGGAGGTTGCAGCAAGCTGAGATCACGGCAGTACAGTCCAGCCTCAGCAACAGAGGGAAACCGAAGAAAGAAAGAAAGAGAGAGAGAGAGAGGAAGGAAGGAAGGAAGGAAGGAAGGAAGGAAGGAAGGAAGGAAGGCAGGCAGGCAGGCAGGCAGGCAGGCAGGCAGGCTTGTCTCCACCTTCATTTCTGGTTTGATTTGAGTCTTTTCTGGTTTTTTCTTGGTAAATCTGGATAAAGATTTGTTGATTTTGTTTACATTTTCAGAAATCAACTCTTAATTGTGTTGATCCTTATTTTTTTTTTCAGCCTCTTGTTAGTTCATTTATTTCTACTCTGATTTTTTTTTTTTTTGAGATGGAGTCTCACTCTGTCACCCAGGCTGGAGTGCAGTGGTGCAATCTCCACTCACTGCAACCACCACCTCCCAGGTTTAAGTGATTCTCCTGCCTCAGCCTCCCGAGTAGCTGGGATTACAGGCACACGCCACCACACCTGGCTAATTTTTGTATTTTTTAGTAGAGATGAGGTTTCATCTTGTTGGTCAGGCTGGTCTCAAACTCCTGACCTCATGATCTGCCTGCCTTGGCCTCCCAAAGTGCTGGGATTACAGGCATGAGCCACCGCACCCAGTCTTTTTTTTTTTTTTTTTTTTTGAGACAGATTCTTGCTCTGTCACCCAGGCTGGAGTGCAGTGGCACAATCTAGGCTCACTACAACCTCTGCCTCCTGGTTTCAAGCGATTCTCCTGCCTCAGCCTCCCAAGTAGCTGGGACCACAAGTGTGTGCCACCACTCCCAGCTAATTTTTGTATTTTTAGTAGCTATGGGGTTTCACTGTGTTGGCCAGGCTGATCTCGAACTCCTGACCTCAGGTGATCTGCCCGCCTCGGCCTCCCAAAGTGCTGGGATTACAGGTGTGAGCCACTGAACCTGGCCTCTGCTCTGATCTTTACTATTTCTTTCCATCTGCTAACACTGAGTTTAATGGGGTTTTTTTGTTTGTTTCTATTTCTTTGAGGTGTAACATTGTTTGTGATCTTTCTATTTTTGGTATAGGCATTTATTGTTACAAACTTTCATCACAAAATTGGTTTTGCTGCATGCCATAAGTATTGGTATGTTTCCATTTTCATTTGTTTCAAGATTTTTTAAAATTTCCTTAATTTCTTCATTGACTTATTACTTGTTCAGGAGCATATTGTTTAATCTCCATGTATTTGAGTATATCCTGAAATTTCTCCTGATATTGATTTCTAGTTTCATACTATTGTGGTCAAAATGATACTTGATATTATTTCAATCTTCTTAAATTTGCTAAGACTCATCTTGTGGCCTAACACATGATCTGTCCTGGAGAGTGTTCCTTGTGCACTTGAGAAGAATGAATATTTTGTTGTTGTTTAATGGCACATTCTGTATATATCTATGGGCTCCATTTAGTCTAAATGTTGCTAAAGTACGTTTCCTTTTTGATTTTCTGTCTGAATAATCTGTCCAATACTGAAAATAGTGTATTGCTGTCCCCCACGATTATCGTATTGCAATCTATCTCTCCCTTCCGAGCTTTTAATATTTGATTAAAATAGGTGCTTCATTGTAAGGTGCATATATAGTTACAATTATATCTTCTTAATGGATCCTTTTTATCATTATATAATGTCCTTCTTTGTCTCTTTGTAGTTTTTGACTTAAAGTCTATTTTTTCTAATATAACTATTACTATTCCTGATTTCTTTTGAATTTCATTTGTGTGGAATATCTTTTTCTTTCCCATCACTTTCAGCATATATATGTCCTTAAAGGTAAAGTGGCTTTTATAGGGAACATACAGTTGGGTCTTATTTTATTATCTATTCATTCACTCTATATCTTTTGATTGGAGAATTTAGTCCATTTTTACTCAAGATAATTATTTATATGTAATAACTTACTACTGTAATTTTGTTAATTGTTTTCTGGTTGTTTTGTGCATATTTTGTTTCTTTCTTCTCTTGCTGTTTTTTGTTTTATGGTTTGATGATTTTCTGAAGTGGTACTTTGGAATTACTTTTATTTTTGTTTTGTGCATCTCCTACAGATTTTTGAGTTTTTTTGGTTACTATGAAGCATAAATAGAACACCTTACATTTATAACATTTTGTTTCAAACTGATAACACGTTAACTTTGATTGCATAAAGTAACACTACACTTTTACTCACTCCCCACATTTTAAGGTTTCATGTCTGAATTTATGTTATTTTGCAATATGAATCTCTTGAAAATTCATTTTAGCTATAGTTGTTTTTAGTAATTTTGTCCTTTTATCCTTGTACTAGGGATAACATTACTTTACATACTACCATTACAGTCTTAGAGTATTATAAATATCACTCTGTATTAGTTATACCATTGGGTTTTGTGCATTGGTAAGTTTTCTGTTATTAATTAGCAGCCTTTTTTTTCTAGTTTAAAGAACTCCCTTGTAGCAGTTCCTCTAAAGCATCCACCATACAGTGCTGATGAACTTCCTTAAATTTTGTTTGTATGGGAATGTTTTTATTTCTCCCTTATTTCTGAAGGGAAGATTTGATGCATAAAGTATTATTGGTTGACAGGTTTCTTTCCTTTGACACTTGAATATATCATCCTACTATCTCAAGAAGTCCACTAATAGTCATATCAGGACACCTTTGTGTGTAACGCATATTTTATCTCTTGCTGCTCTCAGGATGTTTTCTTTGTCTTTGATTTTTGATGGTTTGTATATTGTATGTCTTGATGAACTCCCCTTTCTTGGAATTTAATTGGTGACTTCTGCAATACCTGTACCTAGATGTTGACTTCCCTCCTCAGAATGGGAAAGTGTTCACTAATTATTTCTTTAATTTTTTTTTTCTGGCCCTGTATCTCTTTCTTCTTTTTCTGCAGTGCCAATTATGCATAGGTTAGGTCTCTTGATAGTGTCCCATAATTCCTATAGGCTTTCTTCATCCTTTATTCTTTCTACTCTTCTGATTGAGAAATTTCAAGTGTCTGTCCTTGAGTTCACTGATCCTTCCACCAGCTTGATCTAGCTGGCTGTAGACACTTTGCATTGCCTTTTTTAGTATAGTCGTTGCATTATTTATCTCTAGCACTTCTATTTGTTTTTAATTGTTTCTGCTTCTTTGTCAAACTTCTCTTGTTCATGTATTGATCTCCAAATTTCACTTAATATTCATATATTCCTGGAGTTCACTGAGATTTTTAAGAGGATTATTCTGAATTCTTTTTCTATAATTTTGTAAATGTCCCTTTTTTAGTGTCCATTTTTGGAGCTTTGTTCATTTCTTTCAGAGGTCTCATGATTTTCTGAATCTTTGTTTTGTGCCTTTGTGTGGGTGTATTTGTTGACACAGACATCTTTTCTGGTTTTTACAGGAGTTCTTTGGCAGGGATAGACATTCACTTGTTAGTCTAGGCTATGACTGGATGGGTCAGCTAGTGATGACCCGAGGCATACAGAGCTTGCTTTCAGGTTCTTTAGATGTTTGGGCTACTGCTGACTTTGCTCTGAATTCATATGGGGCAGCTGGCTACACTCTGCTATCCAGCAAGACCGTTATCTAACATCTGCTACCAGGCTGAGCTGGTATATGGGCATTGCAATCACCTGATTCAGAATAGACTACAGCATGTATTCCCTGGAGAGAAGATACTGCCATTTGATTTCAGCGGTTGAGAGTTGCGAAGAGGTACCACAGTTAAGTTGATTGGAATAAATAGACCAAGTGCTATGTGCAGTAGAAATGCACAATTGAGACTTGCTTCTCTCCTTGGGCGGGGTCTGGGAGTGAGCTTTGAGGTGCAGGGATTAAACTCCAGGGTGTGGCAGAATTAATACATGCTTATTGTTGAAATTCACTGCAGTGGTTCTCCCTCCCTGGGTGGGTCTAGTGGTAAAGTTTGAGGTCAAGAGGAGCCCTGATTAAGCTCTCAGTTGTGCAGAACTAGTGCCCACTTCTTATCAAAAGTCATCTCCCTCCCTAAGTGGGGTCTGAGGATGGGCTTTGAGGCTGTGGACGAATGATGATTAAGCTCCTGGGTGTCTGAAATCTAGTGGCTGCTTGTTGTGAAAATTTGTTACGGGGGTCTTCTCCCTAAGAGGGAGGCTGGGCTAGGATCTGAGGCTGGACCTGGAGGCTGGCCATCTTGGAACTCAAGCAAGATAGTATTTTCCACTTTTTCTGAGAGTGACCAGCTTAACATTGTGAGTGAGCTACACTGTAGCTAATATTGTAATTGAGTGCCACTGCTGGCAGGTACACTGAGCTTTCATCAAAATCTGTATGCTATTTTTATGGGCTCTTCCTTTTTCTTTGTTTTTCCTATCCGGCCCCAGGGGGTCTATTCATGTAGTTTCTCCCTACAAATGGAGTGAGCCTCCTGGGAAGCATCAGAGAATGCAAGGGAAGCTGGATGTCTGCCTCCCCAAAACTCTTTTCCCACTGTAGACTACCATGGGGAATCCTCTCTACGTGGCACTGAGCCAACTTGGGGTAAAGGAAGGGGTGATGTAGTCAAAGCAAAGCTATTTTGCCTACACATTTAATGCAGGTTTGTATTAAGTTCCCTGGAATGTGCAGGTGGCTCGGGCTTATTTCCATCCACACTTTGACGTTTTCAACAAGGTGTTTTTGTGTGTGGATAGTTCTAGTTGACGATTTGATTGAAGGGGGGAGGAAAGCCTGGAAACTTCTATTCTTTCTGACATCTCCTTCCAAAAAAGGAGAGTTGTTGCTTAATGAATTTATAGTTTTTTTTGTGGTGCTGAAAATTTTTAGCAATAAATAGTGGTGATGGTGACATAACATTGTGAATGTAATTAATGCCATGGAATTGTACACTTTGAAAATGGTTGAAATGGCAAATTTTATGCTATATATATTACCATAATTTTTTAAGTGAACAGGAAATACCTACAACACTCATTAAAAATGATATAAAAATAGATACACTCAAAATCACTATAGATAAATCACAATGGAATTCTAAAAAGTGTTTAAATAATCCACAGGAAGGCAGACAAATAAAACAGATGAGAACAAACAGAATGAAAGGAAGGCAAAAGCATAATGACAGACAAAAACACTAACATGTAAAAATTGTGAAACACAAATAATCTAAATATGCGAATTAGAATACAGAGATTGGCAGTGGATTAAAAACTCGACCCAATCTGTGTTATCTGCAAGAAACTCACCCTAAGTATAATCATATAGGCAGGTTTTAAATAAAATAATAGAAAAGATACATGGTACAAACATTAATCAAAGGAAAGCAAGAGTGGCTATAGTAATAGATCAAGCACACATAAGAGCAAAAAA
The DNA here is from genome assembly GCF_000001405.40 of Homo sapiens. Taxonomy (NCBI): domain Eukaryota; kingdom Metazoa; phylum Chordata; class Mammalia; order Primates; family Hominidae; genus Homo; species Homo sapiens. Next base: position 73,028,061 of record NC_000023.11, read on the forward strand.
AATTACCAGAGAGAGGAAGACACACTGTGTTTTAGTAGAAGGATCAGTTCACCAGAAGATATAGCAATCCTAAATGTGCACGGAACAAACGTCAAAGCTTCAAATAGGTAAAGCAAAAAATGATAGAACTGAAAAAAGAAATAGAGAAACCCACAATTTTAGTTGAAATATTTAACTCCCCTCTCTCAACAATTGAGAGAAGATCTGGAAAGAAAATCAGTAATCATGTAGAAGAAATCAACAATGCCATCAAGCAGCATGATCTAATCAACTTTTATAGAACACTGCAGATAAAAAGAGCAGAATGCATTCTGTTCAAATGTCAGTGTTACTTATATCAAGATATACTATATTTTGGGCCAGAAAACAAACCTCAACAAATTTAAATAATGAAAATCATACAGAGTGTGTTCTTGGACCATAATGGAATCAAACTAAAAATTCGTAACAGAAAGGTAGCTGAAAAAGAACCAAGCACTTGGAAAGTAAATAACAGTTTCCCGTATAATCCAGATGTCAAAAGGGATGTGTGAGGAGAAATTTGACAAAGAAACTATTGAACTGAATGAAAATAATAATAAATCACATCAAAGCTGTGGGAAGCACTAAAGGAGCATTTAGAAGAAAATTTATAGGATTAAATGCACACATTAGAAAAAATACAATTTCTGATGGTTACTAAAAGGGGCTTTGAGATGGCTGATTAGAGGCATCTGTTACCTCCTTCATGAAGAAAGCCAAAATAGCAAGTAGATAATCACACTTTGAACAGATCTCCTAAGAGAGAACACTGGTATTCAGCAGAGAAGTAAGGAAAACACCTAAGTCAAGGAAGAAATAAAAAGAGAGGCAGCCTGCTTCTCTGGGATGGGCAGGGATCCTGAAGTGGCTCTCCAATATGGGGAAAGGGCAAGTGAGAGACCCCCCGGGTGGTCCAAATTCCCACCATGGTTTCCTGTAATCTTAGCCACAGGAGAGTCTGTTGACACTTGCAGGTTCTGAGATAACATAGAGAGCTGCCTGGAGACCACATGATGGCATTTCTACAGAGAAGGAGCTCATGCTGGGTCCCAAACACCACCTGAGCCCTAAGCAGATATAGCATGGCATCATTTTGTGAGCCCAGGCCCCACATGGCTGCATCAAGCCCTGAGGCCCAACAGCCCCTGTATCTCCATATCCCTGAAGCCCATTAACTTCCCCCACCCACAGACACTGCCACTGCTGGCTGCTGCTGCCAAGGCCACAGCATGAGCTATTGGCAGTGACACTGCTTCTCCCAATAGCAGAAGTGCTGCACATTTACATGTGCCCTGAAAACAGGCTACTGCATTTGGGGCTGAGGTGTGTCCTTGCTAGCCACTTGCCTATGGATGCTGCCACTAAACAGGAATCCCAGCCTCCCTAGCAGCAAGCCTGCAGCACAGCTGCTGCTGCCCCCACCAAAGAACTATTCTGGGGGCCTGAAGATCACCCCATCTCTGCCTACCAAAGCACATACCTGCATTCATCAACAGGAAGTCTTAGTTCAGGCTTTCCCAGCTTAGCTATGACCTCTGTAGTTCCAGAGCACATTATCCCGGCGGGGCTGGGGATTGCCATACCACATCTACCACCACTGGTATCCAAGTGCTGCTCCGGGGGCCATGAGGATGAGCCTGCCAAAACTGCCTCTATCACCCCTGAAGGAATCAACTCACTTCTGGAACCTGATGGCCTAGGGACTGGCCTGACTAGATCAAGCAGAAGAAATAATTTTAGAATATAAAGACAGGTCTACTGAAATAACCCACTCAGACAAAAATTATTTTAAAAAAGTAAAAAAGAATAAACAAAGCCTATGTTATATATGGGACACCATTAGGTGAAAAAACACTCAAATTTTTGATATCCCAGAAGACGAAGAGAAAAGGAGAGGGGTAGAAAATCTGTTCAATGTAATAATAGTAAAAAATTTTCCCCCTCTAGCAAGAGATTTAGACATGTAGATACAGGAGGCTCAGAGATTCTCAAAAGATACAATTAAAAAAGATCTCCTCCATGGCGCATTATAGTCAAAACATAAAAAGTCAGCCACAAAGAGAGAACTCTAAAAACAGCAAGAGAAAAGTGTCTAGTCACTTATAAGGGATTCCCCATCAGACTAACAGGGGATTTCTTAGCAGAAACATATAGACCAGGAAAAAATGGGATCATATGGTCAAAGTGCTGATAACTCTCCAAGATGGGCAGCTAGAGGTAGCCAGGAGGAACATCTCCCACTGAAGAACCAGAATATCAGGAAGACTGGTGCACTCCTAGCAGATCTTCAAGAGGGAAGGCATTGAGAGCAGATGGCGGGAAGACACAGATGCTGGGCTGAAGCCGGGGGAAGCTGGGAACCCTGCACAGGGCTACCATGCACCAGGAGTCATACCTGGCCAATAACGACTCCTAGGGAAGGGATGAGTTGAGCAGGCAAGGACCCTTTCAATCTTGTCACAAGCCTCCTGAATCTCAGCAGGAGGAGACTCCTTGACCACCATGGACGCTTGAGTTGTCAGAGAGAGCTGCTTAGAGAAGTGGTTGGGGCAGAACTCCAGCCAGTGTGGAGCCCAAAGGATTTGGTGCGGGAACATCTGTAGTGGAGCATAGCTCCAGTGCTAGCAGATGGTGCCAAACCAGTAGAGTGCTGCAGCAGAGGGGACCCACAGTCAAGCACCAGCCTACCCAAGCCCTTCCCCAACTGTGGCCTCCCTCATGCCACTTTGCCTGCATGCACTCACCCAGGGTGAATAAAGAGCCACTAGGACCACTAACACTCCAGCTGTGCAAGAACATCACCATCTCTTTCCAGAAAGTTTTCAAACTGAAACTCTGTACTCATTAGAGAATAACTTCCCATTTCCTCTCCTCTCACTCAGATGCTGGCAAACACAAATCAACTTTCTGTCTTTATGAATTTGACTACACTAGGTACCTCACATAAGTGGAACCATATACTACTTGCCCTGTTTATGACTAGTTTATTTTACTTAACACAGTGCACTCAAAATTGATCCATGTTATATATCATGTGTCAAAGTTCCTTCCTTTTTACAGCTGGATAATATTCCAATGTAATATATACCATATTTTGTTTATCCATTCATTTATCAATGAATACTTGGAATGTTTTCACCTTTTATTGACTATGAATAATGCCACAGTGAATACGGGTGCACAAGTGTCTGTTTGGGTTCCTGTTTTTAAATATTTACGGTATATAGCCAGAAGCAGACTTGCTGGATCATACAGTAATTATATGTTTAATATTTTGAGGAACAGTGAAACTATTTTACATAGTTACTGTACCATTGTACATTCCCACTATCAATGGATAAGTGTTCCAATTTCTCCTCATTCTTGTCAACACTTGTTATTCTATCTTCTGTGTGTGTGTGTGTGTGTGTGTGTGTGTGTGTGTGTCAGATAATTGCTATCCTAATGGATGTGAACTGAAATTTCCTTGTGGCTTTGGTTGGCATTTACCGAATAATTAGTGATGTTTAGCAACTTTTTATATGCTTATTGGCCATTTGTGTGCCTTTGCAGGAATGTTTATTTAAGTCCTTTACCCATTTTAAAAATTGGATTGGGTTTCTTTTCTTTTTTTTTTTATACTTTAAGTTTTAGGGTACATGTGCACAATGTGCAGGTTACTTACATATGTACATATGTGCAATGCTGGTGTGTTCCACCCATTAACTCCTCATTTAGCATTAGGTATATCTCCTAATGCTATCCCTCCCCCTTCACCCCACCCCACAACTGTCCCCAGAGTGTGATGTTCCACTTCCTGTGTCCATGTGTTCTCATTGTTCAATTCCCACCTATGAGTGAGAATATGCAGTGTTTGGTTTCTTGTTCTTGCAATAGTTTACTGAGAATGATGGTTTCCAGCTTCATCCATGTCCCTACAAAGGACATGAACTCATCATTTTTTAGGGCTGCATAGTATTCCATGGTGTATATGTACCACATTTTCTTAATCCAGTCTATCATTGTTGGACATTTGGGTTGGTTCCAAGTCTTTGCTATTGTGAATGGTGCTGCAATAAACATACGTATGCACGTGTCTTTATAGCAGCATGATTTATAGTCCTTTGGGTATATACCCAGTAATGGGATGGCTGGGACAATTGGTATTTCTAGTTCTAGATCCCTGAGGAATCGCCACACTGACTTCCACAATGGTTGAACTAGTTTACAGTCCCACCAACAGTGTAAAAGTGTTCCTATTTCTCCACATCCTCTCCAACGCCTGTTGTTTCCTGACTTTTTAATGATTGCCATTCTAACTGGTGTGAGATGGTATCTCATTGTGGTTTTGATTTGCATTTCTCTGATGGCCAGTGATGATGAGCATTTTTTCATGTGTTTTTTGGCTGCATAAATGTCTTCTTTTGAGAAGTGTCTCTTCATGTCCTTCACCCACTTTTTGATGGGGTTGTTTGTTTTTTTCTTGTAAATTTGTTTGAGTTCATTGTAGATTCTGGATATTAGCCCTTTGTCAGATGAGTAGGTTGCGAAAATTTTCTCCCATTTTTAGGTTGCCTGTTCACTCTGATGGTAGTTTCTTTTGCTGTGCAGAAGCTCTTTAGTTTAATTAGATCCCATTTGTCAATTTTGAGTTTTGTTGCCATTGTTTTTGGTGTTTTAGACATGAAGTCCTTGCCCATGCCTATGTCCTGAATGGTAATGCCTAGATTTTCTTCTAGGGTTTTTATGGTTTTAGGTCTAACATTTAAGTCTTTAATCCACCTTGAATTAATTTTTGTATAAGGTGTAAGGAAGGGATCCAGTTTCAGCTTTCTACATATGGCTAGCCAGTTTTCCCAGCACCATTTATTAAATAGGGAATCCTTTCCCATTGCTTGTTTTTCTCAGGTTTGTCAAAGATCACATAGTTGTAGATATGCGGTGCTATTTCTGAGGGCTCTGTTCTGTTCCATTGGTCTATATCTCTGTTTTGGTACCAGTACCATGCTGTTTTGGTTACTGTAGCCTTGTAGTATAGTTTGAAGTCAGGTAGTGTGACGTCTCCAGCTTTGTTCTTTTGGCTTAGGATTGACTTGGCAATGCGGGCTCTTTTTTGGTTCCATATGAACTTTAAAGTAGTTTTTTCCAATTCTGTGAAGAAAGTCATTGGTAGCTTGATGGGGATGGCATTGAATCTGTAAATTACCTTGGGCAGTATGGCCATTTTCACGATATTGATTCTTCCTACCCATGAGCATGGAATGTTCTTCCATTTGTTTGTATCCTCTTTTATTTCATCGAGCAGTGGTTTGTAGTTCTCCTTGAAGAAGTCCTTCACATCCCTTGTAAGTTGGATTCCTAGGTATTTTATTCTCTTTGAAGCAATTGTGAATGGGAGTTCACTCATGATTTGGCTCTCTGTTTGTCTGTTGTTGGTGTATAAGAATGCTTGTGATTTTTGTACATTGATTTTGTATCCTGAGACTTTGCTGAAGTTGCTTATCAGCTTAAGGAGATTTTGGGCTGAGACGATGGGGTTTTCTAGATAAACAATCATGTCGTCTGCAAACAGGGACAATTTGACTTCCTCTTTTCCTAATTGAATACCCTTTATTTCCTTCTCCTGCCTGATTGCCCTGGCCAGAACTTCCAACACTATGTTGAATAGGAGTGGTGAGAGAGGGCATCCCTGTCTTGTGCCAGTTTTCAAAGGGAATGCTTCCAGCTTTTGCCCATTCAGTATGATATTGGCTGTGGGATTATCATAGATAGCTCTTAGTATTTTGAGATATGTCCCATCAACACCTAATTTATTGGGAGTTTTTAGCATGAAGTGTTGTTGAATTTTATCAAAGGCCTTTTCTGCATCTATTGAGATAATCATGTGGTTTTTGTCTTTGGTTCTGTTTATATGCTGGATTACATTTTTGATTTGCATATGTTGAACCAGCCTTGCATCCCAGGGATGAAGCCCACTTGATCATGGTGGATAAGCTTTTTGATGTGCTGCTGGATTCGGTTAGCCAGTATTTTATTGAGGATTTTTGCATCAATGTTCATCAAGGATATTGGTCTAAAATTCTCTTTTTTGGTTGTGTTTCTGCCAGGCTTTGGTATCAGGATGATGCTGGCCTCATAAAATGAGTTAGGGAGGATTACCTCTTTTTCTATTGATTTCAATAGTTTCAGAAGGAATGGTACCAGTTCCTCCTTGTACCTCTGGTAGAATTCGGCTGTGAATCCATCTGGTCCTGGACTCTTTTTGGTTGGTAAGCTATTGATTATTGCCACAATTTCAGAGCCTCTTATTGGTCTATTCAGAGATTCAAGTTCTTCCTGGTTTAGTCTTGGGAGGGTGTATGTGTCGAGGAATTTATCCATTTCTTCTAGATTTTCCAGTTTATTTGCATAGAGGTGTTTATAGTATTCTCTGATGGTAGTTTGTATTTCTGTAGGATCGGTGGTGATATCCCCTTTATCATTTTTTATTGCGTCTATTTGATTCTTCTCTCTTTTCTTATTAGTCTTGCTAGCAGTCTATCAATTTTGTTGATCCTTTCAAAAAACCAGCTCCTGGATTCATTAATTTTTTGAAGGGTTTTTGTGTCTCCGTTTCCTTCAGTTCTGCTCTGATTTTGGTTATTTCTAGCCTTCTGCTAGCTTTTGAATGTGTTTCTCTTGCTTTTCTAGTTCTTTTAATTGTGATGTTAGGGTGTCAATTTTAGATCTTTCCTGCTTTCTCTTGTGGGCATTTAGTGCTATAAATTTCCCTCTACACACTGCTTTGAATGTGTCCCAGAGATTCTGGTATGTTGTGTCTTGGTTCTCATTGGTTTCAAAGAATATCTTTATTTCTGCCTTCATTTCGTTATGTACCCAGTAGTCATTCAGGAGCAGGTTGTTCAGTTTCCTTGTAGTTGAGTGGTTTTGAGTGAGTTTCTTAATCCTGAGTTCTAGTTTAATTGCACTGTGGTCTGAGAGACAGTTTGTTATAATTTCTGCTCTTTTACATTTGCTAAGGAGAGCTTTACTTCCAAGTATGTGGTCAATTTTGGAATAGGTGTGGTGTGGTGCTGAAAAAAATGTATATTCTGTTGATTTGGGGTGGAGAGTTCTGTAGATGTCTATTAGGTCCGCTTGGTGCAGAGCTGAGTTCAATTCCTGGATATCCTTGTTAACTTTCTGTCTTGTCGATCTGTCTAATGTTGACAGTGGGGTGTTAAAGTCTCCCATTATTATTGTGTGGGAGTCTAAGTCTCTTTGTAGGTCACTCAGGACTTGTTTTATGAATCTGGGTGCTCCTGTATTGGGTGCATATATATTTAGGATAGTTAGGTCTTCTTGTTGAATTGAGCCCTTTACCAATATGTAATGGCCTTCTTTGTCTCTTTTGATCTTTGTTGGTTTAAAATCTGTCTTATCAGAGACTAGGATTGCAACCCCTGCCTTTTTTTGTTTTCCATTTGCTTGGTAGATCTTCCTCCATCCTTTTATTTTGAGCCTATATGTGTCTCTGCCCGTGGGATGGATTTCCTGAATACAACACACTGATGGGTCTTGACTCTTTATCCAATTTGCCAGTCTGTGTCTTTTAATTGGAGCATTGAGTCCATTTACATTTAAAGTTAATATTGTTATGTGTGAATTTGATCCTGTCATTATGATGTTAGCTGGTTATTTTGCTCGTTAGTTGATGCAGTTTCTTCCTAGTCTTGATGGTCTTTACATTTTGGCATGATTTTGCAGCGGCTGGTACTGGTTGTTCCTTTCCATGTTTAGTGCTTCCTTCAGGAGTTCTTTTAGGGCAGGCCTGTTGGTGACAAAATCTCTCAGCATTTGCTTGTCTGTAAAGTATTTTAATTCTCCTTCACTTATGAAGCTTAGTTTGGCTGTATATGATATTCTGGGTTGAAAATTCTTTTCTTTAAGAATGTTGAATATTGGCCTCCACTCTCTTCTGGCTTGTAGAGTTTCTGCCGATAGATCAGCTGTTAGTCTGATGTGCTTCCCTTTGTGGGTAACCCGACCTTTCTCTTTGGCTGCCCTTAACATTTTTTCTTTCATTTCAACTTTGGTGAATCTGACAATTATGTGTCTTGGAGTTGCTCTTCTTGAGGATTATCTTTGTGGCGTTCTCTGTATTTCCTGAATCTGAATGTTGGCCTGCCTTGCTAAATTAGGGAAGTTCTCCTGGATAATATCCTGCAGAGTGTTTTCCACCTTGGTTCCATTCTCCCCGTCACTTTCAGGTACACCAATCAGACGTAGATTTGGTCTTTTCCCATAGTCCCATATTTCTTGGAGGCTTTGTTTGTTTCTTTTTATTCTTTTTTCTCTAAACTTCCCTTCTTGCTTCATTTCATTCATTTCATCTTCCATCACTGATACCCTTTCTTCCAGTTGATCGCATCGGCTCCTGAGGCTTCTGCATTCTTCACAGAGTTCTCGAGCCTTAGCTTTCAGCTCCATCAACTCCTTTAAGCACTTCTCTGTATTGGTTATTCTATTTATACATTCGTCTAAATTTTTTTTGAAAGTTTTTAACTTCTTTGCCTTTGGTTTGAATTTCCTCCTGTAGCTCGGAGTAGTTTGATCATCTGAAGGTTTCTTCTCTCAACTCGTCAAAGTGATTCTCCATCCAGCTTTGTTTTGTTGCTGCTGAGGAACTGTTTTCCTTTGGAGGAGGAGATGGGCTCTGGTTTTTAGAGTTTCCAGTTTTTCTGCTCTGTTTTTTCCACATCTTTGTGGTTTTATCTACTTTTGGTCTTTGATGATGGTGATGTACAGATGGGTTTTTGGTGTGGATGTCATTTCTGTTTGTTAGTTTTCCTTCTAACAGACGGGACCCTCAGCTGCAGGTCTTTTGGAGTTTGCTAGAGGTCCACTCCAGACCCTGTTTGCCTGGGTACCAGCAGCGGTGGCTGCAGAACTGCGGGTTTTCATGAACCGCGAATGCTGCTGTCTGATCGTTCCTCTGGAAGTTTTGTCTCAGAGGAGTACCCAACCGTGTGAGGTGTCAGTCTGCCCCTACTGCGGGGTGCCTCCCAGTTAGGCTGCTCGGTGGTCAGGGGTCAGGGACCCACTTGAGGAGGCAGTCTGCCCTTTCTCAGATCTCCAGCTGCATGTTGGGAGAACCACTGCTGTCTTCAAAGCTGTCAGACAGGGACATTTAAATCTGCAGAGGTTACTGCTGTCTTTTTGTTTGTCTGTACCCTGCCCCCCAGAGATGGAGCCTACAGAGGCAGGCAGGCCTCCTTGAGCTGTGGTGGGCTCCACCCAGTTCGAGCTTCCTGGCTGCTTTGTTTACCTAAGCAAGCCTGGGCAATGGCGGGCGCCCCTCCCCCAGCCTCACGGCCGCCTTGCAGTTTGATCTCAGACTGCTGTGCTAGCAATCTGCAAGACACTGTGGGCATAGGACCCTCTGAGCCAGGTGCGGGATATAATCTCCTGCGCACCGTTTTTTAAGCCCATTGGAAAAGCGCAGTATTAGGGTGAGAGTGACCCGATTTTCCAGGTGCCATCTGTCACCCCTTTCTTTGACTAGGAAAGGGAACTCCCTGACAGGTTGCACTTCCTGAGTGAGGCAATGCCTCACCCTGCTTCGGCTCACGCACGGCATGCTGCACCCACTGTCCTGCGCCCACTGTCTGATACTCCCTAGTGAGATGAACCTGGTACCTCAGATTGAAATGCAGAAATCACCCATCTTCTGCGTCGCTCATGCTGGGAGCTGTAGACCAGACCTGTTCCTATTCGGCCATCTTGGCTCCAGCCCCCCGGTTTCTTTCTTTCTTTTCTTTAGCTGGTTTTTGTTGAGTTGTAGGAGTTCCTTATATAGTCTTCATACTAAATTTTATCAGATATATGATTTGCAGATATTTCCTTCCCTTCTGTGGGTTTCACCACATTGCTTGTGTACTTTGATGAATAATTTTTAAAATTTTAATGTGCAGCTTACCGATTTTTTTTGGCTGCCTGTGCTTTTGGTGTCTTAGCCAAGAAATTACTGCCAAATCCAATGTTATGAAGCTTTTCTTTTCTATTTTCTTCTAGGAGTTTTATAGTTTCTGCTTTTACATTTATGTTGTTAATCCATTTTGAGTTAATTTTTGTACATGGCTTAAGAACTTCATTGTTTAGTATGTGGATATCCAGTTTTCCAAACACCATTTGTTGGAAAGACTGTACTCCCTATATCAAATGGTCTTGATACCCTTGTCAAAATTTATTTGATCTTATATGCAAGAATTTCTTTCTGAGATCTCTATTCTGTGCTATTGGTGTATATGTCTGTCTTTATGCCAATACTATAATATTTTCTTTATTGTAGCACTGTATTAAGTTTTGAAATTAGAATGTGTGACACTTCCCACTTTTTTCTTCTCAGAATTGCTTTGGTATTTCCATAGTAAATTTTAGGATGGATTTTTTTTTAATTTCTACAAATGATGTTGATGGGATTTTGATAAAATTGTACTGAATCTGTGGATTAATTTGGCTGGTATTGACATCTTAGCCATATTAAGTCTTATCATATTCATAAACACAGGATATCATTTCATTAATTGTTTTCTTCCTTAATTTATTTCAATTTTTTTTTTTACTTTTCACCATACGCATTTTTTCTTATCAGTTAAGTTCATCCCTAAGTAATTTATTCTTTTGTATACTATAAATGAGATTACTTTCTTAATTTCCCTTTAGTTTATTTACTCTAGGTGTATAGAAACACAACTGATTGTGTGTTGATGGTATATCCATTAACTTTGCTGAAATTGTTATTAGTTATGATACTTTTTGGTGGAATCTTTAGTGTTACTTAGATATAAGTTCATGTAGATTCTGGATATTAGCCCTTTGTCAGATGAGTAGGTGTGAAAATTTTCTCCCAAACAAATTTACAAGAAAAAAACAAACAACCCCATCAAAAAGTGGGCGAAGGATGTGAACAGACACTTCTCAAAAGAAGACATTTATGCAGCCAAAAAACACATGAAAAAATGCTCACCATCACTGGCCATCAGAGAAATGCAAATCAAAACCACAATGAGATACCATCTCACACCAGTTAGAATGGCAATCATTAAAAAGTCAGGAAACAACAGGCGTTGGAGAGGATGTGGAGAAATAGGAACACTTTTACACTGTTGGTGGGACTGTAAACTAGTTCAACCATTGTGGAAGTCAGTGTGGCTATTCCTCAGGGATCTAGAACTGGAAATACCATTTGACCCAGCCATCCCATTACTGGGTATATACCCAAAGGACTATAAATCAGGCTGCTATAAAGACACATGCACACGTATGTTTATTGCGGCATTTTTCACAATAGCAAAGACTTGGAACCAACCCAAATGTCCAACAATGATAGACTGGATTAAGAAAATGTGGCACATATACACCATGGAATACTATGCAGCCCTAAAAAATGATGAGTTCATGTCCTTTGTAGGGACATGGATGAAACTGGAAAACATCATTCTCAGTAAACTATCGCAAGAACAAAAAATCAAACACCGCATATTCTCACTCATAGGTGGGAATTGAACAATGAGATCACATGGACACAGGAAGGGGAATATCACACTCTGGGGACTGTTGTGGGGTGGGGGGAGGGGGGAGGGATAGCATTGGGAGATATACCTAATGCTAGATGACACGTTAGTGGGTGCAGTGCACCAGCATGGCACATGTATACATATGTAACTAACCTGCACAATGTGCACAAGTACCCTAAAACTTAAAGTATAATAAAAAAATTTAAAAAAGATCATGTAACCTGTGAACAGATATTTTTTCCTTTCAAATTTAGACACCCTTTTTTCCTTCCTGCCTTTCTTCCTTCCTTTCTTCATTCCTTTCTTCTTTCCTTTTCTCCTCCTCCTCCTTCTCTTTTCAACAAACTGCTCAAGCTAGAACTCCCATTACTGTGTTAAATAGAAGTGGCAAGAATGAGCATCCTTATATTATTCCAGATGTTAGATAAAAGATTTCAGGTTTTCACCACTGAGTATGATGCTCCCTTTTTTTAATACATCACTTTTATTATGTTGAGGTAATTTCTTTCTATTTTTAATTTGTGGAATGTTTTTATTGCAAAAGGTGTTAATTTTGGCTCATGCTTTTTCCGCATTGTGTTTGTCCATTCTCTCACTAATGAAGAAATATCTGATAATGGAAAATTTAGAAAGAAAAGAGGTTTAATTGGCTCACAGTTCCACAGGCTGTACAGGAAGCATGGCGGCATCTGCTTGGCTTTGATCATGGTGGAAGACAAATGGGAAGCCAGCACTTCACATGGCCAGAGTAGGAAAAAGGGGTGGAGGGGGTACTACACACTTTTAAACAACCAGATCTCAATGAGAACTCTGTCATAAGAACAGTACCAAAGGGATGGTTCTAAACCATTCATGAAAAATCTACCTCTATGATCCAATCACCTTCCACCAGGTCCCACTTCCAACATCGGGGATTACAATTCAGTATGAGATTTAGGCAGGACACAGATCCAAACCACCATCATGCATCAATTGAGATAATCATGTAGTTTTTGTCTTTATTCTGGTAATATGGTGTATTGCATTTGTCAATTTTTATATGTTGAATAATTCTTGCATTCCAGGAATAAATCCCCCTTGTTCCTGGTGTGTAATCCTTTTAATGTGCTGTCGAATTCAGTTTGCTAGTATTTTCTTAAGGATTTTTGCATCAATGTTCATCATGGACATTGATGTGTAATTTTCTTTTCTTGCAGTGTTTTTGACTTGGTATCAAGGTAATGCTGGTTTTGTAGAATTAATTTGGAAGTGTTTCTTCCTTTTCAGTTCTTTGGAAGACTTTGAGAAGAATCGGTCTTAATTCTTCCTTAAATGTTTGACAGAATTCTCCAGTGAAGCCATCTGGTATTTTCTGTTGCGGATGGGGGTTTGATTACTGATTCAATCTCTTTGCTGATTTCAGGTCACTTCATATTTTCTATTTCGTCATTATTTGATCTTGATCGGTTGTGTGTTTTTAGGATTTTTTTCATATATCTAGGTTATCCATTTTGGCTATACAATTTTTCATAGTATTTTCTTATAATCCTTTTAAATTCTATAAAATTGGTAATAATATCCTCTTCATTTCATATTTTAGTCATTAGTGACTTCCCTTTTTTCATCAATTTGACAAAAGTCTTGTCCATTTTTATAATCTTTTCTAAGACCAAATTCCTGATTTTGTTTAATGACTCTATTTTTTTTCTGTTCTCTATTCTATTTATCTTTGCTATATTTGTAGCATTTCCTTCCTTTTTCTTGCTTTGGGTTTATTTCATTCTTCTTCAAATTGCTTAAGGTGGAGATTGTGGTTGTTGATTTGAGATTGTGATGGTTAATTTTAAATGTCAATCTGACTGGGCTAAAGGATGCCCAGATAACTGACAAAAAAATTATTTCGGAGTGTGTTTGTGGGGATGTCTCCAGAAGAGATAAGCATTTAAATTAATAGAATGAGTAAAGAAGATTGATCTCACTAGTGTGGGTGGGCATCATCCAATTCACTGAGTGCTCAGATAGAACAAAAAGGTGGAGGAAAGGTGAATTTTCCCTTGCTTCTTGATCTGTTATATTTATCTTCTCCTGCCCATGGTGCTTTTGTTTCTCAGCCCTTTGGACTCTGGGATTTACACCAGCAGCCCCTCTGCTTCTCAGGTCTTCAGACTTGGACTGAATTACATCACTGGCAGCCTTGGTTCTCTAGCTTGCAGATGGCAGATAGTGGGATTTCTCAGCATCCATAATCACACGATCCAGTTGCCATAATATATATTTCCTATTCATTCTATTTCTTGGGATAATCATGACTAATAACAGTTTTTGGTACTGAGAGTGGTTCTAGAAAACAGAATTTTTAGGATAAAATTTCTGAATTTTTTTCTAGGGTTTCTAGAATTGGCTGTCTAATCTAATGAGAGTTAAATACACTAATGACTATTTCTAGTAATAAAGGGAGCACTGATAGTCTGTGACATGAACTGTTTATAGAGATACACAAAATATGTGCACTGAATTCACCTAGTCAACCACTTATAAGAAGCAAGGAGCTAAGTTACTCTGTATATGATACTTTTAAACACATTCAGAAAACTAAGGAATATAATAATGCTAGTTGGTTGCTCCTAATATTACTGGACAAAGTAATGAAAAAAAGGATGAGCTCAAGGATTTGAATTCTCAGCTCAAGCACCACATAAATGACATAAGTTCTTCTAGGTGTGCCCTTAACAACCATAGCCATAAGGTTGAAACTGCTGAAAATCAAATGCACAACCTCATCCTGCCATTGGCTGAATTACAATGCAAGTTGAACTCCCAGTCTTGCAGAGTGTCTAGTGTTAAACTCACATACCTTTCAGTTTGCTATGCCTGCTACCAGCCAGTACTTCTCAGTTGTGGGTCTCTGTAGTACTTTCTTTAGCATTCCTGTAGATTGACACAGCCAATACATATTTGCCTTCACTTGTAAAGAAAAATATACCTGGAGTGTGATGCTCTGAGGATACTCATGGAGGCCCACTTATTTTTCCTGAGTATTAAAAGCTGATTTAGAGAATTTAAGATTTCCCCAGGGCTCGACGTTCATTCAATATGTGGATGATGTTCTTTGCTCAGACACACTCTCTTCTTCTCACGAAGATAGTCTATATTTACTCAATTAGCTAATAAGGGACAGAAAGTGTCCAAAGACAAACTCCAGCTATGCTTGCCTCAAGTTAAGTATTTGGGGCACATTATCTCGGTGGAGGGATTCAGCATTACCCCTAATAGAGAGAGGAATTTAGCTTTCTCAATGACCATCACAAAGAAACAACTTAGAGAGTTTTGGGGACTGGCCAGCTATTGTAGAAACTGGATACCAAATTTCTCCCTCATAGCTCAACTTCTGTATACATACCTAAAAAATGAACAGCCTGATCCCACCATGTGGGGTCCAGAGGAACAATATGTCATACAATGAATAAAATAAACGCTAACAAACACTCCAGCCATAGGGCACCCTAACTACAAGTTGCCTTTCCCCTCTTCATATGGGGTACCGACCCAGAAACATGCTAATCATCAGAGGCCTATAGGATGCTATAGCCAACAGCTAAGCCCCGTGGCTCAAGGGCTGCCTCCCAGTATGTGAGACATCTCAGCCACTATCCTTTTGTACAAGTCTGTTGAATAAATAATTATGGGTTCCTTTATTGCCATGTTTGCACCACATTCTCTTGAAGACCTTCTAAACTCTCACCATGCTCAACACCTGTCTGTCAATAGGTTAAGCTCCTATGAAGTTTTACTTCCATCATCTTCAAATATTACCATTTTTCATTCTAACAATCTTAACCTGACTACTACATTACCAAGTCCTTCTGATGATACCCCTCATGAATGTAGTCTGACGGCTGACCAGTTTCTCACCTCCAGGATGGATCTACAATAGATGCCACTGGATAATGCTGAGATAGAGTGGTTTACAGATAGGTCTTACTTAAGATGGGAGGACGGTAGCTTTAGAGAGGAATGTGCCATGGTTTTCTCATTAGAGGTCATTGAAGCCAGTCCTCTTCCCAAAGGCAGATTAACTCAAGTGGCTGAATTGATTTCCCTGACCTGAGCTTGTCAATTGAATTGCAAAAGAAAGGCCTATGAATATATACACTGACAGTCACTATACTTTTGTGGTTTCCCATGACTTTAAGATGCTATGGAAGGAGAGAGGATCTTTAACCTACTCAGGACAACCCATAAAAATGGAAAAGTGTAAGAGCTGTTAGCAACAATTCTAAAATCAAAACTTTTCATGATTATAAAAGTCCCAGGTCACTCTAAGTTGGACATCACTGAAAGTTGGGGTAACCAATTTACAGACACTACAGCTAAAAGAGCAGCATTTGAGCCACCCAGCCCAGATCCACAGAATGGCCACAAAACCTAAGTCACTTAAAATCATGTTAAAAGAAAAAAACTCAAGGCATAGCCCCACCAAATGAAAAATCTAGTTGGAAACAAAAAGGAGGATAATTTTATCCTGAAACTGAAATATGGTATGGATGTAATTAATAATAAACCCATTATTTCAATAAGATGTCAGGTGCTCCTTATGGAACATATTCATAATCTGACACATGGGAATTCACATAAAATGATATCCTGGTGTAAAAAATATTACTGGAAACTGTCCTTCATGATGGCAGAAAAGGTTTATTTTCAGCATTTCATTTGTCCCAAACATAACCCAGAGAACCCCCTCCAAAGGGCCCAAGGTCATTTTCTCCTTGCAGCTGGACCTTTTGATACACGGAAACTTGATTTCATCCATTTGACATCACGTCAAGTTTACAACTATGTTTTTGTAATAATCTGCATATTTTCCCATTGGGTTGTGGCTTTTCTTTGCAAGCAAGGGACTGCAATGGCAGGTGGAAAAATCCTATTCAAGAAAGTTATTTCACTATTGGGAGTCCCCTCTGAACTTCATAGTGATAAAGGAACTCATTTTACTGACCAAGTTAATAAAATATTTTCAAAATTTGTCCCATATTTTAATATTTCCATTGTGCCTACCACCCCTAGTCCACAGGGTTAGTGGAATGGACCAATGGAATCGTTAAAATACAATTGGCTAAATTCCTAGAGTTGTTTCACCTCCCCTAGCCAAAAGCAATCCCCCTGGTACTATTTACACTGCGATCTATCCCTTTTGGAAATCATCATCTATCCCCTCATGACATTATAACTGGAAGGCCCATGTATATGGGAACTAAAATAAATGACCCAACTGTTCTCAGGGGAGATATACTAAAAGATTGTAAAGAACTTCTTTCCCATTGTATTAGCCAGGTTTCTCTAGCGGGACAGAACTAATAAGATAGAGGTATATATAAAGGGGAGTTTATTAAGGAATATTGACTCACACGATCACAAGGTGAAGTCCCACAATAGGCCATCTGCAAGCTGAAGAGCAAGGATGCCAGTCCGAGTCCCAAAACCTCAAAAGGAAGGAAGCCAACAGTGCAGTCTGTGGCCAAAGGCCCAAGAGCCCCTGGCAAACCGCTTGTTTAGGTCCAAGAGTCCAAAAGCTAAAGAACTTGGAGTTCGAGGGCAGGAAGCATTTAGCATGGGAGAAAGATGAAGTCCGGAAGACTCAGAAAGTCTGCTCTTCCATCCTCTCCTGCCTGCTTTGTTCTGGCCATGCTGGCAGCTGATTAGATGGTGTCCACCCAGATTGAGAGTGGGTCTGCCTCTCCCAGTCCACCGACTCAAATGTTAATGTCCTTTGGCAACACCCTCACAGACAAACCCAGAAACAATACTTTGCATCCTTCAATCCAATCAAGTTGATACTCAATATTAATTATCACAAGTCCACCCCTTGTCAACTTGAACCCATACACACCTCCTGAAATCATACATAATCTTCAAATAAATACATTAAAAAGGTCATAATTATGCCTAACATAATACAGCTATTCTTTGTACAACTGGAAACACACCAGTCCTTAACCTGAATGCTATTACATAAAGTTAACAACACTTAAATTCTGATAGGAAGTCAATAAATCTTATGTCACATGATAACAGAAAAAGAAAGGAAATTAAATGAAGGTATTTTCTTAGAATAAGTATATACATGTACAAACACGTTCGTAACAAAATAAGGAGAAAATAGTCATGATAATTACAGTCCTCATTTCTGCAACTGGTTACACGGTCATAGCTGATATTGATGACTACTTTCTTCTACCACCCATTCTGTATTTCCTTTGTCTTCAGCAAGCACCTCAGCAGTTCGTGGTTTTTTACTTGGTGGAGTGACCCAAACCATTCCTGAGGGGTCTGGGCCATTTGTAGTCCTGCTAGGATTGGGCTGTTGTTGTTTCCCATTGACCTTAATCACAGGACATGGTAATACTAAGAGACACCCTAAAAGATCTCCTGTATTTCATACATACTCTTCCTTACGTCCATTGTTGAGTAGTAGACTGACTTCACCTTGATAGTATGGGTCAATCGCTCCAGCCAATATTGTAACTCCCTTCTTAGCCTGTTGACTTAGAGATAGAAGGAACCCAAAGTGGATAGGTGGCAATCTTAGCTTCCAGTTTAATGGAATCATTGTTGTGTCTCCTGGTGGCAGCATTCCTCCCTCTGGAACTATGACCTCTAGGCCAGCAGAACATAATGTGACAGAAACAGGAAGCAAAAATTTTGCTAGTGGGTCACTAAGGGTGATGGTGAGTGATAGCACTTCCACCCCTTGATTCCTGAACCCGTGAATCCTGGCTATGAGAGAAGCAGTAGCATATATTGGATGCTGATTCAGAGCATGTACAGCCTTCTGGAGAACTTTGCCCCAGCCCTGCAAAGTATTGTAACATATTAGGCATTGTAATTGTGGCTTCAAAAGCCATTCCACAATTCTATCAATCCAGTACTTCAGGATGATGGGGAACATGGTAAGACCAGTGAATTCTATAAGCATGAGCCCACTGCTGCACTTCTTTAGCTATAAAGTGAGTGCCTTCATCAGAGGCAATGCTATGTGGAATACCATGACAGTGGATAAGGCATTCCATGAGTCCACAGATGGTATTTTTGGCAGAAGCATTGGGTGCAGGATAGATAAACTTATATCCGGAGTAAGTGTCTATTCTGGTGAAGAAAAACCGCTGCCCTTTCCATGATGGAAGAGGTGCAATATAATCAACCCTCCACCAAGTAGCTGGCTGATCACCACGAGGATGACGCCATGTCAAGGGCTCAGTGTTGGTCTCGCTGCTGGGAAATTGGGCACTCGGGGTGGCCATAGCCAGGTCATTCTTGGTGAGTGGAAGTCTATGTTGCTGAGCCCATGTGTAACCTCCATCCCTGTCACCATAGCCACTTTGTTCATGGACCCATTGGGTGATGAAAGGGCTGGCTGGGGAAAAAAGCTGAGTGGTATCCACAGAATAAGTCATCCTATTCACTTTATTAAAATCATCCTCTGCTGAGGTCACCCTTTTGTGAGCTCTCACATGAGATACAAATATCTTCACAGTTTTTGACCACTCAGAGAGGTCCATTCACATACCTCTTCCCCAAATATCTTTGTCACCAATTTTGCAATCATGCTTCTTCCAAGCCCCCAACTATCAAGCCAAACCATTGGCTACCGCCCATGAAAGAGCATATAGTCGCATGTCTGACCATTTCTCTTTTCAAGAAAAGTGCACAATGAAGTGCATTGCTCAAAGTTCTGCCCACTTGGAAGATTTCTCTTTGCCACTGTCCTTCAGGCATGTCCTAGAAAGGTGCTGTAGTGCTACAGCTGTCCACTTCCAGGTGGTGCCTGCATATCATGCAGAGCCTTCTGTAAGCCCCTGTCAACTGATCATAGGGAACTCCCCATGTGGACACTGGTGCAGGCTGGGGGAGAGAAGGCAGGGTGGCAGGAGTGGAGACGATGGGCATTTGAGCCACTTCCTCATGTAACTTACTTGTGCTTTCAGAACCTGCTGGAGCCCGATCACATATATACCACTTCCATTTGATAATGAAATGCTGCTGTGCATACCCCAGTTCATGGCTAGATGGGTCAGAAAGCACCCAATTCATGATAGGCAGTTCAGGTCGCATGGTGATTTGATGACTCATTTTCAAACACTCACTTTCTACCAAAGCCTGGTAACATGCCAAGAGCTATTTCTCAAAAGGAGAGTAGTTATCTGCAGAAGATGGCAGAGCCTTGCTCCAAAATCCTAGAGGTCTCTGCTGTGATTCACCTATGGCGGCCTTCCAAAGTCTCCAAACAGCATCCCTATCTGCCACTGAAATCTCAAGCGCCATTGGATCTGCTGGATCATGTGGCCCAAGTCACAGAGCAGCTTGCACAGCAGCCTGGACCTGTTGCAGAGCCTTCTCCTGTTCTGGACCCCACCCAAAACTGGCAACTTTTCAGGTCACTCAATAAATGGGCCACAGAAACACACCCAAATGAGGAATACATTGCCCCCAAAATCCATATAGGCCCAAGAGGTATTGTGCCTCTTCCTTGGTTATAGGAAGGGCCAAATGCAACAACTTATCCTTCACCTTAGAAGGAATATCTCAACAGGCCCCACATCACTGGACCTCATGAAATTTCACTGAGGTAGAAGGCCCCTGAATTTTAGTCAGATTTATTTCCCATCCCCTGGCACACAAATGTCTCACTAATAGGCCCAGTGTGTTTGTTAATTCTTGCTCACTGTGTCCAATGAGCATAATGTCATCAATTTAATGCACCAGTGTGGTATCTTGTGGAAGGTAACAGCAATCAAGATATCTGCAAACAAGGGTATGACACAAAGCTAGAGAGTTGGTATACTCCTGAGTTAAGACAGTGAAGGTATATTGCTGGCCTTTCCAACTGAAGGCAAATTGTTTCTGGTGGGCCTTATGGACAGGAATGGAGAAAAAGGCATTTGCCAAATCAATGGCTACATACCAGGTGACGGGTTAATTTGCTCAAGCATTGAAACCACATCTGGTACAGCAGCTGCAATTGGAGTCACCACTTGGTTAAGCTTACGATAACCCACTGTCATTCTCCAAGATCCATCTGTCTTCTGCATGGGCCAAATAGGAGAGTTGAATGAGGATGTGGTGGGAATCACAACCCCTGCATCTTTCAAGTCCTTGATGTGGTACTAATCTCTGCAATCCCTCCAGGGATGCAATATCGTTTTTGATTTACTATTTTTCTAGGTAGAGGCAGCTCTAATGGCTTGCATTTGGCTTTTCCCACCATAATACTCCTCACTCTGCCAATCAGGGAGCCAATGTGGTTCTGCCAGCTGCTCAGTATGTCTATGCTGATTTTACGTTCTGGCACTGGGAAAATGACCAGAGGACGAGTCCAATGACCCATTGGATTCACTCTAAGTTGGATATGAGCAAAAACTCCATTAATTACCTGACCTCCATAAGCCCCTACTTTAATTGGAGGACCGTAATGATGTTTTGGGTCATTTGGAGTCAATGTCAGCTCAGAGCTAGTGTCCACTAGTCCCCAAAAGGTCTGATCATTCCCCTTTCCCCAGTGCAGAGTTACCCTGGTAAAAGGCTGTAGGTCCTCTTGGGGAAAGATGGGAGAAAGATAAACATTATAAATTGTCGGTAGTAGAGTGGGCGTCCTTCCTCAAGGGTACATGGCCTCCTTTTCATTCAAGGGGTTCTGGGTCTATAAACTGGTTCAAGTCTGGAAATTGATTGAGGGGCCATGATTCTCTATTTTTATAATTCAAATTAGTATTTAGTCCACTTGACCTGAAAGTTTTCTGCTTATACAAATTAAGTAAGAATGCAGTAGGTTTCCTGTCAATTTCACTTCTAGGAACACCATGATTAATTAGCCAATGCCAGAGTTCTACACAAGTCAGACTTTTCAGATTGCTGCTTTGCCTTTGCTCTCCATTATGGAAGCTACACCCACCTTGCCTCTGAAGGTTGAGGGCTATTCCTTGGCCCCTGCCACCTCAGGATCTAATTATTCCTATTGCATTTAAATTGTGTAATTGAGTGACTGCAGTTCCCACTGTAAGAGTTGGCATACAGAGAATAGCAATCACAGAGCTCTTCAAGGATGCAGGTGTTCCCTTCACGATCTATTTCACAAGGTATTGGTGAAGGGTATGTCTTCTGGACCCTCCCACCTGGGATGAGTAGGTCTAAAGTGACTAATCCACTCTAGCATCTCAATCTCCCCATTCCTTTGGATCCCTTCCTCTACATTAAACAAAGGGAGATAAGACATTTCTAGCTCACTCACAGGGGCCCATCTTTTGATCATATTTCAGCTAACCAAGTGAATAAACTATTAGATCCTTTTTTAACTCCCTGAGATGCAACATTAAATGCAGAATCCCTGCTTAGTGGGTGCAAATCAATAAATTCAGCCTGATCCAACTTTATGTTCCTTCCACCATTATCCCACATCCTTAATATCCATTCCCATGCCTTTTCTCCAGATTTCTGCTTATATAAATTAGAAAATTCAAGCAGTTCTTTTGAGGTATAGTGCACCTCCTCATGGGTCACACTCTGAACCTCACCTCTAGGGGCCTGCCAGTACTTTAGTGCAGTTACAGGTCTAGAAGCAAACAGAGGTGTTGGGGGTGGGACATGAAGAGAATCGGCATTGTCTTTCCTGGCAACTGCCCCAAGTGAGGCCATCACTGTTGCCTTGGGCAGTGCATGGTTAATCTCCTCAGACAAAGGTGGAGAGACTGATGGCAGCATGGGTGGGGGAGGGGATGTTGTCACCACTGGGGGTGGGGTAGCTCTTTCTTCTGACAAAAAGTCTCATCAGACTCTGAGCTCAGTGTCTCCAGCTTCATCAGCATCCTCCCACATGTCCCCATTTCAAGTTGCAGGGTCTCATTCTTTTCCAATCAATGCCCTCACTTTAACAGTAGACACCTGGCAAGACTGAGTGTGCACCTTTCATTGCAGGTCAAATACCTCATGACCAAGTTGGATTTATCCCAGGGATGCAAGAATGTGTCAACATAGACAAATCAATTAAAGCGATACATCATGTAAACAGAATGACAAGAAAAAATATGATCTCTGATTGATGTTGAAAAAGCATTTGATAAAATTCAACAATCCATTGTAATAAAAACCATCAGAATACTGGGTAAAGAAAGATCAAACCTCAACACAATAAAAGCATTATATGACAGACCCACAGCTAGCTTCTTACTGAATGGGGAAATAGTGAAAGCCTTTCCTCTAAGATCTGGAACATGACAAGGATGTGCAATTTTACCACTGCTTTCAACATAGTCCTGGAAGTCCTAGATGGAGCAATTGGACAAGAGATAGAAAAAAAGGGAATCTGAATTAAAAAGAAGGAAGTCCAATTATCCTTGTTTGCAGATGACATAATATCATATTTTGAAAAACCTAAAGATTCCACCACAAAACCTGTTAGAACTGATAAATTCAGTAAATTTGCAAGATACATTAACATTAAAAAATCAGTAGCATTTCTACATGCCAACAGTGAACAATCTGAAAAATGAGTCAAGAAAGTAATTCATTTAAAATACTATGAATAAAATAAAATACCTAGGAATTAACTTAACCAAAGAACTGGAATATCTCTGTGATGAAAACAATAAAATATTGATTAAAGAAATCAAAGATGACACAAAAAATGAAAAGAAATTTTATGTTAATAGATTGGAAGAATCAATGTTGTTAAAATGTTCATACTATCTAAAACAATCTATATTTTCAATGCAATCCCTAACAAAATACCAATGACATTCTTCACAGAAATAGAAAAAGAATCTTAATATGTGTAGGGATCTGTAAAGGACTCTGAAGAAAGGTATCTTGAGCAAAAAGCACAAAACTGGAAGAATCATGTTACCTGACTTCAAATTATTCCACACAGCTTCAGCAACCAAAATAGCATTATAGTAGCATAAAAACTGACACATAGATCAGTGGAACAGAATAGAGAACCCAGAGATCAATCCACACATCTATGGTAAAGGTAGATTGTGCAGGGAAATTGTGCAGGGAAAGCTGGATACCCTTATGTAGAAAATTAAAGCTAGACCCCTATATCTTACCATTATACAAAAAACAAATCAAAGTGGATTAAAGACTTAAATCTAAGATCTCAAACTATGAAAGTACTAAAAAGAAAACTTTGGGGAAACTGTCTGGGACATTGGTCTGGGCAATTATTTCCTGAGTAATACCCCAAAGCATAGGCAAACAAAGCAAAAATGGACAAATAGGATTATATCAAGTTAAAAAGCTTCTGCACAACAAAGGAAACAATCAACAAGAAGAAGAGACAACAGACAAAATAGGAGAAAATATCTGCACACTATCCATCTGGTGAGGGATTAATAACCAGAATACATAAGGAGTTCAAGAAAATCAATAGGAAAAAAATCTCATAATCCCATGAAAATAGGCAAAATAAGGTGGCTGGCAACATGGCCAAACAGGAACAGCTCCAGTCTGCAGCTCTCAGGTAGATCAGCGCAGAAGGTGGGTGATTTCTACTTTTCCAACTGAGGTACCTGGCTCATATCATTGGGACTGCTTAGACAGAGGGTGCAGCCCGTGGACAATGAGCCAAAATTGGGTGGGGCATTGCCTCACCCAGGGAGCACAAGGGGTCAGAGAACTCCCTCCCCTAGCCAAGGGACGCCATGAGGGACCCTGCCATGAGGAATGGTGCGCTCCTTCTCAAATATTACACTTTTTCCATGGTCTTCGCAACATGCAGACCAGGAGATTCCCTCGGGCACCTAGGCTACCAGGGCCCTAGGTTTTAAGCACAAAACTGGGTGGCCATTTGTGCAGACACTGGGCTAGCTGCACGAGTTTTTGTTTTTTGTTTTTCATACCCCAGTGGCACCTGGAACACCAGAGAGACAGAACCGTTCACTCTCCTGGAAAGGGGGCTGAAGCCAGGGAGCCAAGTGGTCTAGCTCAACAGATCCCACCCCCATGGAGCCCAGCAAGCTAAGATCCACTGGCTTGAAATTCTTGCTGCCAACACAGCAGTCTGAAGACGACCTGGGATGTTCCAGTTTGGTGGCAGGTGGGGCATCCAACATTACTGAGGCTTGAGTAGGCAGTTTTCTCCTCACAGTGTAAACAAAACCACCAGGAAGTTCCAACTGGGCAGAGCCCATGGGAGCATGGGAAAGCCTCTGTGGCCAGACTGCCTCTCTAGATTCCTCCTCTCTGGACAGGGCGTCTCTGAAAGAAAGGCAGCAGCCCCAGACAGTGGCTTATAGATAAAATTCCCATCTTCCTGGGACAAAGTACCTGGGGGAAGGGGCGGCTGTGGGCACAGCTTCAGCAGACTTATTCTTGCATGCTGGCTCTGAAGAGAACAGCAGATCTCCCAGCACAGCGCTCGAACTCTGATAAGGGACAGACTGCCTCCTCAAGTGGATCCCTGACCCCCACGTCTCCTGACTGGAAGACACCTCCCAGAAGGGGTCAACAGACACCTTATAAAAGAGAGCTCCAGCTGGCATCTGGCAGGTGCCCCTCTGAGACGAAGCTTCCAGAGGAAGGAACAGGCAGCAATCTTTGCTGTTCTGCAGCCTCCACTGGTGATACCCAGGCAAACAGGGTCTGGAGTGGATCTCCAGCAAACTCCGGCAGACCTGCAGAAGAGGGCCCTGACTGTCAGAAGGAAAACTAAAAAACAGAAGGAATAGCATCAATATCAACAAAAAAGATGTTCACACAGAAACTCCATCTGAAGGTCATGAACATCAAGGATCAAAGGTAAATAAATCCACGAAGATGACAAAAAGCCAGCGCAAAGAGGTTGAAAATTCCCAAAACCGGAATGAATCTTCTGCTCCAAAGGATCACAACTCCTTGCCAGCAAGGGAACAAAACTGGACAGAGAATGAAACTGAAGAACTGACAGAGGTAGGCTTCAAAACTTGGACAATAACAAACTCCTCTGAGCTAAAGGAGCATATTCTAACCCAATGAAAGGAAGTGAACAACTTTGAAAAAAAAATTAGATGAATTGCTAACTAGAATAACCAGTTTAGAGAAGAACATAAATGACCTGATGGAGCTGAAAAACACAGCACAAAAACTTTATGAAGCATACACAAGTATCAGTAGCTGAATCCATCAAGTGCAAGAAAGGATAACAGAGATTGAAGATCAACTTAATGAAATAAAGCATGAAGACAAGATTAGAGAAAAAAGAATGAAAAGGAATGAATAAAGCCTGCAAGAAATATGGGACTATATGAAAAGACCAAACCTACATTTGATTGGTGTACCTGAAAGTGATGGGGAGAATGGAACCAAGTCGGAAAACACTCTTCAGGATATTATCCAAGAGAACTTCTTCAACCTAGAAAGACAGGCCAACATTCAAATTTAGGAAATACAGAGAAAACCACAAAGATACTCCTTGAGAAGAGCAACCCCAAGACACATAATCGTCAGATTCACCAAGACTGAAATGAAGAAAAAAATGTTAAGAGCAACCAGAGAGAAAGGTTGTGTTACCCACAAAGGGAAGTCCACCAGACTAACAGTGGATCTCTCTGCAGAAACTTTCCAAGCCAGAAGACAGTGGGGGTTAATATTCAACACTTTTAAGGAAAAGAATTTTCAACTCAGAATTTTATATCAGGCCAAACTAAGTTTTGAAATAAAATCCTTTACAGACAAGCAAATGCTGAGAGATTTTGTCACCACCAGGCCTGCCTTACAAGAGCTCCTGAAGGAAGCACTAAATATGGAAAGGAAAAACCAGTACCAGCCACTGCAAAAACATACCAAATTGTAAAGACCACTGACACTTTGAAGAAACTGCATCCACTAACGAGCAAAATAACCAGCTAGCATCATAATGACAGGATTAAATTCACACATAACAATATTAACCTTAAATGTAAATGGGCTAAATGCCCTAATTAAAGGACACAGGCTGGCAAATTGGATAAAGAGTGAAGACTCATCAGTGTTCTGTATTCAGGAGACCCATCTCATGTGAAAAGACACAAAAAGGCTAAACATAAAGGGATGGAGGAATATTTACCAGGCAAATGAAAAGCAAAAAATAGCAGCAGTTGCAATCTTAGTCTCTGATAAAACAGACTTTAAGCTGACAAAGATCAAAAAAGACAAAGAAAGGCATTACATAATGGTAAATAGATCAATGCAACAAGAAGAGCTAACTATTCTAAATATATATGCACCCAACACAGGAGCACCCAGATTAATAAAGCAAGTTCTCAGAGACCTACAAAGAGACTTAGACTCCCACACAATGACAGTGGGAGACTTTAACACTCCACTGTCAACATTAGACCGATCAACAAGACAGAAAATTAATGAGGTTATCCAGGACTTGAACTCAGCTCTGGTTGAAGCAGATCTAATAGACATTTAGAGAACTCTCCAGCCCAAATCAACAGAATATACATTTTTCTCAGCCCCACATCACACTTATTCTAAAATTGACCACATAATTGGAAGTGAAACACTCCTCAGCAAATGCAAAAGAATGGAAAGCATAACATTCTCTCAGACAACAGTGTAATCAAATTAGAACTCAGGGTTAACAAACTTGCTCAAAACCATACAACTACATGGAAACTGAACAATCTGCTCTGGAGTGACTATAGGGTAAATGATGAAATTAAGGCAGACATAAATAAGTTCTTTGAAACCAATGAGAACAAAGACACAATGTACGAGAATCTCTGGGACACAGCTAAAGCAGTGTTTAGAGGGGAATTTATAGCACTAAATGCCCACAGGAGAAAGCAGGAAAGATCTAAAATCAACATCCTAACATCACAATTACAAGAACTAGAGAAGCAAGAGCAAACAAATTCAGAAGACAAGAAATAACTAAGATCAGAGAAGAACTGAAAAAGATAGAGACATGAAAAACCCTTAAAAAATCCATGAATCTAGGAGCTGATTTTTTTGAAAAGATCAACAAAGTAGATAGACCACTAGCTACACTAATAAAGAAGAAAAGAGAGAAGAGTCAAATAGGCACAATAAAAAATGATAAAGGGGATATCACCACCAATCTCACAGAAATACAAACTACCATCAGAAAATACTATAAACAGCTCTATGCAAATAAACTAGAAAATCTCAAGAAATGGATGAATTCATATACACATACATCCTCCCGTGATGAAACCAGGAAGAAGTCAAATCCCTGAATAGACCAAAAACAAGTTCTGAAATTGAGACACTAATTAATAGCCAACAAACACAAAAAAGGCCAGGACCAGATGGATTCACAGCTGAATTCTACCAGAGGTACAAAGAGGAGCTGGTATCATTTTTTCTAAAAGTATTCCAAATGATAGAAAAATAGGGACTCCTCTCTAACTCATTTTATGAAGCCAGCATCATCCTGATACCAAAACCTGGCAAAGACACAACAAAAAAAGAAAATTTCAGGCCAATATTCCTGACAAACATCAATGCGAAAATCCTTAATAAAATACTGGCAAACCAAATCCAGCAGCACATCAAAAATCTTATCCACCACGATCAAGTCGGCTTCCTCCCTGGGTTGCAAGGCTGCTTCAACATACACAAATCAACAAACATAATCAATCACATAAACAGAACAAATGACAAAAGCCACATGATTATCTCAACAAATGCAGAAAAGGCCTTCTACAAAATTTAACACCCCTTCATGCTGAAAACTCTCAATAAAGTAGGCATTGATGGAATGTATCTCAAAATAATAAGAGTTATTTGTGACAAACCCAGAGCCAATATCATACTGAATGGGCAAAAACTGGAAGCATTCTCTTTGAAAACTGGTACAAGACAAGGATGCCCTCTATCACCATTCCTAGTCGACATAGTGTTGGAAGTTCTGGCTAGGGCAATCAGGCAAGAGAAAGAAATAAAGGGTATTCAATTAGGAAAAGAGGAAGTCAAATTGTCCCTGTTTGCAGATGACATGATTTTATATTTAGAAAACCCCATCATCTCAGTCCAAAATCTCCTTAAGCTGATAAGCAACTTCAGCAAAGTCTCAGGATACAAAAACAACTTGCAAAAATCACAAGCATTCCTATACACCAATAATAGGCAAGCAGAGAGACAAATCATGAGTGAAATCACATTCACAATTGCTACAAAGAGAATAAAATACCTAGGAATACAACTCACAAGGAATGTGAATGACTTCTTCAAGGAGAACTACAAACTACTGCTCCAGGAAATGAGAGGACACAAACAAATGGAAAAACATTCCATGCTCATGGGTAGGAAGAATCAATATCGTGAAAATGGCCACATGGCCCACAGTAATTTATAGATTCAATGCTATTCCCATCAAGCCACCATTGACTTTCTTCACAGATTTAGAGAAAACTACTTTAAATGTCATGTGGAACCAAAACAGAGCCCATATAGCCAAGACAATCCTAAGCAAAAAGAACAAAGCTGGAGGCATCACCCTACATGACTTCATACTATACTACAAGGCTGCAGCAACTAAAACAGCATGGTACTGGTACCAAAACAGACATGTAGACTAATGGAGCAGAACAGAGACCTCAGAAATAACACCACAAATCTACAGCCATCTGATCTTTGACTAACCTGACAAAAACAAGAAATGGGGAAAGGATTCCCTATTTAACAAATGGTGTTGGGAAAACTGGCTAGCCATATGCAGAAAACTGAAAC
This sequence comes from Homo sapiens, assembly GCF_000001405.40. Lineage (NCBI taxonomy): Eukaryota > Metazoa > Chordata > Mammalia > Primates > Hominidae > Homo > Homo sapiens. The sequence goes on from NC_000023.11 coordinate 73,057,313, forward strand.
TAGACCCCTTCCTTACACCTTATACAAAACATAACTCGAGATGGATGAAAGACTTAACCATAAGACCTAAAACCATTAAAACCCTAGAAGAAAACCTAAGTGATACCATTTAGGTCATAGGCATGGGCAAAGATTCCATGAATAAACACCAAAAGCAATGGCAACAAAAGCCAAAATTGACAAACGGGATCTAATTAAAACTAATGAGTTTCTCTACAGCAAAAGAAACTATCATCAGAGTGAACAGGCAACCTACAGAATGGCACGAAAGTTTTGCAATCTATCCATCTTACAAAAGGCTAATATCCAGAATCTACAAGGAGCTTAAACTTACAAGAAAAAAAAATCCCATCAAAAAGTGGGCAAAGGATATGAACAGACACTTCTCAAAAGAAGACATTTATGTGCCCAACAAACATATGAGAAAAAGCTCATCATCACTGGTCGTTAGAGAAATGCACATCAAAACCACAATGAGATACCATCTCACATCAGTTAAAATGGTGATCATTAAAAAGTCAGGAAACAACAGATGCTGGAGAGGATGTGGAGAAATAGAAATGCTTTTACACTGTTGGTGGGAGCGTAAGTTAGTTCAACCATTGTGGAAAACAGGGTGATGATTCCTCAGGGATCTAGAACCAGAAATACCATTTGACCCAGCAACCCCATTACCAAGTATATGCCCAAAGGACTATAAATTATTCTACTATAAAGACACATGCACATGTATGTTTATTGCAGCACTGTTCACAATAGCAAAGACTTGGAACCACCCCAAATGCCCATCAATGATAGACTGGATTAAGAACATGTGGCATATACACACCATGGTATACTATGCAGCCATAAAAAAGGATGAGTTCATGTCCTTTGCAGGGACATGGATGCAGCTGGAAACCATCATTCTCAGCAAACTAACACAGGAACAGAAAATCAAAAACCAGATGTTCTCACCCATAAGTGGGAGTTGAAAAATGAGGACACATGAACACAGGGAGGGAACATCACACACCAGGGCCTGTCAGGGGGTGGAGGGCTAGGGGGAGGGATAGCATTAGGAGAAATACCTAATGTAAGTGACAGGTTGATGGGTGCAGCAAACCACCATGGCGCCTGTATACCTATGTAACAAACCTGCACATTCTGCACATGTATCCCAGAACTTAAAGTATAATAAAAAAAAATAGGCAAAATAGCTGAATAGATATTTATTTTAAAAAGACATACAAATGGAAAATAGGGGTATGTAAACATTTTCAACATCACAGATTATCAGAGAAATGCACATTAAATCCACAATGAGATATAATTTCACACCAGTTAAAATGACTTTTATCCAAAGATAGGCAACAACAAATGCTGATGAGGTTGTGGAGAAAAGGAGACCCTTATAGACTTTTGACAGGAATGCAAATTTGTACAACCATTGTGGATAACAGTTTGGAGTTTCTTTAAAAAACTAAAAATAAAACTACCATATGATCCAACAATCCCACTGCTGTGTATATACCTTTAAAAATTAGTATATTGAAAAGATTTTTGCACTTCCACGTTTATTGCAATATTATTGGCAATAGCCAAGATTTGAAAGCAACCTAAGTGTCCATCAACAGATAAATAAATAAAGAAAATGGGGTCTGTATACACAGTGGAGTAATGTTCAGCCATTAAAAAAATGTTATCCTGTCACTGTCAACAATGTGAAACTGGACATCAGTATGTTAAGTGAAATAAGCCAGGCAGAGAAAGTCAAACTTCACGTGCTCTCACTCATTCATGGGAGCTAAAAATTAAAACAATTGAGCTCATAGAGATAGAGAGCAGAATAATGGTTATCATTGCCTGGGAAGTGTAGTGGGGGGGGGGGAAGAAAGTAAGCATGTTTAATGAGTCCAAACATTTTGTTACAGAGAATGAATAGGTTCTAGTATTTGATAGCAGGATGACTACAGTAAACAATAATTGATTGTACACTTTAAAATAGCTAAAAATTGGAATATTTGTTTTACAAATAAATGATAAATGCTTGAGTTGATGGATACCTTATTTACCCTTAAGTGATCATTACACATTTTATACCTATGTCAAAATATCTCATGTATCCCATAAATATATATACCTACCATGTAACCATAAAAATTAAAAACTAATTTTTAAAAAAGTATACAGCAAACTTAAAAGCAAACAATAAAAAAACACAGTGAAAAATTATGGTAAATATGTTGTGAAAAAATTGTTAAAATAATAAAAATGCCCATTAGAAAATATTCACTTAATACAAAACACAACAGTAAAGAAGAGATATGGGAACAGAAAAACATAAAATGTATTTTAAATCAGTAAAATGGGAGGGGGGAGCCAAGATGGCCGAATAGGAACAGCTCCAGTCTACAGCTCCCAGCGTGAGTGATGCAGAAGATGGGTGATTTCTGCATTTCAATCTGAGGTACCAGGTTCATCTCACTAGGGAGTGCCAGACAGTGGGTGCAGGAGAGTGGGTGCAGCGCACCATGCATGAGCTGAAGCAGGGTGAGGCATTGCCTCACTCGGGAAGTGCAAGGGGTCAGGGAGTTCCCTTTCCTAGTCAAAGAAAGGAGTGACAGACGGCACCTCGAAAATCAGGTCACTCCCACCCCAATACTGCACTTTTCCAACGGGCTTAAAAATGGCACACGAGGAGATTATATCCCGCACATGGCTCAGAGGGTCCTATGCTCACGGAGTCTCACAGATTGCTAGCACAGCAGTCTGAGATCAAACTGCAAGGTGGCCACGAGGCTGGGGGAGGGGTGCCCGCCATTGCCCAGGCTTGCTTAGGTAAACAAAGCAGCAGGGAAGCTCGAACTGGGTGGAGCCCACCACAGCTCAAGGAGGCCTGCCTGCCTCTGTAGGCTCCACCTCTGGGGGCAGGGCACAGACAAACAAAAATACAGAAGTAACCTCTGCAGAATTAAATGTCCCTGTCTGACAGCTTTGAAGACAGCAGTGGTTCTCCCAGCATGCAGCTGGAGATCTGAGAACAAGCAGACTGTCTCCTCAAGTGGGTCCCCGACCCCTGACCCCCGAACAGCCTAACTGGGAGGCACCCCGCAGTAGGGGCAGACTGACACCTCACACGGTTGGGTACTCCTCTGAGACAAAACTTCCAGAGGAACTATCAGACAGCAGCATTCGCGGTTCACGAAAATTCACTGTTCTGCAGCCACCGCTGCTGCTACCCAGGCAAACAGGGTCTGGAGTGGACCTCTAGCAAACTCCAACAGACCTGCAGCTGAGGGTCCTGTCTGTCAGAAGGAAAACTAACAAACAGAAAGGACATCCACACCAAAAACCCATGTGTACATCACCATCGTCAAAGACTAAAAGTAGATAAAACCACAAAGATGTGGAAAAAACAGAGCAGAAAAACTGGAAACTCTAAAAAGCAGAGCGCCTCTCCTCCTCCAAAGGAACGCACCTCCTCACCAGCAATGGAACAAAGCTGGATGCAGAATGACTTTGACGAGTTGAGAGAAGAAGGCTTCAGATGATCAAACTACTCCGAGCTACAGGAGGAAATTCAAACCAAAGGCAAAGAAGTTGAAAACTTTCAAAAAAAAATTAGACGAATATATAACTAGAATAACCAATACAGAGAAGTGCTTAAAGGAGCTGATGGAGCTGAAAGCTAAGGCTCGAGAACTACATGAAGAATGCAGAAGCCTCAGGAGCTGATGCAATCAGCTGGAAGAAAGGGTATCAGTGATGGAAGATGAAATGAATGAAATGAAGTGAGAAGGGAAGTTTAGAGAAAAAAGAATAAAAAGAAATGAACAAAGTCTACAAGAAATATGGGACTATGGGAAAAGACCAAATCTACGTCTCATAGGTGTACCTGAAAGTGACGGGGAGAATGGAACCAAGGTGGAAAATACTCTGCAGGATATTATCCAGGAGAACTTCCACAATCTAGCAAGGCAGGCCAACATTCAGATTCAGGAAATACAGAGAATGCCACAGAGATACTCTTCGAGAAGAACAACTCCAAGACATATAATTGTCACATTCACCAAAGTTGAAATGAAAGAAAAAATGTTAAGGGCAGCCAGAGAGAAAGGTCGGGTTACCCACAAAGGGAAGCCCATCAGACTAACAGCTGATCTCTCAGCAGAAACTCTACAAGCCAGAAGAGAGTGGAGGCCAATATTCAACATTCTTAAAGAAAATAATTTTCAACCAGAATTTCATATCCAGCTAAACTAAGTTTCATAAGTGAAGGAGAAATAAAATCCTTTATAGACAAGTAAATGCTGAGAGATTTTATCACCACCAGGCCTGCCCTAAAAGAGATCCTGAAGGAAGCACTAAACATGGAAAGGAACAACCAGTACCAGCCACTGCAAAATCATGCCAAATTGTAAAGACCATCCAGGCTAGGAAGAAACTGCATCAACTAAAGTGCAAAATAAGCAGCTAACATCATAATGACAGGATCAAATTCACACATAACAATATTAACTTTAAATGTAAATGGACTCAATGCTCCAATTAAAAGACACAGACTGGCAAATTGGATAAAGAGTCAAGACCCATCAGTGTGCTGTATTCAGGAAGCCCATCTCATATGCAGAGACACACATAGGCTCAAAATAAAAGGATGGAGGAAGATCTACCAAGCAAATGGAAAACAAAAAAAGGCAGGGGTTGCAATCCTAGTCTCGGATAAAACAGACTTTAAACCAACAAAGATCAAAAGAGACAAAGAAGGCCATTTCATAATGGTAAAGGGCTCAATTCAACAAGAAGAGCTAACTATCCTAAATATATATGCACCCAATACAGGAGCACCCAGATTCATAAAGCAAGTCCTGAGTGACCTACAAAGAGACATAGACTCCCACACAATAATAATGGGAGACTTTAACACCCCACTGTCAACATTAGACAGATCAACAAGACAGAAAGTTAACAAGGATATACAGGAATTGAACTCAGCTCTGCACCAAGCAGACCTAATAGACATCTACAGAACTCTCCACCCCAAATCAACAGAATATACATTTTTTTTTCAGCACCACATCACACATTCCTAAATCGACCACATAATTGGAAGTAAAGCACTCCTCAGCAAATGTAAAAAATCAAAAATTATAATAAACTGTCTCTCAGCCCACAGTGCAATCAAACTAGAACTCAGGATTAAGAAACTCACTCAAAACCGCTCAAGTACATGGAAACCGAACAACCTGCTCCTGAATGACTACTGGGTACATAACGAAATGAAGGGAGAAATAAAGATGTTCTTTGAAACCAATGAGAACAAAGACAAAACGTACCAGAATGTCTGGGACACATTCAAAGCAGTGTGTAGAGGGAAATTTACAGCACTGAATGCCCACAAGAGAAAGCAGGAAAGATCCAAAATTGACACCCTAACATCACAATTAAAAGAACTAGAAAAGCAAGAGCAAACACATTCAAAAGCTAGCAGAAGGCAGGAAATAACTAACATCAGAGCAGAACTGAAGGAAACAGAGACACAAAAAACCCTTCAAAAAATTAATGAATCCAGGAGCTGGTTTTTTGAAAGGATCAACAAAATTGATAGACTGCTAACAATACTAATAAAGAAGAAAAGAGAGAAGAATCAAATAGATGCAATAAAAAATGATAAAGGGGATATCACCACCGATCCCACAGAAATACAAACTGCCATCAGAGAATACTACAAACACCTCTATGCAAATAAATTAGAAAATCTAGAAAAAGTGGATAAAATCCTGGACACATACACCCTCCCAAGACTAAAGCAGGAAGAAGTTGAATCTCTGAATAGACCAATAAGAGGCTCTGAAATTGTGGCAATAATCAATAGCTTACCAACCAAAAAGAGTCCAGGACCAGATGGATTCACAGCCGAATTCTACCAGAGGTACAAGGAGGAACTGGTACCATTCCTTCTGAAACTATTCCAATCAATAGAAAAAGAGGGAATCCTCCCTAACTCATTTTATGAGGCCAGCATCATCCTGATACCAAAGCCGGGCAGAGACACAACCAAAAAAGAGAATTTTAGACCAATATCCTTGATGAACATTGATGCAAAAATCCTCAGTAAAATACTGGCAAACTGAATCCAGCAGCACAACAAAAAGCTTACCCACCATGATCAAGTGGGCTTCATCCCTGGGATGCAAGGCTGGTTCAATATACACAAATCAATAAATGTAATCCAGCATATAAACAGAACCAAAGACAAAAACCACATGATTATCTCAATAGGTGCAGAAAAGGCCTTTGACAAAATTCAACAATGCTTCATGCTAAAAATTCTCAATAAATTAGGTATTGATGGGATGTATCTCAAAATAATAAGAGCTATCTATGACAAACTCACAGCCAATATCATACTGAATGGGCAAAAACTGGAAGCATTCCCTTTGAAAACTGGAACAAGACGGGGATGCCCTCTCTCACCACTCCTATTCAACATAGTGTTGGAAGTTCTGGCCAGGGCTATCAGGCCAGAGAAGGAAATAAAGGGTATTCAATTAGGAAAAGAGGAAGTCAAATTGTCCCTGTTTGCAGATGACATGACTGTATATCTAGAAAACCCCATTGTCTCAGCCCAAAATCTCCTTAAGCTGATAAGCAACTTCAGCAAAGTCTCAGGATACAAAATCAATGTACAAAACCCACAAGCATTCTTATACACCAATAACAGACAGACAGAGAGCCAAATCATGAGTGAACTCCCAATCACAATTGCTTCAAAGAGAATAAAATACCTAGGAATCCAACTTACAAGGGATGTGAAGGACCTCTTCAAGGAGAACTACAAACCACTGCTCAATGAAATAAAAGAGGGTACAAACAAATGGAAGAACATTCCATGCTCATGGGTAGGAAGAATCAATATCATGAAAATGGCCATACTGCCCAAGGTAATTTATAGATTCAATGCCATCCCCATCAAGCTACCAATGACTTTCTTCACAGAATTGGAAAAAACTACTTTAAAGTTCATATGGAACCAAAAAAGAGCCTGCATCGCCAAGTCAATCCTAAGCCAAAAGAACAAAGCTGGAGGCATCACACTACCTGACTTCAAACTATACTACAAGACTACAGTAACCCAAACAGCATGGTACTGGTACCAAAACAGAGATATAGATCAATGGAATAGAACAGAGCCCTCAGAAATAACACCACATATCTACAACTATCTGATCTTTGACAAACCTGAGAAAAACAAGCAATGGGGAAAGGATTCCCTATTTAATAAATGATGCTGGGAAAACTGGCTAGCCATATGTAGAAAGCTGAAACTGGATCCCTTCCTTATAGCTTATACCAAAATCAATTCAAGATGGATTAAAGACTTAAACTTTAGACCTAAAACCATAAAAACCCTAGAAGAAAACCTAGGCATTACCATTCAGGACATAGGCATGGGCAAGGACTTCATGTCTAAAGCACCAAAAGCAATGGCAACAAAACTCAAAATTGACAAATGGGATCTAGTTAAACTAAAGAGCTTCTGCACAGCAAAAGAAACTACCATCAGAGTGAACAGGCAACCTACAAGATGGGGGAAAATTTTCGCAACCTACTCATCTGACAAAGGGCTAATATCCAGAATCTACAATGAACTCAAACAAATTTACAAGAAAAAAACAAACAACCCCATCAAAAAGTGGGCAATGGTCATGAAGAGACACTTCTCAAAAGAAGACATTTATGCAGCCAAAAAACACATGAAAAAATGCTCACCATCACTGGCCATCAGAAAAATGGAAATCAAAACCACAGTGACATACCTTCTCACACCAGTTAGAATGGCAATCATTAAAAAGTCAGGAAACAACAGGTACTGGAGAGAATGTGGAGAAATAGGAACACTTTTACACTGTTGGTGGGACTGTAAACTAGTTCAACCATTGTGGAAGTCAATGTGGCGATTCCTCAGGGATCTAGAACTAGAAATACCATTTGACCCAGCCATCCCATTGCTGGGTATTTACCCAAAGAACTATAAATCAGGCTGCTATAAAGACACATGCACACGTATGTTTATTGCGACACTATTCACAATAGCAAAGATTTGGAACCAACCCAAATGTCCAACAATGATAGACTAGATTAAGAAAATATGGCACATATACACCATGGAATACTATGCAGCCATAATAAATGATGAGTTCATGTCCTTTGTAGGGACATGGATGAAACTGGAAATCATAATTCTCAGTAAACTATTGCAAGAACAATAAACCAAACACTGCATATTCTCACTCATAGGTGGGAATTGAACAATGAGAACACATGGACACAGGAAGGGGAACATCACACTCTGGGGACAGTTGTGGGGTGGGGGGAGGGGGGAGGGATAGCTTTAGGAGATATACCTAATGCTAAATGACGAGTTAATGGGTGCAGCACACCATCATGGCACATGTATACATATGTAACATTGTGCACATGTACCCTAATATTTAAAGTATAATAATAATAAAATAAAATAAAATAATAAAAAATAAAAAAATTAAAGAAAATAAATCATTAAAATGGCAGGTGTAAATCCAATTCTTTCAATAATAAAATTAAGTTTGAATAGATTAAACAATGTAATCAAAAGGCAGAGATAATGAAATGAGATTTTAAAAAGCAAAATACAGTTATATATTTTCTACAGGAGTCACACTTTAGATTGAAAGATATAAATAAATTTAAAGAAAGCATAAGTAGTATGCAGTGGCTATACTAATATGCAAAATTGACTTAAAGTAAAAATATTGCTGTGATAAGGGGAGATATTGTAATGAAATATGTTTTACTACCTCAGGAAGAAATAAAATTATAATACATGCATCTAACAACACAGGCTTAAAACAAATAAAGCGAAAACTAAGATAAATTAAAGGGAGAGATATAAAATTCAACAACAATAGCGGGCAACTTCAATGCATCATTTTCTGTAATGGATAGGCACAACTACCAGGCAGAGATCAACAGTGAAATAGAAAACTTGAAATGCACTATAAAACAACTAGACCAAACAGACATCTAGGGAACATCCCACCTAATAGGAGAACAAACATATTTTTCAACTGCACATGGAACATTCTCCAAGGTAGACCATATTTTAGAGCATTAAACAAACCACACAAATTAACATAGTTGAAATTACACAGTGTATATACTCCAAATAAGATTAAATAAAAATAGAAATCAATAGCCTAGGGAAATTTGGAATTTTCATAAATATATGAAAATTGAACAATATACTGATAAAAACCCACTGAGTCAAAGCAAAAATCACAAGGGAAATTATAAGATATTTTGAGATGAATGATAAGGAAAATACATTACTCCAAACATGGGACGCAGCTAAAGCAGTTCTTAGAGGGAAACTGATAGCTGTAAATGCCTATATTAAGATAGAAGATCCTAATGTAATAACTTGAACTTCCACTTAATAAACTAGAAAAAGAGGAGCAAACTAATGTTAAATCAAGTAGAAGAAAGGAAATAATAAAAGATTACAGAAGATATTAAGATATTAATGAAATAGCAGCAAAACAAAGAGAAAAATCAATAAACCCTAAAATTGGTTGTTTGAAGAGATCAACAATATTGACAAACATTTAGCTAAAATGACCAAGAAAAAAGTGAGAAGAATCAAATTAATAAAATTAGGAATGAAGAAAAGCATATAGAAAGTAACTTTACAAACATGAAAAGGACTGTAAGGGAAAGCTATGAACAATAGTATGCCAATGTATTAGATCACTTACATGAAATGGAATAACTCGTTCAAAGCCACAAACTACTGAGATTGACTCAAAACATAACCTAAAATCTGAATGGATCTACAATAAATAAAGAGGTTGTATTAGTACACAAAATCTTTAAAACTCTCTTCTAAGAAAAGCCCAGACCCAGATGGCTTCATAGGTTAATGCTACCAATCACTTACAGAAAAGTTAATACCGCTCCCTCTCCCCCTCCCGCTCCCGCTCCCTCTCCCTCTCCCTCTCCCTCTCCCTCTCCCTCTTTCTACGGTCTCCCTCTCTTGCGGAGCCTGGACTGTACTGCCATGATCTCGGCTCGCTGCAACCTCCCTGCCTCGGGCTCCGGTGATTCTCCTGCCTCGGCCTGCTGAGTGCCTGGGATTCCAGGTATGCACCGCCACTCCTGACTGGTTTTTGTATTTTTGGTGGAGACGAGGTTTCGTCGTGTTGACGGGGCTGGTCTCCAGCTCCTCGCCTCAGGTGATCTGCCCGCCTCGGCCTCCTGAGGTGCTGGGATTGCAGACGGAGTCTCACTCACTCAATGCTCAATGTTGCCCAGGCTGGAGTGCAGTGGCGTGATCTCGGCTCACTACAACCTCCACCTCCCAGCCGCCTGCCTTGGCCTCCCAAAGTGCTAAGATTACAGCCTCTGCCCATCTGCCACCCCATCTAGGAAGTGAGCAGCATCTCTGCCTGGCTGCCCATCGTCTGGGTTGTGAGGAGCCCCACTGCCCAGCCGCCCCGTCTGGGAAGTGAGGAGTGCCTCTGCCTGGCCACCACCCCATCTAGGAAGTGAGGAGCGTCTCTGCCTGGCCGCCCATCATCTGGGTTGTGAGGAGCCCCTCTGCCTGGCTGCCCCATCTGGGAAGTGAGGAGCGCCTCTGCCCGGCCGCCCCGTCTGGGAGGAAGTGAGGAGCACCTCTGCCTGGCTGCCCCGAATGAGAAGTGAGGAGCGCCTCTGCCTGGCCGCCCCCTCTGGGAAGTGAGGAGCACCTCTGCCCAGCCGCCACCCTGTCTAGGAAGTGAGGAGCGTCTCTGCCTGGCTGCCCATCGTCTGGGATGTGAGGAGCCCCTCTGCCTGGCCGCCCCATCTGGGAAGTGAGGAGTGCCTCTGCCCGGCCTCCACTCCGTCTATGAAGTGGGGAGCATCTCTGCCCAACCGCCCATCATCTGGGAGGTGAAGAGCACCTCTGCCCAACCGCCCCGTCTGGGATGTGAGGAGCGCCTCTGCCCGGCCATCCCATCTGGGAAGTGAGGAGCGCCTCTGCCTGGCTGCCCAGTCTGGGAGGAAGTGAGGAGTGCCTCTGCCCAGCCATCCCATCTGGGAAGTGAGGAGCACCTCTGCCTGGCTGCCCAGTCTGGGAGGAAGTGAGGAGTGCCTCTGCCCGGTTGCCCCAAATGGGAAGTCAGGAGCGCCTCTGCCCAACCACCCCATCTGGGAAGTGAGGAGCGCCTCTGCCCGGCCTCCCCGTCTGGGAGGTGAGGAGCGCCTCTGCCCAGCCGCCCCGTCTGGG